>NC_000006.12:166016016-166331091 GCF_000001405.40 Homo sapiens
ATTAACAACAGAAATCCTAGGACTGACAAGAATGATAACTAAAATAAAATTAAAACAGCACATTAGAAATGACAGAAAAAAAACCCCAATGAATTTAAAGAAAAATCATTAGAAATTATCCAACCTGAAGAACAGTCATAAAAGACTGAAGATAAATGGATAAAGTCCCAGGGATTCATGGGACAAAATCAAACATACCTAGGTGTGATTGTATTCCCAGAAAAAGCAGACAAATACAAAATGGTTAAAAAAATTACTGGAAAATATAATAGCCAAAAACTTCTTAGATTTGAGAAAGAAAAACAAAACATTAAATCGTACATCCAAGAAGCACACCAAACCCCAAGTAAGAGAAACGCAGCTTACAAAGATGTGTGGTAATCAAACTGCTGAAAGAAAAAGCCAAAGAGAAAATATTAAATTAGCAAGGGTAAATAACCCATCACGTACAGTGGGAAAATAATACAGTCAATGACTAACTTCTCATCAGAAACAAGGGAGGCCAGAAGACATTGGAATAACTTATTCTAAGGGTTGAAATAAAATACAGACTACTAAGAATTGCATATATAATGAAACTCTCCATCAAACATGAAGGTGAAAAAAAGACATTTCTAAATAAATAAAAACTGAGAGGATTTGCTAATAGAATACCAATGGTATAACAAATTCTAGAACAAATTACTCAGGCTAAAATGAAATAACACCAGATGATAATCATTTAGTAAATATAAAAGATAAGAATAGTGTGTGTGTTTAAGAGCATGTGTTTCTCTTCATTTCTTTGAAAGACATATATTTAAAAAGCAGTTAATCACTGTATTGTTAAGGTTATAAAGTGGTTAGAGGCTTTATATATGACAATATTAGCACAAAGGAGGTAGTAGGGATTCTACTATATTGGCACAAAGTTTCTATATTTTACTAGAACAAGGTCAATGTGAAATTAGAGGCTATTTGATTTACGCAAATTGCATATTTTAATCCCTAGAAAAAGTACTAAAATAATAACACAAAATATAGAAAAATTTCAATAAATGTATTAAGATTATATATTACAAATGATGTTTAACACACACACACAAATAGGAAAAGCAAAACTCAATGAGATAGACCAAAAACAAATAGCAAAATGGTAGATCTAAATACAAACATATTAATTATTGCATTAAATGTAAATGGCCTAAATACTCTAGTCAAATGGCAGAGATTATCAGACTGGCTATAAGAGGAAGATCCAATTGTATGTGTTCTACAAGAGATGCACTTCAAATTTAAACACACACACACACACACACACACAGAGATTAGAAAAAGATACACTATGTAAACAGTAAGCATAAGAAAGCTGGAATGACAATATTAAAGCCAGACAATATAGAATATAAAACTAGGACTATTATTAGAGATTGTAAAATATACAAACAGGAGTGGAAGTCAATTTAGCCAAACTGGTACTTTGAAAAAAAATCACGTGAAATTGATAAACATTTACCTAAACTGATGAAAGAGAAGGAAAATAATTAAGATATTATCAATACCAGAAATGAAACAGGAGTACCACTACAGATTCTACAGACATTAAAAGGATGACAAAGGCATATTATAAACAATCCTACACCAACAAATTTGATGATTTTTATAAAATAGAAAAATTCTTTGAAAGACATAAATAATCAAAGTTGACACTAACAGATTTATTCTGTGACATGTTAGGAACGATTTCCAGGTACAAATAACAAAATAAAAGGACCACTTGTGAGAATTTCAAGTTCTCAAATAAATGAACTAAAAATTAAGCATGAGGTAGAAGATTCGAACAGATCTATAACATGTAAGTTGAATTAATTATTTAAAATCTTTCCACAAAGAAAAGTCTGATTCTGAATGGCTTCATCATTCATTCTATCAAACAATTAAGAAAGAAATAATACCACTCTTATATAGCTCTTGTATAAAACCGAAGAGAAAGGAACACTTCTAATACCAGTAGTGTGCGCTCTCTCTCTTCTCTCTCTCTCACTTTCACACTCAAACACAAACACTCAAACACTCTCATATACTAAATATTAGTATATTTCTTGACTATAGGTGCAAAATCCTTTAAAAATAATAAGCACTTCCAATTTCTGGTCTGATGTGTAAGTAGCTTAGAAATCCTAACAACAAATAAAGAACTGAACATATTGAAAAATCAACAATTCTTCTTAGGTCCATCAGAGAATTTAAGTGAAATTGCAGGGCAATTTGCTTTCCCACAGTTTGGAGAGATAGACAAACGCATACAGAAATCACAACTTACTGGAGCAGAAATTTCATGGGAACTAGTGCTGTTAAGAAAAACTGTATTATTAATGAGATGCTGGAGGTTCACTGTGGACAAATTTGAGAGTTAAGAACTCCAGGGGAGACAGTCATAGAGGGCCTTCACACTTTTGTGAGTTTTATCTCTAGGGGTCCCACGAGGTCATCACAATGAATATTGGAGAAATACTCCCCCATGCAGGTGGAGGGAAAATGTAATCCTTTTGTAACATACCAGAGCCTTCTCTTTTTCTCAAAAAGGCCTGCCCTCAGGAGAAACTATTTAATCAGAGCATAACCTTCTGGCATTTTATCAGAGCCTACCCTACCTTGGGGGAGAAACATACGCAACTCCAGCCCCCACCAGTACCCTGTCCCACATAAGGGGAGTTACTAAGAAATACTGGTGAACCTTACTGTCCATGGCACAGGCTCACTAAAAAACAGACCTAATCATAGGACTATAGAATATTTCCCCTCTCCCTACACCTTACCACCTCATTACTAAAAGCCTACTTACTGTTGTTCCTTTTACCTAGTACATCATATTCACCTTTTAACAAAAAACTAGAAAACATACTAAAAGGCAAAAAAAACACAATTTGTAGAAATTGAACTAGAGTCTTATGTTGCAGGTATGTTGGCATTATCAGATAATAGACATGCCTTGCAAGAAATGTTTTTCTCAGAAAACACGATTGCCTACTTAGAAAATTCTACGATGTTGACAAAAAAAATCTTCTGGACCTAATAAGTGACTATTTCAAAGCTGTAGTTTACTTGTATTTTGAGAGCCCCCAGCTAAATTGGGCTTCCAGGGCATCTGGAAACCGTGCCCTAATGGGAAATGAAGGGGAACTGGACATAGTGTTTTCAGGGTGCCTTTCACATGGCACTGTTACCTGGTGGAGAGCCTAATGCCCAGCTGTTCTGCCCGTTACTAACGGGATCCCTCACATGGGAAGCTTGTTTATACTGGCAAACGCCCTGTGGCTCTTGTCTGACCAGTGTCCAGTTTATGCCTGCCCTGGGCTCTTGTCTGATTAGTGTCCAGTTGCTCTGGTACTGGAAGCCTAACCTTCTGTTCTCCCCGGTGTCCAGGGAAAACCCCAGCCTCGGGCAGCCCCAAGTGCTTTCTTCAGATGGAAGGTGCAAACTCAATTCACCACCACAATAAGAAACTAGTTCAAAGAGTTTACTTACAGATCCTGGGCAGGGAGGATGTAATGAGTCCAGAGTGCAGTCCTCCATCCCCAGGTCACGCCAGGAAGGAATGGAGGGCCAGGCAGAGAGAAAGGAAAGCCTGTGGCAATCAGCAGTGTCTATAAGGGAATAGGGTGTGGATCACTTTAAGATTACCGGCAAATGCCTGATTAGTTTGTTTAAAGGAAACAGCGGGAAAGTGGGAGCCCAGTCCGCTAGGCAGGAGAGATGCCTCTAAGTTCTCATCTCCGGCCACTGGCTTAAGCCATTTGGGTGTGGTATAGAACGGAAACTGTGCCAGGGTTAGCTGAGTCCTTCCTCTGGATGAGAAAGTTAAATTTGCATTCAAAATGGATGCCAAGGAAACATAAAAATTGTAAGAATTCATTACAATCTGGTCAATATAAGAAATCAAATGCATTTTTATATACTAACAGTGAACATTTGGAAAATGAAATTTTTAAAAATCCATGATTACAATAACAAAAAAAAGAAAAGCGTGCAAAAATGTGCAAGACTTGAACACTGAAAATTACAGACTACTTCTGAGAGGACTCAAAGAATACCTCCATTTATATGTATGTTCTTGGATTGGTAAATTCAATATTGAGATGTTAATTCTCCTATAGTGGTCAAAACAATTACGATCCAACTCTCAGCATACTTTTTTGGAAATTGACAAATCAATTCTAAAGTGTATGTGAGTATGCAAGGGACCTGGAGAAACAAAGCAGTTTTCAAAAAAAAGAACGAAGTTGAAAAACTTATAATACCTGATTTTAAGACACATAGTAAAGCAACAATAAACAAGATAATGTGGTACTGGTATAAGGATAGACACATAAATCAATGGAACAGAATTAATAATTTATAAATTGTGATGGTTAATATTAGGTGTCAATTTGACTAGATCGAGGATGCCTAGGTGGCTGGTAAAGTGGTGTTTCTGGGTGTGTCTGTGAGGATGTTGCCAGAGGAGACTGACATTTGAGTCAGTGAACTGGGAGAGATAGACCCACCCTCAGTGTGGGTGGGCACCTTCCAACTGGCTGCCAACGCAGCTAGAACAAAGCAGGCAGAAGAAGGTGGAATAAGTCGGCTTGCTGAGTCTTCTGGCCTTCATCTTTCTCCCCTGCTGGATGCTTCCTTCCATTCCTTCTGCCCTTGGACATCAGACTCCAGGTTCCTCAGCCTTTGGACTCTTAGATTTGCACCAGTGGTTTGCCAGGGGTTCTCTGGCCTTCAGCCACAGACTGAAGGCTGCACTGTTGTCTTCCCTGCTTTTGAGGCTTTTGGACTTGAACTGGGCCACTACTGGCTTCCTACCTCCTCAGCTTGCAGACAGCTTATCATGATGCTTCGCCTTGTGATCGCATGAGCCAATTCTCCCTAATAAACTCCCTTTCATGTATATATATATCCATATATATGGATATATATATATAAGGATACATATATATGGATACATATATATGGATATATATATATGGATACATATATGGATATATATATATGGATATATATATGGATATATATATATGGATATATATATATGGATATATATATATGGATATATATATTAGGATATATATGTATATATATAATGGTTTTGTCCCTCTGGAGAACCCTGACTAATACGTAAACAAACTCATATTTAACATAGTGCATTGATTTTGAACAAAGAGGGCAAGATAATTCAACAAGTAACAGAAAATCTTTTCAATACATGATTCTAGATTAAATAAATACCTGTATAAAAAAATAAACGTAGAGTCTTACCTTAAACCATACACAGAAATTAATTACTAATGGATCATAGACTTAAATGTAAGAACTAAAACCATAAAACATCTGGAAGGAAACAAAAGAAAATCTTCACAATCTTTAGGTAGATAATTATTTCTTAGGACAGAAAAAGCCCAAATCATAGAAGAAAAATGGAAAATTGAACTTCACCGAAATTTTAAGCATTTGCTTATCATGTAACATTCTTAAGAAAATAAAATGCAAGCCAAAAACTGAAAAAAAATGCTTGTAAAACATACATCTGACAAAGTAGGAAAGCACTTGAGAAATTACATATTAGGTTGGTGCAAAAGTAATTGCGGTTTTTGCCATTACTTTCAATAGAAAAACCACAATTACTTTTGCACTTACCTATATCCAGATTGTAGAAAGAACAATTAAATAATGATAAGACAAACAACTGGGCAAAAGATTTAAGTGGAATCCATAAAAAAAGATATTTGGACTATTAACATGCACATCAAAAGATGCTCAACGTGGTGATCAGAACAGCTCAAAGCAAATATACCATGAAATAACACTACACACTCACTGGCATAAAGTCAAAAAGATTGGCAATACCAAATATTGATGAGGATGCTGAGCTATTAGGACCTTCACACGGTGCATGTGAGAATGGAAAACCATACAGACACTTTGGAAAACAGTGTATCAATTTATTTTAAAATTAAACATACATTATTTACACAGCCCAGCAGTTCCACTTCTAAAGAAATTAAAACATGTTTCTGCCCAAAGACTTATATGTGTGTGTTAATAACAGCATTACTCATAAAAGCCAAAAAAAAGATATAATTCAAATGTGTATCAGCTATTAAATGGATAAATAAGACTGTGGTAAATCCATTCAATGGAATCTTAATTTGGTATATATATAAAACAGTTCTATATATATTTATATTTATATATTTTATATTTTTATTATCTATATATTGTATTTATTTATAAATTTTTATTTTATATATTTATATATTTTATTTATATATAAATATATAATATATAAATTATATACAAATTTATCCACTGATCCACCTACTGTTGTGTTGGTTTCACTTCTTGAACATTTCATACTAATATAGAAGACATTCTCTTGTGACTAACTTCTTCCAGTAACTATGACGTTTTTGAGATTCATTCATACTGCTGTGGTTATCACTGTTTTTTATATATATAAATATATAAGTATATATATAAATAAAATATATAAATTATGTTTATAAATTTATATATCTTATGTATGTATAAATATATATTTAATATAGTTACATTATGTAAATTATAAATATATTGAATATATTTATGTATAAATATATACTTAATATATTATATATGCTATATATATTAAATATGTATTTTTATATATTATATATTATATATTTTTATATATTATATGTAATTTATATAAACATGTATCTATATGATTTATATATATTTATATATTATATATAAATATATATGTTTATATGAATATATATTTATAAAATATATACTTATATAAAATATAAATATATACATTAATATGTATAAAATTATATATAATTTGTATATAATTATATATAAGTATATAATTATATATTATGCATTATATTACATATAAATATACAAATAAAATATATATTTATAAATATATAATAAATGTATATATTTATAAATATATAAATAAAATATTTTATTTAATATTTATTTATATTAACAAATAAATGAAATAATATATTTATATATAATGTATAATATATGCTATATTTCGTATAATTTATACATTATATATATTTATATAATGTGTAAATAAATATAATATATAATTATAATATATAAATATATAACATATTATATATTATATATAATTTATATATAAATATACATCTATATATAAATATGTAAATAAAATATATATTTATACATAAATATATAAATTTATAAACATAATTTGTATGTTTTATTTATATATAAATTTATATATTTATATATATATATAAAACAGTGATAACCACAACAGTATGAATGAATCTCAAAAACATCATAGTCACTAGAAGAAGCTAGACACAAGAAATTGTCCTCTGTATTAGCAGGAAATGTTCAAGAAGTGAAATCAACACAACAGTAGGTGGATCGGTGGTGGCCTGGAGCCTGGTGAGGGTCGTGACTGCAGGGAGGCATGAGGTCACTGCAATGCTGTGCACATTTCCCAAAACTCATGAGACTGTACACTAAGCATGGGGAAGCTCCACAACATGTAAATTATTTTTCAATAAAGCTATTTTAAAAATACTTCCCACAAAGAAAACTTCAGGCCCAAAAGACTCCAACAGTGAAGTTTATCAAATATTTCGGGGAAAAAATAACACCAGTCTACCATAAACTTTTTCAGAAAATAGGAGACTAGCATATGCTCCTATGACCCAGCAATTCCACTCCTTGGTATTTCCCCAGGAGAAATGAAAGCACATGTACAGTTACATGTTTGCAGCAGCTTCCTTCATAATCAGCCCCAAAGTAGAATCAACCCAAGTGTCCATGAAGGGGTGTGGTCCCTGCATACAGTGGAACACTAGTCAGCTTCCACTGCGATCAGGAGCAAATTGCTTATAAACACGACATTATGGACATCTTAGTTTAGGCTGCTGTAATAGAAATACCACAGATCAGGGGACTTAAACAACACACATTTATTTGTCACAGTTCTGGAACTGGAAATCCAAGATTAAGGTGCTTGCAGATTTGATGTCTGGTAAGCGCTGTTTCCTGGATTTCTGATGGCCACCATCTTATTATTTTCTTACAGGATGGACAGTAGAGGGAGGGAGAGAGAGAAAGAGAGAGAGAGAGAGAAATAGGGGGAGAGGGAGGCGGATGGGGAAGGAGTGAGGTGGGGGACAGGGAGAGGGAGAAGGAGACCTTGTGCCTCCTCCCCTTTTACATTTCATCCGCAAGACCTAGTTACCTCCCAAAGGCTCCACCTCCTAATAATGATGCAGGATTTTTCTCAGTCCCTTCATTGTACTCATGAGGGGAGCAAACGTTTACACGGCCCACCGTGCTCAATCCCTTGCAGGAAGGAGCATGTGAGCAAGCGAGTGCAGGACCCAGCCAGCTGCTCTGGGCCCCAGCAGGAGCAAGCTCTGTGCAGCAGCGCCCAGGTAGGGGAGGCAGGTGCCTGCGACCCTAAAGCCCCTGAGGGCATGTTACAGTGCTCTCTTAGTTCTGACATCCATGGATGGTAGTGTATTATCAGTTCAGTTGGCTCTTTGTCTCATTCTTTGGGGCAGCTGCCCTCTGCCAGCAAACGCAAAGGGCCAGTGTGACAGCCTTTTTTGTGTATCTATACTCGGTGGGTCCTGAGCTCTTGTCCAGCATCCAAGAAGAATGAGGTCATGTGGACACTTGAAGGGTGGTGAAGGTGGAGAATTTTATTTAGCAATGGAAATGGCTCTCAGCAGAGAGGGGAGCTGGAGAGGGGGTGGGACAGGCAGGTCATCTTCCCCAAAAGTCAGGCTAGTTCTTCCCTGAAGTTAAGCCATCTCTCCTGTGAAGTCCAGCTGTCTCTTTGAAGTCAAGTTGTCTCTTTCCAGTCAAGCTGCTTCTCTCTCTAGTCAAGCTGCTTCTCTCCCCTCTACTGACTGAGTCTGGGGTCTTTATAGACACAGGATGGGGGTGGGGCTGGTCATAGGTAGTTTGGGGAAAGGCAACATTTGATTGGCAAAAGGCATTATCCAGAAAGAACCAATTGGAAAAGAATGGGCAAACAGGAATAGAAGTTCCCACTTTGGGCTGTGGGTATCAGGATTTTTGGCTTGAAGGTGGGGTTTCACTGGGGACCCACTCCTGTCTGCCTAGACTTTCTCTGCCTCCTGCCTCTATCAATACCATCACCTTGGGGGCTGGGCTTCAAGCTATGAATTTGAGGGAGACACAAACACTCAGGCCATAGCAATGGATAAATCTCAAAAACATTCCGTGTTGCCACAGAAGCCTGACCCAACAAATTCCAAAGTGCATGATTCCATTATCAAAAATGCTAGAGAGGAGCATTCCAACCACCAAAAGCTGACCCATCCTCGCCCGAAGTGGAGAGCTGATTGCAATGGAACTTTCTAGGGCCAGGGAAATATTCTATAACTGGATTATGGTGTGATTACACTGAGGTAGGCTTTTGTCAAAACTAATTCAAATGTACACTTCAGTGGGGTATGTTTCCATGTGTGCAAATTAGATTTTCCCAAAGTTAAACTCAAGTTGATGGACTTATTTCGAAAAGAAAATAAGTGACAGTAAACAGCCTAAGTCACTAAGCCAGGCTCTAAGTAATGTGCCAGGTGACATGCCTTCGGGCCCGGTTAGAGCATGCTTCTGGGAGGGCTGGCCCAAAGCCAGGGCAGCCTAGTACTGAGCACTTCAACTGGAAGTGCTTTCAAAAAACAATCGCAGGCTCTTCCAGGTCACACTGAAATCAATCTCCAATAAAAGAGAAGGGAGACACCAGTTAGCCGGCAGCCAGAGGACCCCATCCTCATCCTAGTTCTCTGTCCTATGCCTTCTACTTGGCACTATGCAGATTTTAGGAGAAATGAAATAGCAAGGCCGTGGAGAGCAAAGCATTGGTGTGGGGCCTGTTTCTCCCCATCCCTCAGCCGCACACCCGAGTCTGCCCCTTGCTTGGGATCCCTCCCAGCTGTGAGCCCCAGAGGCGGGTAAGGAGTCTACCTGTTCCGTGCTCTGCCAGCCCAGCATCCCCTCTGAGGCTGAGCTGGCCTGGCTGCCCCTGCTTCCATATCCCTTCTCTTTCATCATAGCGTTGGGTAGAGTCATAGAGACCTCAAGCCACTAAAGAGCAAACATATTCAAACTTTGCCACAGCCCACATTAAATACAATTAAATATATATGGGTTGAGTTAAATTGCAGGTAACCAATTGCCATGTTATATTTTGCGGGCATTTAGTTAAACATTTATTTATTTCAAGTTTTCCCACCCACAAATTAGAACCAACTTTTTTCCAATGTAGGTTCCTAAAAACCTCAAAAACTCTGGGATAGCAGGGTTTCTCTACCGACCATGCCTCATCTGTAAAATGGAAAATGGTCTCTGGTCTTTCCTTGCCACATACAGGCCTCTGGCTTCCTGCTTAGCCTTTTTTTTTTTTTTTTTTTTTGAAAGCTTCGACTTCATTGAAAGGGAGCTCCCGTGAAAAGAGCCAGAGAGCTGTGGGGCATGGGCGGAGGTGTGGGAGGGTGGGCGTGTTCTCCAGCCCCGGCTGCACACCCCTGTGCTGATGAGTAGCCTCTCAGCCCCTGCTCCCAGCGTACACAGACGGCTGGGGACCCATTGCATGCACAGGAAGAGTCCAAGGCTCTGCTTTCTAACCAGTGCCCCGGCAGTGCTGTGGTCTTAGGCTGGGCTCCTTCCAGGCAGGCTCCTGCCTCCAGGCTGAGCTCTTGCCTCCTCCTAGCTTCTTGCTTACTTAACTGAGGAAGGGCTCCCAGGGGAAGCTGCCACGGAGTGGGGAGCAGGAGAGGCCAGGAGGGGAGTGAAGTCAAGATGTGAGAGCAGCTGGAGACACGCTGTGGCCTGGCTCAAGGCGAGGCTTGGAACCAGCATCCCACCTCAAGGCTGATCCTGCCTGGAGGCAGAGTCTGAGAGCTCTCAGACCCCGCTGGGCAATTCTCCCCAGAAGTGCAGCTGTGAGCCATTCACATGGTCACTCACAGCTGTCCTGGCCTAGGAAAGGGGAAGTGAACACCCACAGCGCCTACTCCCCAGAGCTGCAGATGTGAGGACCACACTGTGAGGAGAGCTCTGGTTCCTAAAGCCAGTTCTTAGATGGCTGCCACACCAAGTGCAGACCTTTTACCGCTACAGATTTCCAGGAACCACCCCCAAAGCAAAGGTAATTTCTAGGCGCTTCCCCGGGGCTCCAATTGCAGTGAAGTTTGAGACGCGCTAAATTTTAGCTAGTGTTTCACAGGCTCTGACTCTTGCCCACGAATGAGTGTCTGCACGGTGTTTCTCACCACCCCTTGCTCTGCCATGCCCAGGCTAGCTACCACGTGGAGCATGCAGGCTCCACTCCACACTGTTGCCCTCGGTGGGGTGCTGCCCACATCACACATCCCTGTCATAGCTGGGTGCTGGAGCCACATTCCCAATGCTCCCGAGAGCCCGAGAGCCAGAGTTTTTGGTTGCAGGGAGACCCTCTCTCCCCTTTGTAATACACTTTGTAAAGCAGAGGTCGTATGAGCCTAAATGGTGCAGTTTTAGTGAAACATCTTTTTGGGTCTTTTTATCAGACCAAGGCAGATGTGATCCTGGAGAGGTAAGGGGACGCATTTATCCAAGTGACAATGTTCTCAGCATTTCCCACACCTCCTGCGATGTAAGGTCTTAGCACCAGGTCAGTCTCTCTAGGGAGGCTCCTCATGCAAATAAAGTCCTGGCAGCCTCCAGGCTGGGTCCTCAGATATCCCCAGATAGATGTGGATACTCAAGCTTCAGTGAGAAAGTCAAAGAAATGGATTCTGTTCCTTTCCTGGGTTCAGGAGGTGACCATGAGTAAATCCCTCATCTTCCTCCCTCTCACACTTTTCACCAGAAAGAACAACTTCCTGTAACACATCGAGTGTTAGTCATGGTTGTTTTAGGACAGGAAGATTGTGTGTGTGTGTGTGTGTGTGTGTGCGTGTGTGTGCTTTTTACTTTACACATCTTTATATGCTCCAAATTGTCTACAATGAAAGAAAGAGAGCTTCTATCTCTCCAGGCACTGGGCACATAGAGATGATTTGTAGAGTAGGCAGTAGAGATGGTTTCTAATCACAAGGCCTAGACGAGAAAAGGTAGAAGCCAGGCATTTCTTGGCGTCCATACTGAGGGGCGTGTGAGTTAAGTCTTGTGAACACTCCTCTTTGAAACCTTTCCACGTGCGAATGAAAAATTAAGAGCCTGGGCACTAAGAGGTCTTGTAAAAATGTTTCCCTGCATTCAGCCTGCTACATTTGCTATAGAAAAGAAGCATAATGAAAACCTCAGGGCTTTGCGTGAGCTGTTAATACATTATCTCTAGATTGATAATTATTCCCCTAAAATGAAATGTCTTGTCTGATAGGAATTATCTGTTTATTATACTGTTGAATATCCCACAAGCTACATGTGATTTCTCCTGACATTCTCAGGTGGAAGATCAGAAAAGCAGAGCAGGAATTGGTTTCATGCATTTTCCAAATTCCTATAAAATGCTCAGGTTGGGTTTGATGCTGGTTACTTCATCTGCAGTAACTCAAAGTGCAGGTCTGTTTTTCACAGGTGGATTTTATAAGCAGGTCTGAGTAACAAGATGAGAAGTCCAGATTTAACTCTTATCCTATTAATCTTGTCAATGCAGACACCAAGTTGGATGTGTAAGATTTTAAGAAATTGAGAATTTGTAGTTTAGCTGTCTTCTCTGATCCCGTATCTGATGGCTAATAATATTCTTCTGCCACTCCTTGGTGGAGATAAAAAGCCCAGGGAGTGTTGCTCTCAGATAACAACAAATTATCCCCCACGGATACACAGAAAAGAGGCAGGAGAGTATCAGGGAAAGAGGACGTGGCTAAGAGGGCTGACTGGGGATGGCGTCTTCCCTCTATCGCTCACCAGCTGTGGGCTTCCGTGTACATCACATCATGGTTGAAGCTGTGGATTACAACAAACCGAGTCCCCTTCCCACTTCTAAAATACCACTCTTATCTTGAGAAAGTTATTTCTTTATTGATGGAAAATAGAAAATAAAATTCAACTAAAAAGGTCAGAGTTTTATAAAAAGCAGGCAACTGTAACAAATGTGGAAATAAAATATAATATCTGACTCATCTAGATCTAGATCCTTTCCTTAAACCTTAAAACAGATGCCTGCAATATGTAAACAATCCACTATTTACACATAGAAAAGAATCCTAAAGCTAGAATAATGAAAAAAATGTAATCCCTGCAGGACCTTAAATTTATAATGGGCTGGATGCTGAGAGACAATTCTGCCTTGGTCTTTCGGGTTTCTGAATGTCTTGCACACGAGACACTGACAGCCTTGGTTCTGAACTACCTTTTCAAGGATATTCGTGTAGAAGAAACTCCTTCCTGGGCGACGGGTAGGCATGCTTACTGCCCACTGTAATAGAGTCCCCCTCAGGGCAAATGACACGCATGCCCATTGTAAACATGTGACATTTCCTAAATCAGGGTTCTGCTCCTGTATTGCAAATAATGGCAAGTTAATTCTTTTGTCTTGGTTTCTGGGATTTGGGTTGTGGGGGATGAGCTGCTGGCTACCTCAAATGCTGTGAGTAAGAAACTGTCCTTCCTCTCAGCGAGCATCTGGGGAAATACGCAGGCTGGTTTGTGAGCCTGCAAATAGGGAAAGTCCCAGACCCTTCACCCTTCTTGATTGAAAGTTGAATTTTCACAGCACACCTCTGGGAATTACTGAAATTACAGCCATAATGATTCATAGGTTTCCTATTCCTCGTAAGTTTTCAAATAGCAGTGCCCTTGTGAGACTGATGCTGTATGTTGTTTAACACTTTGATCCTTCACCTCCTGATTTATAAATATAGATAATGGTATAATCCTCATAGGAGCTTTGCCTGTGATGTCACACATGGGAACACCCAGACGGCACCTGGATATTACAGTCACTCCATTTTCATTTGTGGATTTTGAATTTGAAATGTCATAAAAATTTATATTAATGATCACACTGGGAAAAAGAGACTAGATTTACCCTTCAACCTAGAAAACTAAAAAGTTGAAAAACGTACAATTCTCATTTAAAAATGAATTTAAAAGCTATTGATTGTTTAAAGCAAAACTAATACAATGTATGGTGAGGTTAACAACTTATGAAAAAGGAAAATATCTCAGAATACAAGCAAAAAGGGCAAAGAGGAAGAAAATGAGAGTAAATTACTTTAAGTTTCTTCCATATGCCTAATATCATACTATCATAACAACATACTATAACATACTTGATGCTATTGCAAGGTAGATTTGGTAAATTTAAGATAAGTAAGATATAATAGGTGCTCTCAGAGCAACTGTGCATATAAACAAAAGCTATATGGCTAATAAACCAATTATAGCAATATAATTAAATTCTTAAAAACAAGTCAAGGTAAAAGAAGACAGGAAAAGAGAGGAATAGTGAAATAACAGATGGAACAAATGAAGAACAAATAAAAAGATAGTAGATTTAAACCCAAACATATCGATACCAGAGTAAATGTAAATGGTCTACATCAGTTATTTCTACCAAGGGTCAGATAGTATAAACAGTTACGCCTTGCATGCAGTGTAACCTGTGCTGCTGCAATAGCAGCAATATATAATAATTACCTATTTATAATACATAATTTAGATATAATATGTAATACATATTTATATGTTATATAATTTATAGATATGTTATTTATAAATATAAATATATTATATTTATATATAAATATAATATATTTATATATAAATATAAATATAATAATATATTATTATATATGATATATTATATTATATGATATATTATATATTATAATATATTATAATATATAATATGTAATACATATTTATATGTTATATAATTTATAGATATGTTATTTATAAATATAAATATAATAATATATTATTATATATGATATATTATATTATATGATATATCATATACATTATAAGTACATATAAGTTGTAAATGATACATAATATATTAAATATATAATTATATATTAGAATTAAATATTATAAATGTATAATTCTGCTGTTATAAAAAGTCAGTTATAGTTATAAATATATTTGTAATGTATATATTTATATAATATATTTATATATTAAAATACTTATAATGTATACATATTTATATAAAATTAAATATATAAATATAAACATAAATAAATATATTTTATAATATAACATAAATATATGTAAATATATAATATAGAAATACATTAATTAATTAAATATATTTAATAATATTAAATATATGTAAATATATTTAAATGTATTATGTAAATATATTTATATAATTATATATTATAACAATATAATTCTGCTGTTGTAAAAATATCAGTTATAGACATTTCACAAACGAATAGACAAGACTGTGTTTTCATAAAACTTATTTATACAACCAGGTGGCAGGATGTGGCCCAGGGGCCATAGTTTGCTGACTTCTAGTCTAAACAGTCTAGTCAAAAAGCAAATCAAAACATCTATGTAGCTAGTGAGATAGAGATATGTAAATAAAGACACTGAGAGGCTAACAGTAAAATATTGGGAAAAAAACATGCATTATTAGAACACCAATCAAAAGAATGCTGAAGTGGCAAGGTTAACATTAGACAAAGTAGATTTCAGAGCAAAGAATTTTACTGTGAATACAGATCTTTTTTAATGATATAGGAGTCAATTCACCATAAAAACATAACAATGCTAAATTGGTATGTACTTAACAGGTTTTCAAACTTCTTGAAGCAAAAACTGATAAAACAAAAAAGTATATAAATTCCAAGTATAATTGGAGCTTGCAACTCATCTCTCTCAATAGTTAATAGAACAAAGAGGCAAAAGAGTAATAAAGTTAGAAGACTTGAGAAGCACTAAACGTCGACTCGTCTTCCTTGGCACCCGGAAAACCACCCCCAGTTGCAAACTACACATTTATTTCAAGTCCACATGGAATATTTACCAAGACAGACCACACTCAGGGCCAGAAAAATAAGGGCCAGAAAAATAAGTGTTCATAATTTAGAAGAGATGAAATTATACAAAGCATATTCTCCGAAAAAAATGGAATTAAATTAGAAGTCAATAACAGAAATATATTGTGTGGTAAATCCTCCAAATAGTTGGAAATTGAATAACACTCTTCTAAATGCTCTTCTAAATTCTAATTTATCTGCATATGAAATCAAAAGGGAAATTAAGAAATATTTTGATTCTGATAAAAATATAAAAACAGCATATCAAAATGTGTGAGATGCAGCTAAAACAGTGCTTAAAGGAAAATTTATAACATCAAATGCTTATAGTAGAAAAAAATGTTTCTAATCAACTACTGAAACTTATATATTAAGAAAACTAAGTAATGGTGTAGGGCTTCCGGTAAGGCAGAGTGAGAAGCTCAACAAATCCCCTTCCCCCGCCAAAAAACCCCAGCAACATTGTACGTAACTATTTAAAAAGAAAAAAAAAAACCCACTAATTTCAGGGCCCTGGAAATTGGCCTGAAGCACACAACAAATTTAGAAGATGTGACTCATGGAAACTTGTGGAACTTCAGGTAAGACAGTGGGAGACCCTAGGATTCTTGCCTGCGCCTGACCCCATCCCTCTCTAGCTCTATTGGTGAGGCAGTTCTACTAGTTTGGGGCTAGTCCTAGAAACCAGTAAACTTTGCTGCCAGAGGGAGCTAACTTGATTTGGAGTAGAATGCAAAACAAACAAACAAACAACAAAATCCTACCCCCAGTGGCACTGTCTGTAACAGCAGCCATCTCAGTGGCAAACCCTGAGGAAGAGCAGTGGCTCAGCTAGCCTGAGGTTGCAGTCCTGACTGGGACAAGAAACAGAGCAGCAGACTAGCCAGAAAATTAACCACGTCCAGGAAATGAGACTGCTTGGATACCACTGATCAGCCACATGGAGAGACTGGAGAGAGCCTGAGCCGCCCACTGGCTGGCCATGAGCCTGCACAGATACATACACAGAGGAGATGCAGCAGGACCCGGCTGAAAGTTCAAGCCAGGACAGACTTGGAAGCTGCCTGAACTTGGAACACTCTCCCCGAACCACGTACTGACCTATTGGCTCAGGCTGTTTGAGCACAGCCTCTGGGCAATCATTGGCTGCACACTAAGCTATGCAGACACATGGGTGACCCGTAGAAACCATACTTAAAAATGAAAACAAGAATTTAAAAACTGAGCAGAGACATCAGTGGTCACACACTATAGGAGAAACAGACCTCATAAATTTACTCTAGACAAGTACTAAACAAGCAAAAAATCAGCAACAGCTGTATAACCTACAAGAAGAAAAATCAGAATTCATAGTTGCTAAATTATATATATGAATATATACATATATTTACCTAAATATTGGATAAGTCTATCGTATTTTTTGAACTGCACAGTTTTCAACCAGAAAATTATGGAGCAAACAAAGAAACAGCAAAATTTGATCCATACTCAGGGGTAAAAAGCCATCAACAGCTATATTTTTCAACTCCAGAATTTCTGTTTGATACTTTTTAATAATTTCAAATCTTATTCATTAGCATGAGTTTTAAATGCTCTTCATATCAATTCCTTGTCCGTTACACTTTACAAATAGATTCTCCCAGTTTGGGGTTCATCTTCACTTTCTTAATTTTAACATAATGATATTCTCTTATTTTTTCTTTTTAGAGGTTGTGTCAGTCAGGTGGAGTTAGTAAAAAAAGAATGCACAAGAGGTAGCTCTGCAGAGAGAGGTTTAAGAGGGGAACTTGTTACAAAGGTGTTCGAAGAGCTGAAAAGACCATGAGGATGGCAGGACAACCCAGAGGTCAGCAACATGGAAGGCCACCAACATCCCCAGGCCTGGGGAACAAAGGAGGGTATGATGTTACCAAAGCCCAGGAATCAGGAGCACCTGCTGGGAGCTGGGACCTGGGGGCAGGGGATCTCCGCGGAAGTGACACCTTGGAGGATACACAGCCCTTCCCCAGACACCACTAGAAGCTGAGAAAGGAGGAAATGCCCTGGATCCTCTTTTTCCCTTCAAGTGTCTGCCGGTGCCTTCTATTGGCTCATCTTACGTGGAAGTCAGGGATCAGGGAGCCTGGGAAATTAGTTTCCAAGGTCAACCCTCTGAGCTACAGAGCAGAACTTGGAAAGAGGAGGGAACTGATCTGAGAGAAAACAGGCAAGGGACTGGGACGGAGGATTAAAGTCTTGCTTTTAACATTTAAGTTCTTAATCCCTCTGGAGTAGATTTTTGTTTATGGTGTAAGGTATGGATCAAATTTCATTTTTCTTCCTTATCAACAACTAATTTTCCCAGTTACACTGGAAGTTAACATGTAGATACTGATATGGTTTGGCTGTGTCACCACCCAAATCTCATCTGGAATTATATTTCCCATAATCCCTATGTGCGGTGGGAGGGACCTGGTAAGGTAATTGAATTATGGGGGCAGTTTCCCCCATGCTATTCTCATGATAGTGAGTAAGTTCTCATGAGATCTGATGGTTTTTAAGTGGCTCCCCCCTTTGCTCGGCTCTCATTCTTCTCCTTCCTGACACTATGTGTAGAAGGATGCGTTTGCTTCCTCTTCTGCCATGATTGTAAGTTTCCTGAGGCCTCCTCAGCCCTGTGGAACTGTGAGTCAATTAAACCTCTTTCCTTTATAAATTACCTGGTCTCAGATATGTCCTTATAGTAGCATGAGTATGGACTAATAGAGATACATATCTTTCTAGACTCTCAATTAAATTATTTATTAAATACAAAACTATGGTTTCTTAAAATCAATGAAAAACTTAACCTTAAAATGCATCTCAAAATTCTTCAAATTTTGGTTAAAAATATAACTTTAAGAATTAAACTTTATACAAATTAGCAACTCTTGATTGCCAAAAACTCTTTGTTTCCCCTCTAGACATGGAGAGAATATTTGGAGCAGAAAGACATCAGTATTTTTTTAAACAAAGAAGTCATTATCTTTTATATCCCTACTGTCCTTCACATAATTGTGCAAATACACAAAGTATTTATTTTTGTAAGAGATGAGGAAAAAACCTACAGGGCAGGGTGCAGTGGCTCACATCTCTGATCCCAGCACTTTGAGAGACTAAGGTAGGAGGATTGCTTAAGGCTATGAGTTCAAGATCGGCCTGGGTAACATAGTGAGACCCTGTCTGTACAAAAAATAAAAATAGCCGGGCATGGTGGCATGTACCTGCAGTCCCAGCTACTTGGGAAGCTGAGGCAGGAGAGACACTTGAGTGTGGGAGGTCAAGAGGCTTCAGTAAGCTGTGACTGCACCACTTCACTCCAGCCTGGGTGACAGAGAGAGACCCCTGTCACCAAAAAAAAAAAAAAAAAAAAAAAAAAAGAGAGAGAGAAAGAAAGAAAAGAAAAGAAAAAGTAAAACATACATTCACTGGAAAAGTTTTGCCCCATGGAAAAGTCTATGCAGTCTCAGCTTCTTATCCCCCATAACATTGTTTCTCCTTAGGATGTTTTATTGTCTTGAAAGAGTTTTGAATACTAAGGATTTGCTGTGATCAAGACAAGCTTCCTTCTACCTCTTCAGATTATTTGGTCCTTCTATATTTCACAGTTTAAACCAGTTTTCGAAAAACCAGCTATTGAGGAATAAGGATTCAAAGCAGGAAAGACATCAGAGAGACCAGGTCTACATGGTGCAAAGGCATAGGCACCTACAGTTGGGGGTCTGCATTGTGGGCAGGGTCCTGGCTTCCTTCATAGACCCAGGACCTGCAGTTGTTCTGCTTTCAGTATCTCAGAGTCTTGTTTCTAGAGAACTACCTTGAGTGTCCTAAGCTTGTTTTATGAGCCAATTAAGAACAGTAGCAGAGTCATTGCTGGTTATATTTCTGTCCCTGAATAAAATAGACATTACTCCCATTTGTCTATGTTTCTTCCATTCTTTATGGTCTGAGATAAACCAACATATTCACTAACATTTCAATCAAAAACTAATAATAGAAAACTCGAAAGCACCATACCATTCTCAGATGTCTCTCTTTTATGTTTGAGAGTTATATCATATTGCTTGTACAAATTAAGTTTATATTAAAAGCTTCCTGTGGCATAGGTTCTGAAAATAACTTTTAGATGTGAGAGAACATCTAGCCATTTATCTAATAACTATTGATCAAGTACCTACTATGCTCCTTCTGAAACCTTCTCAATTTATTGAGTACCTACCATGTTCCTTCTGTTTAATTTTTAGTGAGAATTCTTTCTTATCTCTTCCAGCTTCTGGGGTTTGCTGGCAACCTTTGGTGTTTCTTAGCCTGCAGAAGCATCACCCTAACTTCTGCTCCCAGCATCATATGGCTGTCTTCTCCCTGTGTGTCTCTGTGTCTTCACATGCCATCTCTCTTAAAAGGACACCAGATACATTGGGTTAAGGGCCCGTCTGACTCCAGGGTGACTTCATCTTGAGTAATTACATCTGCAGCAACCCTATTTCCAAATAAGGTAATCTTTTGAGGTACTCGATGTTAGGACTTTGACATATCTTTTGGAGGGTCACAGTTCAACTCATAACGCCAAGGTCTGGAAGGATGAAAATGCATAAAATATGTGTAGCATGTTTTATGTTATTAATTTATTTTTTATTTCAATAGGTTGTTTAGGGAGCAGGTGGTGGTTGGTTACATGAATAAGTTCTTTAGTGGTGATTTATGAGACTTTGATGCACCCATCACATGAGCAATGTACATTATACCCAATGTGTAGTCTTTTTTCCCTCACCCCACTCTCACCCTTTTCCCCCAAGTCCCCAGATTCCGATGTATCATTCTTATGCCTCTGCGTCCTCATAGCTTAGCTCCCACTTATGAGTGAGAACATACAATATTTAGCTTTTCATTCCTGAGTTACGTCTCATAGAATAATAGTCTTCAATTACATCCAGGTGGCAGCAAATGCCATTATTTCATTCCTTTTTATGGCTGAGTAGTATTGCGTGGTATATATATACTACATTTTCTTTATCCACTCTTTGATTGATGGGCATATGGGCTTGTTCCATATTTTTGCAATTGCAAATTGTGCTGCTGTAAACATGCATGTACAAGTATCTTTTTTGTATAATGACCTCTTTTCTTTGGGGTGGATAACAAGTAGTAGGATTGCTGGATCAAACGGTAGATCTACTTTTAGTTGTTAAAGGAACCTCCACACTGTTTTCCATAGTGGTTGTACTAGTATACATTCCCACCAACAGTGTTAAAGTGTTCCCTTTTCACCACATTCACACCAATATCTATTATTTTTTATTTTTTTTATTATGGCCATTCTTGCAAGAGTAAGGTGGTATCACATTGTGGTTTTGATTTGCGTTTCCCTGATTATCAGTGATGTTGAGCATTTTTCCATATGCTCATTGGCCATTTGTGTATCTTCCTATGAGAAATGTCTATTCTTGTCCTTAGCCCACTTTTTGATGGGATCGTCTATTTTTTTTTTCTTGTTGATTTGTTTGAGTTCATATTTGATGGGAGTTGCATTGAATTTGCAGATTGCATTTAGCAATATGGTCAATTTCACAATATTGATTCTACCCATCCATGAGCATGGGATGTGTTTCCATTTGTTTGTGTCTTCTGTGATTTCTTTCAGCAGTGTTTTGTAGAGGTATTTTATCTTTTTGGTTAGGTATATTCATAAGTATTTTATTTTTTAGCAGCTATTGTAAAAGGGGTTGAGTTCTTGATTCAATTCTTAGCTTGGTCACTGTTGGTGTATAGAATGGCTACTGATTTGTGTACATTAATTTTGTATCCTGAAACTTTGCTGAATTCATTTACCAGTTCTGGGAGCTTTTTGGAGGAGTCTTTAGGGTTTTCTAGATATACAATCATATCATCAGCAAACAGCAGGAGTTGGGCTTCCTCTACCAATTTGGAGGCCCTTTATTTTTTTCTCTTGTCTGATTGCTATGGCTAGGACTTCCAGTACTATGTTGAATAGAAGTGGTGAAAGTGGGCATCTTTGTCTTGTTCCAGTTCTCAGGGGGAATGCTTTCAACTTTTCCCTGTTCAGTATAATGTTGGCTGTGGGTTTGTCATAGTTGGTTTTTATTATCTTCAGGTATGCTCCTTCTATGCCAATTTTGCTAAGGGTTTCAATCATAAAACGATGCTGGATTTTGGCAAATGCTTTTTCCACATCTATTGAGATGATCATGTAATTTTTGTTTTTGATTCTGTTTAAGTGGTGTATCACATTTATTGACTTGTGTATGTTAAACCATCCCTGCTTCCCTGGTATGCAAACCCATTTGATCATGGTGGATTATGTTTTTGATATGCTGTTGGATTTGGTTTACTAGTATTTTGTGGAGGATTTTTGCATCTACGTTCATCTGGGATTTTGGTCTATAGTTTTCTTTTTTTGTTATGTCCTTCCTCGGTTTTGGTATTAGGGTGATACTGATTTCATAGAATGATTTAGGGAGGATTCTCTCTTTCTCTATCTTGTGGAATAATGTCAATAGTATTGGTACTAAATTCTTCTTTGAATGTCTGATAGAATTCAGCTGTGAATCCATCTGGTCCTGGACTTTTTTTGTTGGTAATTTTTTAAATTAGCATTTCAATCTTGCTGCTTGTTATTGGTCTGTTCAGAGTTTCTAACCTTCCTGCCTTAATCTAGGAGGGTTGTATATTTCCAGGAATTTATCCATCTCCTCTAAGTTTTCTAGCTTATACACATAAAGGTGTTCATAGTAGCCTTAAATAATCTTTTGTATTTCTGTGTTATCAGTTGTAACATCTCCCGTTTCATTTCTAATTGAGCTTATTTGAATCTTCGCTCTTCCTGGTTAATCTCGCAAATGGTCTATCAATTTCATTTATCTTTCAAATAACCAGTTTTTTGTTTCATTTATCTTTTGTAATGTTTTTTTCTTGTTTCAATTTAATTTAGTTCTGCTCTGATCTTTGTTATATCTTTTCTTCTGCTAGGTTTGGATTTGAATGTATTCTGTTTCTCCAGTTCCATGAGGTGTGACCTTAGGTTATCTATTTGAGCTCTTTTAGACTTTTTGATGTAGGCATTTAATGCTACGAACTTTCCTCTTAGCACCACTTTTGCTGTATCCCAGAGGTTCTGATAGGCTATGTGGCTATTATCATTCAGTTTAGAAGAATTTTTAAAAAGAATTTTTTAATTTCCATTTTGATTTCATTGTTAACCCAACAATCATCAGGAGCAGGTTATTTAATTTCCATGTATTCTGCATGGTTTTGAGGGATTTTTTTTGGAGTTGATTTCCGATTTTATTACACTGTGGTCTGACAGAGTACTTGATATAATTTTGATTTTCTTAAATTTACTAAGACTTGTTTTGTGGCCCATTATATAGTCTATCTTGGAGAAGGTTCTATGTGCTGATGAATAGAATGTATATTCTGCAGTTTTTGGGTAGAATGTTCTGTAAATATGTTAAGTCCATTTTTTTGTAGGGTATAGTATAAGTCTATTGTTTCTTTGTTGACTTTCTGTCTTGATGACCTGCCTAGGGCTGTCAGTGGAGTATTGAAGTCCCCCACTATTATTGTGTTGCTGTCTATCTCATTTCTTAGGCCTAGTAGTAATTGTTTTGTAAATGTGGGAGTTCTGGTGTTGGGTGCATTTGTATTTAGAAATGTGATATTTTCCTGTTGGAGTAGTTCTTTTATCATTATATAATGTCGCTCTTTGTCTTTTTTAACTACTGTTGCTTTAAAGTTTGTTTTGCCTGATATAAGAATAGCTACTCCTGCTGACTTTTGGTGTCCATTAGCATGGAACATCTTTTCTCACCCCTTCTTTAAGCACGTGAGGGCTTACGTGTTAAGTGAGTCTCCTGAAGACAGCAGGCTGCATCACGTTGCAGCAGAGGTTCTCAATTTACTTGCTTATAATATTACTTACGATGTTATTTGAGGAATAAAAGTTGTACATTTTATGTTATTACATAAAAAATATTTTATTTTATTTCTTTCATTGTTTTCTATTTAAAATGTCCTTCCTTATCCAATAGTTTAAAATATTCTGTTATTTTTCTAGTTTACATCGATTATTTTTATACTTAATTTCTTTAATCCAGATTATATTAATTTTGATATATTTAGTGAGATACAGCTCTAAAAAGTTTTTTGAATAAAGAATTTTTCCAGCAATGTATGCTGAATAATCAACCCTTACCCATTCTGATATAAACTTCATGTATGCCATCCACCTTTTCCATCACAGCATTTAACACATTAATAAATAGTTACCTTAAAGTTGTCTAACGGGCCCCCAAGCATGAAAACGAAGGAAAACCCTGAATTCCTTCAAGGGAAATTCCAGGTATCTAGCTAGCCCTGAGAAGTAAGGAAGTAACTTGATAAGCAAGGTAGCCTAAAACAATAGTCAAGGAAGTTAGACTCCAGAGGTGTTTGCTTTCCCTATGGAAACTGAAGATAGCATCTTAACATATGTGCCTGAGTTGTCTTTCAGAAACCCGGATCCCCACCAAGGACCCCCACCACCCACTGGCACATAGACCTCAGATAAGGGGGAACTGAAGACTGAACTCTGACCACTGCTCTTTGTTCTAAATTTCGTCCTGAGGGACCTGGAGAAAGTCACACCCATAAGCCAGAGCTGAGGTTCTTTTCTGGTGACCCCCAAATTTTTAAACAAAGCTTCTTTTTCTTAACCAATTGCAAATCAGAAAATATTGGAATCGACCCACGACCTATAAGCCCCCACTTTAAGACATCTTGCCCCTCTTAGGCCAAAACCAATGTATACCCTCCATGTATCAATTTACAATTTTGCCTGTAGCTTCCGCCTTCCTGAAATTTACGCATGCCTTTAAAAGCCCTAACCTGCAAGCCATTGGGTAAGGTGGGATATGAGCATTAACCACTTGGTCCTCCCTGTTTGGTGCCCTGCAGATAAATAGTTTCCTTTCTGCCTCTGCAAAACCTCCGTGTGGATATGTTTTTACTGCACCAGGTGAGGAGACCCCAGTTTGGTTGTATAACAGTTTCATCTTCTGGGTTATCTGAGTCCAGCTTTGTTGATTGCTTTATCTCTTGAAAAATATTTAACTTGCTCTATTTTGTATTTCATAATCTTCTTAAAGAAAATTGTCTTATGTCAAAACTGAATACTGGACACTGTGTGAAAGAGTGGAGACTGAGGAGATCATTATTTATACGTGGAAATGGAGAAGACATTAGTGTAGAACTGAGTCAATCAAGTCAGTTTGGGTTTTGTTGTTCGTCTCCAAGCCAGACACACTCTTCCTCTCTGGAGGAATCCCCTCCACACCCCACAGCCCTGGCAGAGGAGGCAAGGTTCTCTTCTACCCTTAATCCCCACAGGTCAGAGGTGAAGGCCAGAGGGTGGCAGCCAGGACTCAGGTGGGAGCCAGGACTCAGGTCGGGGCCAGAAGTTGATGTGCATCTGTACCACCGGTGGGGGCTCTTACTGGCCTCCTACTCCAGTTTGTCTTGTGAGCACCCAATGGGACTCATGCAAAGGAGGTTGCAAAGGAGTGCCAACTCCTTTTGTGCTAGAGACCCCCCCCCCCAGACATTCCAAAAGGACCCACTAGCCCATGCTTTAATAATTTGATGAAATTTTGGTGATTTCTCCTTACACTTTTTATAAACAACTCTTTCTCCTGTGCTATGCTAAAGGGAAACACTCCACCTCTCCTGGGAGCACTTTGTCAGTCTTTGAAATCTGGATTACTTGGCAACCTTGCAAAGATAGCTGTCAGCTTGACAATAAGCTCAAGAGAAGTTATGATTCTGCAGATTATCCAAGTTCTTCTTATTACTAAGGTGAGAATGCCAATCTTTACAACTTTCTACCCCCTGTGTGGAAACGTGTTTCTAGGACAGATACCTAAAAGTGGAAAAACTGGGTCACATGACATGCAGTTTTCATAGGCAGAAAAAACCTCATAATTTGAAGGTCTGTGTGTATTCTTTCCCCAGTAATAACACCTTTAACTGAAAATTTATCACTTGTTTTTCTTGCTCCTTCAACCACATGTTAAGGGACCCTTGTTTTCTGGTATACACAGAGGACACTGTCCTGGGTGAGCCCAGAGAACTGACTGTTCAGTCTAGAAAGAAGCTTAGCATCTAAGGAAAAAGACTCAAAAGAAACTGGAAAAAGTGCTGACAATAAAGGGTTTAGCAGAGAAATTCTTTTTTTCTTTTTCCTGGTGAACTGCATAGAGAATTTCCTTTTCCTAGGTCCCCAATAAGGACTTGTCTTCCATCTCCTGTATATCAGCCATGTTTGAGGCAGTCTTTCTCAAATTCTTTCTCATTAAATTACTTTAAGAACATCGATGACTGCAGAAGCTGTTTTTCTAAAACAATTACAGACATGAGAACGCTTGCATTGTTTTAGAAGTAAGGGTCAATTAAGCAAGGGGTCTGATAGGTCTTTTTCCGTGTCTAATGCTAAAGGTGTTCTACCCTCGTAGGTCAGCGGCAGAACTCAAAGTACAACAGGGACAGCGGAGAGTCTCGGATCCATCCGGTGTCTTGGTACATGCGTTTCCCACCAGCCACTCCCAAAAAAGACCAGGGAAGTGGATTTGATATTTAAAATTGAGAAGGACTTAGGGCACTGTGGTAGCAATATAAAGACTAATGCCCACCTGTTATAAAAGGAACGGTGAGGGCTGAGCACGGTGGCTCACGTCTGTAATCCCAGCACTTTGGGAGGCGGAGGCAGGTGGATCACCTGAGGTCAGGAGTTCGAGACAAGCCTGACTAATATGGTGAAACCCCATCTCTACTAAAATACAAAAATTAGCTGGGTGTGGTGGCACATACCTGTAGTCACAGCTACTCTGGAGGCTGAGACAGGAGAATCGCTTGAACCTCAGAGGTGGAGGTTGCATTGAGCCGATATTGCACCACTGCACTCCAGCCTGGGTGACAGAGCGAGGCTCTGTCTCAAAAATAAAATAAAGTAAAATAAATAAATAAATAAAGGAATGGGGAGGAAAGGAATGAGTTGAACCAAACTCACGTATGATAAACCCTAAAATCCTATGTGTTTTCCACAGGGCATTTTCTGTGGGGCAACTTGGTTCCCCTGAGAGGGAAAGAAATGTAAATAACAGGAGTAAAAGTCAGGGAGATGAGGAGGGGTGGAGAGGCTGGGGAGGGAGGGAGTGAAGAGAAGTGAGGAGAGGAGGGGGCTGCCATGACTGATACTTGGAGGAGCCACTTGTTTTCTTTAGACTTTGGTTTCCTGGTCTGTAAAATGAAGCTGCTGGACCCTATCATGTTGAAGGTTCTTTCCTCCTTTAAGATAGCATTTCCTCTTTGTTTTAGATTAAGCTAAAGTAAGCCCATGCTGTTGTGTCACAGTGAATTACCGTTTTGGTAACCAGGTCTAAGACACTGGGCATCATCTAGCACATCAAGAATCTGAAGTCCTGGGCAGTGACACTTGGAGAGATACTGGGTGTCTTTTCATGAGGATTCAGTAAAATGCTGAAATCTGAACTGGAGGCTACCTGTAAGTATCTTCCTTTTCTCAGGACAGAAAACAACCTAAACATACTCTCCTTCATCCTCGATTTTCCCAAAAGCAAAAGGCTTTTAATAGAAATTCTTAAAATCCACCATAAAATGGCAAGGTATATTTCATGTCCATTACATTTTGTTTAGAAGGGGAAGAAACTTTTTCTTCAGCATTTGTCAGAACGTTAGAACTGTGCAACTTGAGGCTAAAACAAAAATGTCAAATTTTGAAATGTCAGAAGTGTAAATCACTAGTTATGATATTAGTAACAATGATAATCATGGCTGACCTAACAGAAGTCTCAATAACTTGAGAATTTTCAAGTAATTATCTATTTATTATCTTAATGTTTTCTCGTCAAATCCCTGTGGGGAAATGGGCTAGGTGATTACATTCTACAGATGTAAAGGAAGGAAGTGGGGCCCAAGGTGGTGGTGATCTAGGACCAGACTCAAGACATGCTTCCGAGTCCAGGGCTTTGTTCCCCAGACCAAACGTCATCAGGTAACGAGGCAGTTGCCACTGGGTAGGTGTGGCTAGAATCCGCTGGGGCAATACAGGCCCCTCCCAGGACATGTAGTTAGTTGTTTCCTCAATCTTCCCTGCAGCTTTTTGTCTTACTTTTCATCTTTTTATCTTTTCTGCTTGTCTTGATTTTCTATTTACTTCATAGTATGTCCAGTGCTCAGTATTTCTAGTGTTTAGCACAGGGTGCCGCACATAGAAGTTGTCCTGTAAATATTTGTTGAATGACAGATTAAGTAAATGAACAAACAGATAATTGAATATTTATTGTGGTTCTGAAGCTATACAGAGAACCAGTTGTGTCTTAGTCATATTATTTTGTTTTATTTGTATAATTGAACATTAGACAATATATATAATATTATCCTCTTCATTTATTTATATCCGGAAAGGGTAGATAGGCAGAAGCCCATGAGCACAGCACAAAAGTGAATGCTCATTGAGCATTTCTCAAGCACCAAGTTCTAGTGCTCTTGAAATGCATTATCTAATCATTTAATCCTCATAAACATTTTATATAGTCAGGGTTCCTAGTGGCTACTCACAGAAACCAAAGGCTAATACATAGAAATGGAATATTTTGGATGCCTCTCATGTATCCCATAAAATTGGTGTTAGAGGATTAGAGGACAAGGCTCAGGCAATGAGGAGAGGGAAGTTAAGTTATAGGGCACAGCTCACAGTCATCTCCAAGAGCCATCTGGTTAGGACCCCCCGCTACTGACCCTATACTGCCTGAGCTGCCCCAGCCACGACCAACAACCTCCTAACTATCCTCTCTTCTTTGTAACACTCCCTTGGGATCAATGTCCCAGAAGGTCAACTGATTAGTTAAACTTCAGTCATACTCTCATGTCTTAGCTGCTGGGGCTGCAGGGAGAAGGTTGATTTGTCACCTTGGGCTTCCCTCCAGTGGGAGGTGGGTCACCTTCCGTCAAGCATCCCACTATGAGGCATTGGTCTCCAACAGGATTCATATCCTGGGCAGGGGAAAAATAGACTAAGTTGATTACCTGTAGGTACTATTTTTATTCACATCTTAGAGATGAGGAAACCTAGGCTCAGAGCGGTTCTGTAATTTATCCAAGGCCACACAGCTATTAAGTTGGTACTGCAAGGTTAAGTGATGAGCAAAGGCACAGGGGACGAGTATGTTCTGCCTTTTTATTAACCAGTTAGCTCATTCAACAAAATATAAGTTGAGTCATTATTTTGTGCCAAGAAGTGTTCTAGATGATGCAATATGATGGTGAGCTGTCTTCTTCTAGAGTGGTTCTTATCCTCTTGGTGCCTATAATCTAGCAGAGATGCAGACATCAACATAGAACTATGAAATAAAGTATACTATTACCAATTTGTTAAGTAAGATTAAGAACAAAAATACAGAATACAATAAGAGAACCTACATTGGATGTTGGGTCATTAAGTTCTCTGAGAAAGGAGATTTTATCTGTATAGGAGTTAGCCAGAAGAAAAACAGGAGAAATAGCGTCCCAGATAATTCCTTGTACTCAGAAACCTGGGGGAGGAGGGAGCTTGATGTGTTCAACATGACTGCATTCTTGTCTATGTGTTTTATAAATGATTTTAACTAGAGCCAATTTGCTGACTTGACAAGTTAAACTTGTCATATGTACAAAGCCAGAGTAAACATGTGTAATTAAATAAAGACTGGGATTATGGATCATTGATTATTTCATGGCATGATGCATTCCTAAATTCTGAGTTTTAAAAAAATTAATAATTAAAAATCCCCTGAAATAAGTAACACAATCTCTCTGAATGATGAGGAAAGCCGTATGTCTGCAATGCCCCATGAAAGGCCTCTAAACTCTGGCCTCAGTGAAATCAATCACTCTCCTGAAGTTGTCCTCAAATGTGCAGGTTTCTTTTGATGCCAGTGTGCAGGCCAGGAATGCAAAGAAGAAAGAGGCAGACCTCTGAATGTTATGAATTTCATCTTATAAATAAAAGATTATTTCACACAACCCTCTGATGTGATGACACAGGGAGAAGCAACTGCCTTGGAGATGGTCACTTGCTATTCCCAATGTCGACAGCTTGAACTTCTTCATGTCTTTAAGAAATGCAAGCACTATGCATATAATGGGTCCCAAAAAAATCCACCTCCTGTGAGCCAAGTTGGAAGGGCAGGAAGCAAGTATGTGTTAACTTTACAGAAATAACATGTTTATATAAGAAAGTGATTTCTGCAGCCTAGTCCAAACACACTGCCACTCTGGAGATGAGCAATCCTTAGGAAGTTTCAAGTCCATTGTTAGTGTATGAGTCAGGTTAGCCTTGGTTATGCTAATGTGACAAAGAGCTCCCATAGCGAAGTGGCTGGAAACAACAGTATTAATTTCCTGCTCATGCTTCATGTTCATTTTGTGTAGAAAGTCTTTATTCATTGTGGTCTTTTAAGAAACAGACTGAGGGCTCCCATGAAGACGTGCTTCCACCATAGCCAAGGGAGAGATTGTGCCCTGGTTTTTAAGACTTCCTCCTTGAGGTGTCTCTTAGCCAAGCAAGCCACATGGTTATTCTTAACTTCAAAGTGGGTGGAAAGTGCAGCTCCACCTACTGTACCTGGCAAGAGAGGAGAACTGGAATATTCATGAATCAACCTGATGAGAAGCCCAGAGCAAATGAAGATAAGATATCTGTCTAGGCCTAGATGGACATTGTAGGGCCTCAGAAGTATCACCAACAGTCACAATGAAGCCTTTGCTCTGTCCTCCACTGTGTTCTGTGTATCAGCCAGGATCCAGGCCAGAAAACAGAAATTAAGTACTTCAGCTCTAGAGGAAATTGATTAGTGATACAGTGTTGGAAGAACTGAAAGAGGAAAAGGGAGGAGAAGGTTGGAAGATATAAATGAACAAGTGATTCCCAGAGGTCACAAAGCTAATGCCCCTGGGATGGAGTCCCTGAGCCCACCACTGCCCTGCGTTGTTGGAGATGCTGTCACAGTTGGTTCTGGATGTGCCACTGAAATGCCACCATACCAAGGGCTGAAACTGTCACCAGCAATGTTGACACAGCTGCACAGCTTCCATTGGCAGAACTTGAATGGTGTCTGCAGATTAGATAGCAGTGTCATTTCATTTCTTGGTGCTAATGGTTCCTTTGTGGTTATGTAGGACAATTTACCCATATTTTAAAAATACACACTGAAGTGTTAGTGGGCAACAGAACATCATTTTGGCAAATTACTCTCAAAAGATTCAACTGAAAAAAATCCTTTGTATTTTCTTAGTTGCAACTTATTTGTAAGTTTGAGATTATTCCATTTTTTTCAATTTAGAAATCGAGCATAGGACCACTAGTGGGTCACCTGAACAACAAACATATTCTTTTCTCCCCCATGTAAAGTGACAGGCCCAGCTCTTCTGAAAGTCAGTCCATTGCCCAAGCCAACATGAGTCCTCTTTCCTTGCCTGCTTGTCTCTTGACACAAGGATCCTGAACTGACTGGGCAAGAGCCATAGCTTGAAATCTAATGGGACTCTTATTGTGTCTCCACATGGAAATATGGAAACGTTTGCCCTCTGAGAACCAGGACCTCTAGAATTGCAAAACCTAAAGTTGAAAGCACACATCATCCTTGGGTGATTGATTGGGACATTCATTGGGTTCTCTGTGGTGATGTGAGGCAACACCTCATTCTCTTCCACCCCCTTGTTTCCTAGACCCATATATCACACTTGGAAACATAGCACCACGTAACAGTTATTGATTAAGGCAGAGACTCTCAGTAATAATAATGCTTCTCTTACCATTGCATTTTTTATTTTTTTAAATAAAAAAATAATTGCATGTAGTTTACATGCAATAAAATTCAGCAGTTTAAGTGTAGAATTGAGTGTTATCATGGCGCAGAATTTTATTACCTCAAAAGGTTCCCTCATATCACTTTTCATTCTGTGCACTCCTGCAAACCTGGGCCATGGCAACCATTAATCTGATCTCTGTCCCTAGAGTTTAGCTTCTCCTAGAATTTCACAAAAACAGAATCATACAGTATGCCATCTTTCACATTTGGCTTATTTGACTTTGCATACTGCTTTGAGATTCAGCCATATTGTTGTGTATATCACACAATATGTGATATGCTCCTTTTTACTCCGTGATAGTATTCTGTGACGTGCATTTGCCACAATTTATTTATAATAACCCTGAAATTAGGTAGCACAATTCCTTCAGCTTTTTCATAAGTTTTCAAAACTGTCTTGGATGATCTAGGTCACTGCATTTGCAAATACAGTTTAAAATCAGCTTGTCAATTTCTATAAAAATGCCTGCTGGGATTTTTATTGGGATTGCATTGAAGATATAGGTCAATTTGGAGCAAGGAAACATCCTGATAGTATTGATTTCTCTATTCCATGAGTATGGTATCTCTCTACATTTATTTGGTCTTTGATCATTTTCAATAATGTTGGTTTGGTTTTTTTTAGTTTACGGTATAGACTTCTTCAATGTATTTTGTTAAATTTATCCCCAATATTTCATGTTTTTGATGCTCTTGTAAATGGTATTGTTTAAATTTTAATTTCCAATCAATCACTGCTAGTACATAGAAATATGTGAATTCTGTGTATTGATTACGGACCTGCCAGCTTGCTAAAATCATTTAACAGTTCTAGTAGTTTTACATAAATTCTTAGGGGAATTTTTCTATGTAGACAACATGTAGTGTGTGGATAAAGTCAACTTTAATTTTGCCTTTTCAATCTGTATGCTTTTATTTCTTTTCCTTGCCTTGTGGCATTGTGTAGGATCTCCAATATGACCTTGAATAGAAGTGACAAAAGTGAACATTCTTGCCTTGTTTCAGATCTTAGGGGGAAAGCATGGAATCTTTTGACACTACGTACAATGTTGGCTGTAGGCTTTTTAATGATGTACTTTATCTTGTTGATAAAATTTATTTATATGCCTTGTTTTCCAAGAACTTATCAAAAATGAATGCAGAATTTTGTCAAATGTCTTTCCTGTATCTGTTGAGATGATCTTATGGTGATTCCCTTTCGGTCTGTGGATATGGTCAATTACTTTGGTTAGTTTTCAAATGTTAAATCAATCCTTATTATCATTAGATTATACTGACATATTTATGATGTATTATTTTTTATATTAGGCAAGATTTGTTCTATAAATATTTTGTTATAGATATTCACATCTCTGATAATGAGATATATTAATCTACTTTTGATATTATGGTCATACGACCTCATAAATTGAGTTGGGAAGTATTCCATCTTTTTTTTTCCTGCAAGGGTTTATGTACAATTGGTACTATTTTTTCCCTAAGTGTATGATAGACTTCACCAATGAAGTTATCTAGGCCTGGAGGGTTTCATTTGTTTGTTTGTTGGAACATTTTTAATTAGAATTCAATTACTTTATGGATATAGTGCTATTTGGGTTATTCATTTCTTCATAAGTTTGCTAGTTCATGTCTTTAATGAATATGTCTATTTCGTCTACACTAACATATTCATTTCTGTGAAATAAAGTGATCCATAATATTCGCTTATTATCCTCTCAGTGCTAACAGAATCTGTAGTGATGGCCCTCTCTTTTAGCTGACTTTGGTAAGTTTTGTCTTCCCAATTTTACTCTGATCAGTCTGATTATAGTTCATTAATTTTATTGACTTTTTCAAATAACACAGTTCTGATTTATTGATTTTTCTTTACTGGTTTTCTGTTTTCTATTTCATTGATTTATTATTTTATTTTTAATATTTTTTCCTCCATCTTGGAGAGGTTTAATTTATTCTTCTTTCTTACTTTCTTTTCTTTCTTTCTCTCTCTCTTTCTTTCTTTCTTTCTTTCTTTCTTTCTTTCTGTCACCTAAGCTAGAGTGCAGTGGCACAATATTGCCTCACTGCAGCCTCTGCCTCCGGGGTTCAAGTGATTCTCATCTCAGCCTCCCAAGTCACTAGGATTACAGGCATGCACCACCATGCCCGGCTTTTTTTTTTACTTTTAGTAGAAACAGGGTTTCACCATGTTGTTCAGGCTGGTTTTGAACACTCGACCTCAAGTGATCCACCCGCCTCGGCCTCCCAAAGTGCTGGGATTACAGGTGTGAGCCACCGAGCCTGGCCTGATTTTTAGTTGTGAAGGAAGAACACATGTTTATGCTTTCAGCCCTCTTAAGTTTATTTAGCGGATTTCCTTTACAGCCCAGAATATAATCTATCTTGATAAATATTTGTACTTGAAAATAATGTGTTGTCTGCTGTATTGGATGAGTGTGCTATAAAAGTCAATTACAGCAAGTTGTATGATAGTGGTAGCAGGCTGAATAACAGCCCATAACCATATCCAGGTCCTTATCCCTGAAACCTGTGAGTGTTCCCTTATATAATATCAGGAACTTTGAAGACATGGTTAAATTAAGGACTTTGACATAAGGAGATTATCTTGGATTATCTGAGCCCTAAATGTAATCATAGGAATCCTTGTAAGAGTCAGGAACAGAGAGATTGGCAAACAGAAGGAAAAGGCTATATGAAGACAGCAGAGAGAGATGTGAAGATGATACCCTGCTAGTCTTGAAGATGGAGAAAGGAATCCTGAGCCAAGGAATGCAAAGAATGCAGCTTTAGAAAGTGGAAAAGGCAAGGAAATGAATGCTCACTAGAGCCTCCGCGGGAGGTGGTCCTGCTAACACCTTGCTCTCAACCTAGTGAAACTCATTTCAGAATTCTGACCTCCAGAAATCTAAGAGAATAATTTTTAAAAACGATTTATTTGGAAATTGTTATAGATTCAAAGGAAATCGGAAAGATAGTACAAAGAGATCCTTTGTACACTTCCCCAGCTTCCCCCAGTGGTTATGTCTTGTATAATGTAATATAATAGCAATTGTGTAATACAATACAATACAATATACAATACTTCTTATATAATACAGTACAATAGCAAAACCAGGAAATTGGCATGTGTATAGTTTTATTTCTGTGTCATTTTTCCACATGTGTAGATTCACATAACCACCACCACCACATCCAAGATACGGAACTATGAGGCCAGTCTAGGCAACATAGCAAGACTCTTATCTCTACAAAAATAAATAAATAAATAAAAATTTAAAAGTAGCTGGGCATGGTGGCACATGCCTGTAAGTCCCAGCTATCCTGGAGACTGAAGCAGGAGGATGGCTCAAATCCAGGAATCCAAGGCTACATTGAGCGATGTTCCTACTACCACACTCTAGCCTGAGTAAAAGAGCAAGACCCTGTCTCAAAAAATAAAAATAAAAATAAAGAAGATTTAAAAAAAATTATTCCATGAATCACCACAAAGATCTCCTTATGCTGCCCTCATGGTCACATCCATCCGCTTCTTCCTACCCTCCCACACCCCCCACCATCCCTAACCCCAGCAGTCACTAACCTGTTGACCATCTCTTGGCCAATTGATTTTTTTAATACTTCATTTTTTAGGGCAGTTTTAGGTTCACAGAAAAATTGAAATGAGGATACAGAGAGTTCCCATATATTCCCTGCCCCACACATGTATAGCCTCCTCCCTTATCAACATCCCCCACCAGGGTGGCATACTTGTGACAGCTGATGAAGCTAATTTGCTATGTTTTAAATGGCCAAGTTTGTAATGATTTGTTATAGCAGCCATGGGAAACTAGCACAATAATGTTGTTCAAATCATCTACATCCTGACTCATATTTATTTCATTACTGAGGGAGAAATGTAGATGTTTCCAACTATAACTTTAGATGTGGGTTCTTTTCTTCCTTCCAGTTCTATCAGTTCTTGCTTTACGTATTTTGTACCTTTGTTATTTGTACCCCTGTTAACACATTTTAGACTATCATTTCTCTTGATGAATTTCTCCTTTCCTTATTGTAAAATGTTGATTTTTGTCTCCGGTAATATTACTTGTCCTGATATTTACTTTGACTGTCATTAAGATAGCCATTCAAACTTTCTTTTGATTAGTGTTTTCATGAGATATTATTTTCATCCTTTTCCTTTTGATTTGTGGTTTTATATCTAAAATGGGTTTCTTATAGACAGCCTATAGTTATATCTTGCTTTTATATCCAGTCTGACAGTCTCTGACATTTAATTTTAGCATTTAGGCCATTTTTATTTCATGTAATTATCAACATGGATACATTGAAAATGACCACTTTGCTGTCTATTTTCTATCTGTCCTATCTCCTCTCTATTCCTTTCAGATTAAATGAGTTTTGTTAATAATTTCATTTTATTTTCACTATTGGCTGTTAGCTATACTTTTCTGTGTTGTTTTTTTATAGTTGCTCTAGGATTTACAACATATGCATTGAACTTCTCACAATCTACATTCAAATAACATTATCTTACCTTATGTACTATATAAGAACCCGACAACAGTCTACTTACATTAAATCCTTCTGTTCTTTGGGCCACTCTTTTCATACATTTTACTTCTCCATATGTTATACATCCTTCAATGTATTATTGTTAGTTTTGCTTTAAGCCATCAATTATATTTTAAAGAAATAAAAATAAGAAAAAAGTTTACATATGTTTACCTATTTATCATTTGCAATACTCTTTATTTCTTTGTTTAGATCAACTCTGTATCTGGAACTATTTTTCTTTTGCTTGAAAATCTTCTTTTAAGATTTCTTGAATTCCTGCTCTGCTGATTATAAATTCTATCATCTTGTTTCTCTGGAAAAAAAAAGTTTTTAACTTTAATTTTTGAAAAATTACTTTTACTCTTAATTTTTTCTAATTATTTTAACTTTATTTTAATGGTTTTAAATTATTTTCACAATTCCATTGTTTTCTGGCTTGCATAGTTTCTGATAAGAAGTCTGATGTCATCCTTAACATAATTCCTCTGTGTGCAATGTTTTATTTTTCTGGCTACTGGTAAGATTTTCTCCTTATCTCTGTTTTTTTAGCAATTTAATAACATATCTTGACATGGCTTTGTTTGGTTTTATTTTCTTCTTACTTTTTGTTTTCTTTCTTGGTTACTTAGAGCTCACTGGGTTTCTGGAATTTGTAGGTTTAAAATTTTTCTTAAATTTGTAAATTGCTTTGCCATTATTTTTTTTAAATACTTTTTATTCTCCCTCCCTGCCTAAACTGCTTGATATTTTTCACTGGCCGGTGATGCTCTGCTCATCATTTTTCAGCTTTTTAATTCTCTGTGTGTTTCAGTTTAGATAGTTTCTATTGCTGTGTTCTCAACTTTACTGTTTTTTAATACCAGCAGGATGTAGCATTAATCCCATCCAATATATAATGAATTTCATATATTGAATTTTTATCTCTAGAGTTCAGTTTTGATTTTTTTAATATCTTCTATTTCTACATCATGTTCATATTTACCTCTACCTTCATGGATATATGCAGTATATTTGTAATATCTTTTAAGTCTCTCTTTGTTTTTTGCCTGCCAGTTAGCTTTATATTATCTCCTGGATATCATCCATTTTAAATTGTTGGTTTCTGGATTTGATTCTATTTTTCTAAAAACTGTTGAATTTTTTCATTTATGAAATTACAATTAGTTGTATCCTTTTGAAGCTATCTTTAAAGCTGTATTAGAGTAAGTCCATAACAGTCATTAATCTAGGGCTGAAATATAGCCCCAGTATTAAAGTGGGGCCCTTATGAAGATCTGTCTGATGCTTCATGTATTAAGAGGTCTTTCAGTCTCATTAGTGGGTATATTAACTAGTCCAAGTCCTGTGTGAGCTACAAAAATTGTGGTATCTACTCTTTTTATTGGCCATTGTTCTGATTTTGGCCATAGATAATTGCCTTTCATGTATGTACAGATCAGTATTCACTCAATGACTCAGGGGAACCCCTCTGCAAATCTCTGAAACTCTTACTTTGTCTCTGTAATTCCATCATTTCTTATATTTTGCACGTGCACATTCTAGCCTCCTTGACCTTCCTGAAGTTCAATATATGTCTCCTAAAGTTTTTAGGACTGCCAGGCTCTCGTTGGTTTTTCCTCCCTGCCCTGCAGTCTGGGAACTGCCTCCAGACCATGTGCTGAGGCAATCATAGAGCTCACTTCATTTGTCTCCCTTCTTTCTGGGATCTCATTCTTACCTGCCTGTGGTCCAGTGTCTGTAAACCATGGTTTTATGTATTTTGTCTGTTCTTATAGTTATTAAAGTGGAAGTGTAAATGCAGTCCCTTGTTACTTTATCTGGGCTGGAAGTGGAAGTTCTTTGAGCATTCTATATTAATAGAGTAAACAGGGTGTCCTATGGGCATTCCTCAAAACATAGTCAGTTTGTGGGTTTTCTGGACTTAGGTTGTATATTCACTTGTGACCACTTTTCTAAGATCTCTCCCTTCACCATCTATCATGGAAGTTCTGGGATTCCTATTTCACTTAATAGAAAAAGCAATCACTTCCAAAGTCCCAAGTCAGCCTGGCTTTATGTTTGCATTATCTTCCAGAGTTCTTGCTAGGATATTAAATTTTGTCTAGGGGGAAAGAGTTCCTGGGAAAGTATAAGATCAGCAGGGAGACACTCCCAGGAAAGAAAATAGGTAGGCGACTGTGTCTGATCTCTTTTTGAACATATTTATAACCGGACCTCCTGATAATTACATTTTCCAGAAGAGTCCTCATCTATTGAAGGATTGTGGCTTAACATAAACAAACCTAGAAGCTATGGATTTATGGTGCATAGCTCCTTAAAAAATGTCACATAAGCCATGCAACTATCTATCTGGGTATAAAATGGAGATATTTCCTAACATCCAATGCCTCCTGTTGTGTGACATAACCCTCACCTCACTCGGAGGCCTCACCTACTACCCTGGCCAGCACCATATGGAAATGTGACCTGAGGAGACTCATTTGACCTAGCAGGACCCTTCCCTGGTTTGCACAGGCCACAGGACCCACCAAAAGGTATTTTCTTGATCTTGTTGCTCCTCTTTGTGCACACATTGCCTCTATTGTCTTGGCAAGCTCAGCATGTCATCAGGACTTCAATAGGATTTGGCCCTTGATATTTGCCTCATTTCCAGAAGCAGAAGATGCTGAGGCCTCAGCCCATCCTCTGGGGAGCCCTGGAACTGGGTTGATTCTCCTGATTCTTACCAAACTGAACTCAAGAGGTTCGACCTTGTACCCACATCAGTCAGGCACTGACTGTGCTTCTCTTTAAGGCAAGTGGTTCACTGTGGTCACAGGTGATAGCCAATGAAAAGTGCAGCCATGAGCCAGCAGCAACAGATATTCCCAGCAGCACTTCAGTTGTCTTGGTATGGCACCAAAGTATCCACAACATTATTCCATTTGATTTTTTAAAATTCTAGTTAAGAATCACTAACTTGTAAAAACCAAATTGGTCATGAGCTGGAGATGAAAAAATACTGACCTGGCTCACGCTTAGGGATTTAGCACCTGGTCTTGGGCTTAGCACACAGTAGGTGACAGAATAATGCTTTAATCCCTACTTCTGCTGATGGAAACATCTCTCTCGTAGCTCCGGCCAAAAACATCAGGTCATGCTCAACACATCTTTTTCTGTCACATCTCACATTCTTTCCTTCACCTTGTCCAGTTGATGCCACCTTCAAGATGCAATATATTCAGAGTCTGGACCTTCTTTCCCTTCTCTGCTGCTGCCCTGTAAATCGGATCATCCCACTCTGGCTTCTTTGCTTAAAACTCTCTAATCATTCTCCATTTTATTCCGAGTAAAGGATAAGGCTTTACAATGGCCTCAGGTTCTGATGGGTTTTCTCAGCGCTCTCCCTTATCCCGTCTTCTGCTTTTCTGCCCTAGCTCCCTGCTACAGCAACACTGCCCTTCATTGTTGAATCCCCCGAGTGTGGTTCAGCCCTGGGGCATTTGCAGCAGCTGCTCCCCTGCTGGAGAGCACTTCCTTCGAATGTCTGCTCAGCTCAGTCCTTCACCTTCTTCAAGTCATTGCCCAAATAACTATCTCCCAAGAAGACCAATACTGTATACCATTCTGTTAAAATTGCCACCTGTCTCCCAGCCCCCCATCACCTCTTCCAAATACTCTCACACTGCTTTTTTTAAAACACTGTTCCCATCTTAGACTAAACAATTTACTTATTTATGTCTATTTTCTTATTTTCTGTCTCTTCTACTAGGCTATCAGTCTCATGAGTGCAAAGAGTTCTATTTGTTTTCTTTTGTGGCACTGAGTTTGCTCCAGTGCCTAGAACATGGCCTGGCCCACAGAAAGTGCCCAATAATTATTGGCTGGATCCATCGATGACTGACTTCGAGTCTAGGTGGCTGAGCTTTAAGTTCCCCTTTCTCCAAATGTTATTCCCAGTTTTAAAAAATCTCCTGGTTCTGCTCCATGTACTGGGTGTCATATTCTTGAGCCCTACAATATGAACTTACAAAATAGTTTATTTTCAAAAGCTGTTAACTCATTTATCTGATTACTAAATTCAAATCTGATTTAAAATTATAAATTCTTCTGGCTTATATAAATGACAAAAATGAATTCACGAAACTATCCTTTCTCATAGGAGTTTAATCTCCAAGGCTTCTGCTAGCACTGAAAACAGTCTGTGATTCTAAGAGTCAATTCACTCCCCATGACCATATCCAAATATTTTAACACCAATTCCACAGCCTGCACAGTTGGCCGGCCCAGCTGGTCTGCAGAATCTGGGGGAGGCTCATGGCAGGCTGACGTCAATTGGCAGAGCCCAGTCTGGAAGGAGCTCCCAGTCAGCCTACTCCCACACGCTCCTCTCTCTTCCATCCAGTGTTATCAACTCACTTTTCCTTCTCAGTATTCATCTTCTGCAGTTTTCTCCATAAAGAAATCTGTGGCCTTTACAGAGTCTTTGGTCATGTTATTCTCAATCTATAACCATACCAGCAGAAAATATAGGAATTAAGCGTGAATTATTCTAATTGATACTTTTAGTTATATTTTTATTTCTCAATATATTAATGTTAATTTCTGTAAATGTCTGAATGGACTCTGTTATGGTTTTACATTTCTTTATCCAAAAGGAAGATGAAGATGTTTGCACAGAAGAGCTGCCCAAGCAGTACAAAGCAATTGATTACAGACATGGTGACAATTGATTTACCAGTTCTCTTTACTTGCATGCCAAGGTCTGTGAATTAATCTTTTGTTTTGCAGTTTGTGTGTGAAGACAAATCATTACCTTAGTTAGGCTCATTAAACAGGACACCTCTTTGCCGCTACAGTGTGCAAGTAAATCAAATAGAAAAATTCCATAACAAAACTAGTGGTATTTTTGTATACAATTGGGTGGAAAAAACAAAACGAGTACAATTCATGATATAAATAGAAAATGTTTTCTGAAAATAAAAAATCTCATTTATGCTAGCATTTACTGTAATCTGAAATTTCTCCTGTTTTGTTGGCCATCTAATGTAATGATAGGATATGAGAGCCATTCTACGTCTCCAAAAATAGAAGCAGAAAAAGGAAGAGGGAAAAACCACATTGCTGACCAGGCCAAGTTCTGATTCCTTATGTTCTCAGCCTTTCTGTGCTGCTAAAGTATGGAATATTCCACCTGTAGGAATTATTTTGCCCATATTCTAAATGACAATTTGACACCTTTCAATTTCTCCTTCCACTTCCTCATATTCCCTCATGCTCACTCTATTCTTGGAATTTGACAGATATTTACTAATTTTTAACTTGGATATACAATTAATATCTTCCCTAACTTCTCCTGTTGTCTTCTCTCCTGTAAATACAGCAGGTGATTAGGAGCTCACCCTGAACCTCGCCTCCCCTCTGTGCTTATTCAGGCCCGTTTTGTTCTCAGCCTGCAAGGACAGTCGCATCAAACCTTCATTTCTTTGAAGTCTCTGACTTAAATCAGCCTCTCTCTCGTTCCTCCCTTCTGCATTCCTTTAAAAAAAATACTGACCTCAATTCTCTCACATTTATTCACTCCCAAGTTATATCTGGTTGAAAAAGGAACTGGAGCACATACAATTCTTGGAGCATTAATTTGAATGGTATTTATTAGGCTCACAGCGTGCAGAGTAGTCAGCCAGGCCCCTCTGTTATCTCAAACCTGATGAATGCACCTTCTGTTTCTAATTCCGCCCCCCCCCCGCTCACTCTTGAGCTCTAGAAATTCTGACTCACTGAAACGTTTTTCACAGAAACAACTCCACAGCTTCCAGCAGCTCCTCTTCATCCAAATCCTCTCTGCACATCACCACGTGGCTCTGTCAGAAAATGTGTCTGTCAGTGAAAGTTTATACACAGCCACATTTTCCCATTAATTTTCATTTTCTTTTTTTTCTTTCTTTCTTCCTTTCTTTTTTTTTTTTTTCTTTTTGAGAGCAGTTGCTCTATCGGCCAGGCTGGAGTGCAGTGACATGATCTCGCCTCACTGTAGCCGCCACCTCCTGGGCTCAAGTGATTCTCTTTTCAGCCTCTCAAGTAACTGGGATTACAGGCACCTGCCACCACACCCGGTAAATTTTTGTGTTTTTAGTAGAGACGAGGTTTCACCATGTTGGGAAGGCTGGTCTCAAATTCCTTACCTCAAATGATCCACCTGCCTCAGCCTCCCAGAGTGCTGGGATTGCAGGCGTGAGCCACCGTGCCTGGGCTAATTTCCATTTTCATTTCAAACATGCACTCCTATGGAAAGAAAAATTACATGAAGGTATAGTAAAAATCACTCTAAATTTAGTAACAATCATAAAATTTACCTCTTAGTACATTTGATATTTTAAAATTTACAATTCTTGTCTATGAATGGAAACCATGTCTATATAGGGTGGATGTTTGTATGACTGGGTGTATCCATGAGGTCAGAATACTAATTGATGGAACAATACTGCGTGGAAGGTGGTCTCTAGTGGAATGCCACGGAGTTTCCAATATAGTCTTAGAAATGAGTGTTGAAAGATAATGGTATGCTGGTCACATTCATTCAAGACAGAAAATTCTGGTAGACAGTAAAAATGTAGGTTGAACTAAAAACAAACAAACAACAACAAAAACCCAAGCTTCAGCAGTCTGAAATGATGGTCTAAGTCCAATACCACTACTTAACAGTGCTTTATAACTGAAGGGTTTTGTAATTTAGAGACTTTGAAATTTCCCGGGAATTTCTAGTGTAATCCACTGAGCAACAACCCAAGTGAGTCTGCTCTTGGACCACATTAAAAGAAGTTCAAGAAGCAAGGGAGATGTCAATCCCAATGTACTCACCCAGAACTGTGGCAGGGTCTGTTGGCTTACTGTGGGAGGGCACTGGCCAACTCACATAGGTCCAGGTGTGAGCAAACAGGATGAGGGAAAGGTTAAAGAAACTGGTGATGTTCAGCTTAATGCTGTCTTCAAATAATTAAGGATTTTAATATAGTAAAAGGAATAGACTTTTATCTCCAGTGTCAGTACAACCTGATGCTGGAATCGCCACACCATCTTCCACAATGGTTGAAATAATTTATATTCCTGCCAACAGTGTAAAATTGTTCCTATTTCTCCACAGCCTCAAACAGCATCTGTTGTTTCTTGACTTTTTAATAATCACCATTCTGATTGGTGTGAGACTGTATCGCATTGTGGTTTGGATTTCCATTTCTCTAATGATCAGTGTTGTTGAACTTTTTTTTATATGTTTGTTGGCCTCATAAACATCTTCTTTTGGGAAGTGTGTGTTCATGTCCTTTGCCCAGTTTTTAATGGTGTTGTTTGTTTTATTCTTGTAAATTTGTTTAAGCTTCTTGTAGATTCTGGATATTAGACCCTTGTCAGATGGATAGATTGCAAACATGCAAACATTTTCTCCCATTCTGTAGGTTGTCTCTTCACTCTGATGATAGTTTCTTTTGTTGCGCAGAAGCTCTATAGTTTAATTAGATCCCAGTTGTCAATTTTTGCTTTTGTTGCAGTTGCTTTTGATATTTTCACCATGATATCTTTGTCCGTGGTGGTATCGCCTAGATTTTCTTCTAGGGTTTGTATAGGTTTGGGTTTTACACTTAAGTCTTTAATCCATCTTGAGTTAATTTTTGTATAAGGTATGAGAAAGGGGTTCTGTTTCAATTTTCTGCATATGGCTAGCCAGTTCTCCCAGTACTATTTATTAAATAGAGAATCCTTTCCCCATTGCTTGCTTTTGTCAGATTTGTCAAAGATCAGATGGTTGTAGATGTGTGGTCTTATTTCTGAGTTCTTTATTCTGTTTCATTGGTCTATGCGTCTGTTTTTGTACCAGTACAATGCTGGTTTGGTTACTGTAGCCTTGTGGTATAGTTTGAAGTCAGGTAGTGTGATGCCTCCAGATTTGTTCTTTTTGCTTACAGTGTCTTGGCTATATGGGCTTTTTTGGTTCCATATGAATTGCAAAGTAGTTTTTTCTAATTATATGAAGAATGTCAATGGTAATTTAATGGGACTAGCATTGAATCTATAAATTTCTTTGGGCAGTGTGGCCATTTTCATGATATTGATTCTTCCTGTCCATGAGCATAGAATGTTTTTCCATTTGTTTGTGTGCTCTCTAATTTCCTTGAGCAGTGGTTTGTAGTTCTCTTTGAAGAGGTCCTTCGCTTCCCTTGTTAGCTGTATTCCTAGTTATTTTAGTCTCTTTATAGCAATTGTGAATGGGAGTTCATTCATGATTTGGCTCTCTGCTTGTCTGTTGTTGGTATACAGGAATGCTTGCAATTTTTGCACATTGATTCTGTATCCTGAGACTTTGCTGAAGTTGCTGATCAGCTTAAGAAGCTTTTTTGCTGACATGATAGGGTTTTTCTAGATATAGGATCATGTCATCTGCAAACAGAGACAGTTTAACCTCTTCTCTTCCTATTCAAATACTCTTTATTTCTTTTTCTTGCCTGATTGCGCTGGCCAGAACTTCCAATACTATGTTGAACAGGAGTGGTGAGACAGGGCATCCTTGTCTTGTGCTGGTTTTCAAGGGGGACATTCACATTTCAAACATGAGAAATAGGAAAGAAGAAAAGAGTAACAGGTCGTAAGCATGTTCAAAATCCATTAGGGCAAACAATACTATATCTCAAGGCTTGAGAATAATCTTTTTTTGATACTATGTCCTGCTGTCTGGACACAGTGATGGTTGGGAGGTTTGGAATTGGGCCCCAGCACTTTAGATAGCCTTATTCTAACAACTTTGTTGGGCTCAGTCCACCCTGCAGCTCTCACAGGTTGGAGTCTTGTGTCTTTCACTCTCCTATGCTGGTGTTTCACAATGGTAGCTCTACAAGTCTAGAGTCTCAGGGGTGGCCCTGACCCCACAGCTCTACTAGGCATTGTCCTAGTGAGGACTCTCTGTGGCAGCTTAGGCCCCACAGTTCCTCTGGTCATTGCTCTAGTGGGGGCTCTCTGTGGTTGTTCCATCCCTGTGACATCTCTGTCTGGTCCCCAAGGCTGTTTGTGACATTCTTTGAATCTAGCTGGTGGAAGCCATGTTGCCACAGCTCATGCATTCCATGAATCTGCAGAACTAGCACCATGTGGCCATGGCCAGGGTTTACTGGTTCACGCTCTGCAGCTGTGGCCCAAGCCACATCTGGGCCTGCTTTACCAACAGCTTGAATTGCTAAAGAACACTGTTCCTGAATGCCAAAAGTAGAGACTTAAGGTGACCTTCGGTTGGGAACTTCAAGTTCCTGAAGGCACTCTAGGCCTCTCTTTTGCCATTTTACTTGCCCCAGGTTTTGGCACTCTGGACCTGGGATAAGAGGGTCAGTACTGGTGGTCTCTGAAGTACCTTTGGGGTCATTTTTCCATTGTCCTGATTAATAGCCTTGGCTTCATTCTGTTCATACTAATCTTATCAAATGGCCACTTGGCCACAGCCTTGATTTCCTCACCTGAAAATGCTCTTTCATTCTCTATTAGGATCAAGCTGAGAATCCTTCAGATCTCTAAATTCTGTTTCCCTTTTAATTATAAATTCCATCTTTAAATCATTTCTTTCTTCTCATATTTTCCTTTATACACTTAAAGGAAGCCATGCAATATTCTGAGTATTTTACTGATTAGATATTTCTTCTGCCAGACATCCAAATTCATCACCCTCTACTTCCGCCTTTCATGAAGTCCTAGGACATGACCACAATTCAACCAAGTTCTTTGCCACTTTATAACAAGGATGGCCTTTTCTCTAATTTTCAATACCTTGTTCTTTATTTCCATCTGAGACTTCATCAGAATTGCCTTTACCATTCATATTTCTACCAACATTCTGATCACATCTACTTAGAGATTATCTAAGTAATCTCTAGGAAGTTTCAGACTTTCCCTACAGCTCTCATCTTTTAAGCCCTCACCAGAATCATTCTTAATGCTCATTTTCAGCAATATAGTCTTTTTCTAATCTGCTGCTCCAAATTCCTCCAGCCTCTGCCCATTATCCAGTTCCAAAGCTGCTTCTACATTTTCAAGTGTTTGTTATAAAAACAGTTCCACTCTCTATACCAATTTCTGTCTTAGTCCACTCTGTGCTGCTGTAACAGAATACCTGGGACTGGGTAATTTATAATGAACAGAAATTTATTGGCTCACAGATTTGGAGACTGGTAAGTCCAATATCAAGATGCTAGCAAGGGCCTTCTTGCTGTTTCATCACCTGGGGGAATGCAAGATGGCAAGGGAGATCAAAAGGGGGCTGAACTTCTCATTCTTTTATAAAAACAACAATTCCACCAATTAGTGGGGAGCCTTCATGGCCTAGTAATGTCTTAAAGGTTTCACATTTTAATAGTGTTACAAATAGTCTTGTCTTAAAGTTTCCACATCTTAACACTGTTACAAAGGCAACTAAATTTTAACAAGAGTTTTGAAAGGAACAAACATTTACACGACAGCAACTTCTATCATTGCCTCCTTGGTCAGTTGAAGGAAATCCTATCTATGCTAGATACTGAGGGTTTTGGATATTACAAACATCTTCCTTCTGATCTGTCAACTTTGACTGTAACACCATTATAATGTAATAAATTCATCAATGTTTTTGCCTAAAGATTGTGTTTTTGAGATTTGATTTAAGAAATTTGTCCCCAGCTCTATGTCACAAAGATAATCCTTGATATAGTTTGGATATTTGTCCCCACCCAAATCTCATGCTGAATTATAACCTCCAATGCTGGGGGTGGGGCCTGGCAGGAGGTGGTCAGGTCATGGGGGGCAGGCCCTTGTGGCTTGGTGCTGTCTTCGTGATGGTGAGTTCTAGTGAGATCTGGTCATGTAAAAACATGTGGCACCTCCCCCCACTGTCTCTCTCACTTGCTTCTGCTTTTGCCATGTGATGCGCCTGCTCCCTCTTTACCTTCTCCCATGATTGTAAGCTTCCTGAGGCCTCCCTAGAAGATGAGCAGATGCCAGCACCAAGCTTCCTGTACAGCCTACAGAACGGTGAGCCAATTAAACCTCTTTTCTTTATAAATTTCCCAGTCTCAAGTTTCTTGATAGCAATGCAAGAACAGCCTAACATAATCCCCTACATTATCTTTTATGAACTTTAGAGTTTAATCTTGCACATTTATGTATTTAATCCAGTTGAAGTCCACCTTTGAGTATGGTGTTAAGTAGAAATTCTCTCATATTTTTCTCCATGTAGTAAGCCAATTTTCCAAACACCATCTACTGAATAATCTACTTTTGTTGACTTGGGTTGCCAGGTTTATTATATACAAAATGCCTATATAAATACATGAATCTGTCTCTTAACATAATATATTGTTCCAATGGATTATTTATCTGCTCTTGGTAAAATACAAATTCTTTAAAATCTTAACACTATAATATGTCTTCATAGACTGGTAGGGCAGGTCACATCTATTTGTGCTTCTATTTCAAATTGTACTTACTTTTATGTGGACCTGTAAGCTTTCATATAAATATTATGGTAACATATTTTCCTTCCTCAAAAAAATTCAACTGGAATTTTTATTGAAATTGCCTTGAATTCGTACTTTGATTTGGGGAAAACCAGCATCTTCATAATACAAATATGTCCCACCTGAGAGCATGGGTTGTCTCTCCATTGAACTTTCTGTGTCACTCATTAATTTTTTTTTCGGCTCTTTCCTCCTCCGATTCAGCAGACAGCCGCATCTTCTCTCACATCGCCAGCCACATCCCTGAGACACCATGGTGAAGGTGAAGGTCAGGGTCAGTGGATTTGGTCGTATTGGGCGCCTGGTCAGCAGGGCTATTTTAACTCTGGTAAAGTGGATATTATCACCATCAGTGACCCCTTCATTGATCTCAAGTACATGGTCTACATGTTCCTGTATGATTCCACCCATGGCAAATTCCATGGCACCATCAAGGCTGAGAACGGGAAACTTGTCATCAATGGAAATCCCATCACCATCTTCCAGGAGCGAGATCCCTCCAAAATCAAATGGGGCACTGCTGGTGCTGAGTACATCGTGGAGCCCACCGGCACCTTTACCACCATGGAGAAGACTGGGGCTCACTTGCAGGGAGGAGCCAAAAGGGTCATCATCTCTGCCCCCTCTGCTGATGCCTCCGTGTTCATAATGGGTGTGAACAATGAGAAGTATGACAACAGCCTCAAGATCATCAGCAATGCCTCCTGTACCACCAACTGCTTAGCGCCCCGGGCCAAGGTCCTCCATGACAACTTTGGTATCGTGAAAGGACTCATGACCACAGTCCATGCCATCACCGCCACCCAGAAGACTGTGGATGGCCCCTCCAGGAAACTGTGGCATGACGGTGGTGGGACTCTCCAGAACATCATCCCTGCCTCTACTGGCACTGCCAAGGCTGTGGGCAAGGTCATCCCTGAGCTGAACGGGAAGCTCACTGGCATGGCCTTCTGTGTCCCCACTGCCAATGTGTCAGTCGTGGACCTGATCTACCATCTGGAAAAACCTACCAAATATCATGGCATCAAGAAGGTGGTGAAGGAGGCATCAGAGGGCTCCCTCTAGGGCATCCTGGGCTACAACACCGAGCACCAGGTTGTCTCCTTCGACTTCAACAGCGACATCCATTCTTCCACCTTTGATGTTGGGGCTGGCATTGCCCTCAACAACCACTGTGTCAAGCTCATTTCCTGGTATGAGAATGAATTTGGCTACAGCAACAGGGTGGTGGACGTCATGGCCCACAAGTCCTCCAAGGAGTAAGACCCCTGAACCACCAGCCCCAGTGACAGCACAAGAGGAAAAGAGAGGCCCTCACTGCTGGGGAGTCCCTGCCACACTCAGTCCCCTGCCACAATGAGAATCTCCCCTCCTCACAGTTTCCATGCAGACCCCCTGAAGAGGGAGTGGCCTAGGGAGCCCCACCTTGTCTTGTACCATCAACAAAGTCCCCTGTGCTCAGCCAAAAAAATAAATACATAAAATTTTTTTCTATAAAGTTTCTATGGATTAATGATCAATTCTTAAATATTCTAGTTTTGACTGGAATTTGGAATAATATTTTATTATTATTCCTAGTTTGTATTGTCAGTGTAGAAGATATCAAGATTTCTTAAGTTGTTCTTATCTAAAAATTTTGTTCAATTCTCTTACTAGTTCTAATAGTTGGAAGCTTTTTTGGACAGATGATTATATTATCTGCAAATAATAACAGTTTTATCTCCTTTCAAGTCTTACCTCTCCTACTTATTCTTTTTTCCTTATAGAATTGGTCACAAGCTTACAGACAAATGTTAATTAATAGGAGTGATGATGGGCATCTTTACATCATTTACAATTTCAGAGAAAATATTAAAAATGCCCCTAATCTGTGTAACGTTTAACATCACTTTTAGAGTAGACAACTTTAACAAGTTGAAGAAGTTCCTTTCTATTTCCAGTTAACAAGTTTTATTATACATATGTGTTGAATTGATCAAGAAGTTTTTCTGCATCAATTCAGATAATCCTGCATTTTACACTCTACTTAGCTGATATAATAAATTCTGTTGATATATTTATGATGGTGTATCATCTTGCATTCATGAGTCTTATTTAATTATTGTGTCTTTTTATCATACAGTTGGATTTTCTTAACTATATCTTGTTTAAGATATTTACATCTGTGTTCAAAATGAACTATGCCTATAATTGTTGGGGTGGATTGACCTTATCTATTTATAGAATGAAAAGTGGGAACAGGCACAGTGGCTCACACCTGTAATCCTAGTACTTTGGGAGGCAGAGGCGGGCGAATTGCTTGAGTCCAGGAGTTTGAGACCAACCTGGGCAACATAGTGAGACCCTATCTCTACAAAAAAATACAAAAATTAGCCAGGCATAGTGTGCCTGTTGTTCCAGCTACTCAGGAGGATGAGAGATAGAAGGATCACTTGAACTTGGAAGGTCGAGGTTGCCGTGACCTCTGATCATATCACTGCACTCCAGCCTAGGTGACAGAATAAAACCCTGTCTCAAAAGAAAAAGTGCAGGTTTTGGTCTTTTTTTAATAACTTATATAAAGCAGGAATTAATTATTTCTTAAAAGTTTAGTAGAACTTATTAATAAAACCTTCTGAGCCTTAGAGCCTTAGTGAGGAGAAAGATATTTTTAGTATTATATTTATATGGATGTACTGGGTGCCAATTAAAAGTATGGTTGAAACAATTTCAAAGACCCTGGTTAAGGGAGTCAATAAAGCACTTAATTTGGGCATAACTTGTTTTTAGGGTTCTATTTCTCTTCTACTACTCACTTCCCACCCTCTTCTTCATATTCCCGGAATGAGTCACACTGCCTGGTACATAGTAGATGTTTTCTGGTTGAACCGATTAAATTTGGGTACCCATTATCATTCACCTCCTTCCTGGCCCGGAAGCCTAAGGGAGACCTACCTGCTTCTTCTCATTCTAAATAGATGCCAATTATTCTACGCAATACAAATTGTCCTTTAGCACCTTAAACTTCAAGTATTAGAAATAGGCTATTGTAACAATGTTAGTGAGTCCACCACGGCCACGGCCCATGGGAAATTTTTTAGCCAGTTCTGTCTATCCCACCTTGGCCAGGGGATGGAACTTTGCCTTTGGGCCCCCATGTCTTCACAAGCTGCCTAAGTGCCAGCCTCTGCCCAAGGGTCTTACCTACAGGTATCCCATCTATGGAGGGCAAGGAGTCCCCAGGTGATGTGGGGTTGGGCCACCCACACTCAGGCCACTGAACCACTCGCTGGTCATTGGGAACAGAAATCCTGTAAATCAAGAACACAGCTCCCTCTTTCTCTTTGTGGCTCATTTCTCAACCTTATATCTGTTGTTTTTGTTTTTTCTTCCCCTCATATCAGGATGACTTAATCTTTGAGGCCAAAAACCTGCTCAGCAACCAAGTTTCTGAGTCTTGACAACTCACACTGGGGTTAAAGAGTCTTTGGGACTTTGTTTTCAGTTTGATGTTGGCTAGAGGGGCTTATTAGGTACCAACAAATGAGAAAAAAGGAAGAAGAAAACAGAAAACAGAGAGGCTAATACTTGAGAGATATAGGCCTGCCACACATCCACATTCACATGTACCCACATACTCAGGGGTTACCCTCCTGCTAAGTCAATGGACAACCAAATGCTCTGTCTATGTGATAGCCCTGCTCAGTCTATGGGATAGCCCTGCTCTGTCTATGTGATAGCCCTGCTCAGTCTATGGGATAGCCCTGCTCTGTGGAACAGCCATTTTGCCGTACACTGTTGCTCTGACAAACTTTCTTTTACTGCCAGCTTGCTCTTAAATTCTTTTCTAAGTGAAGCCAAGCACCCACCCAGGCTAAGCCCCAGTTTTGGTGTTCACCTGCCTTGCATCAGTACTGCTGGGCTTGCCACTTGTACCTATGGACACGTAGCAGGACTCCACTGGACCACAAAATGCAATGTCTACCTGCTTTGGAGCCTGACAACTAATAAATACATGTGAGGCAGAATTGAGTCTCAGCTTTTTTAAGTTATAACAGTGCACTTGGTGTCAGGTTATAGAGGTAATTCATCTCTAGCTACTGCTGATTAACAACGTTACTAACAGAACCTGAAAGCTGTTCGCTAACCCATGCTTCCTACCACCCTCCCACAACTGACCAGACCAAGGATTGGTGCCTGAACCAAAGGCAGACGACTACACAGGGGATTGGGGCCAAATTACCCAAAGTGGCCCCCACTGAAATCTTCCCCTGGGAATATAAATAGCAGAGGTACAAAGGCGGTGGGCAGGAGCAGACATAATGCAGGGAGAGGGCAAGTGGTGGGGCTCATGAGGCAGAGCACAGAGAAAGCGTTAGTGTGGAGTGGGCGGCACAGGAGCAGACATATGTCAAGGCACAATTGTGGCAAAGTCAGTGGAGGAAGCAACCTGGGTCTCTAGAGCCGCTGGGAAATAAGGCTGCGACCAGACAATCAGAGCTCCCGCTGGATCCAAAGGGGCGTCTCAGGACTTGTGGGGTGAGCAGCCAGCAGAACAGAATGTCTGGGGTCCAGACAGTGTGGTCCTGGTGGCTGCCCCACTGCCTGACTTCTGGTCCATAGGTCAAAAACATTAAGATATGCTGGTGAAGACATTTTTAAAACCTGCAAACACTGACCTGCATTGTGAAAACAAGAATGATACCAACTGGTTTGTTAGCTAATGACATAATTTTAGCAGACCTCCCTCACTTATTAAATAAGGAAGCATTCTTTCCCGGAAGCTGTTTCTGTATTTAAGCAGAACCCAACAAGGCCTAATTAGAGCTCTTATCAGGATCTTCATATGGATGCTGCATGAAATAAGAGTCAAATGGGAGAAAGCTTTAAATATCAAGGTTTTGAAAACAGGAGAGATTGGAGAACATGATGATGCATTAAATCAATTGTTGCGCAAACACGTATTGGCTGCCCCTATATGAAGGGCATTCTGGGTGATAAAAGCAGTGCACCATGGTCTCTTTTCTCAAACAGCTAAAAATGCAGTAGAGCTGACAACCTTCTACAAAATTTCCATGATGAAAAGTAGTGTGGAATATAATAGAGGCATGAACAAAATATTTAAATGTGGCTAGTCATGTGAATATTTTTATATAAATCTGCCTTTATTTAAAAAAAAAGTCCTTTCCTAAGCTCCTTATAATTCACCTTTCTGTCTTGTTTTAATGAGAATTGCTGCTATTGAAACTTTTGATCGACCAAGATTTCAGAGGGGCTGTTGGCTTTTCCTTTGTCTTTACCACCCATTAGCTATTTGTTGTGATCAATGAGCAGACTAAAGAAGGTTCAAACTAAAGTTTTATTATTAACGTGAGAGACAACATTGATATGGATGGTTTTCAGCATAAATACTTATCTTACTAGTATGTACTAGGTAACTGATATACACATGAGGAGTGCCTAATAGGGTCTGGCTCTGTGTTGCCACCCAAATCTCATCTTGAATGGTAATCTGAATTGTAATCCCCACTTGTTGGGGGAGGGATCTGCAGGAGGTGATTAGATAGATCATGGGGGTGGTTCCCCCATGCTTTTCTCATGATAGTGAGTGAGTTCTCATGAGATCTGATGATTTCATAAGGGGCTTTCCCCACCTTTGGTTGGCACTTCTCTCTCCTGCCACCATGTGAAGAAGGACATGTTTGCTTCCCCTTACACTGTGATTATAAGTTTCCTGAGATCTCCCCAGCCATGCAGGACTGTGAGTCAACTAAACCTTTTTCCTTATAAATTCTCCAGTCTTGGGCAGTTCTTTATAGCAGCGTGAGAACAGACTAATACAGTGCCTGCCCTGGGAAGAAGCCAACACAGAGGAAAATCAGACACAAATAACAGAACCAGAGATGGATTTTTTTATTTGAGCAATTGCTTCTTACGTCCAGTCATGTTACAAAAGCCAATAAACATAGATCGATCTGTACTAATTTGTATTTGTGCAGTCCTTGTACTGTAATAGTCTTAGGACTATTTCTGTTATAAAGCAAACTATTGGAAAGCTTTTCATCATATCTACTACTCTCTGAAATAATATATAGGGCACAATCATTTTCTTTACATTTTTGAAATTATTTGCATAAAACTACCTAGTATTGGTGCATTTTAAAAATTTCTTCTATGATTGATTACAAGTACAAAGACCAGGCAAGGTGTTTTCTGAAGTGGAGCACTTTTGAGGGTAAAAATGAATGCTAACCAGGTGGATGCGAAGAAAACAGATATAAAACAATATACTCCTAGACAAACCAGGGGATATTGTGGGTTTTGGCAAGAAAAGGGTTAGCCGCTGCCCTGCAACCTGTTCTTTCTCTCAGAGACCCACGGAAGATAAAGAAACATTGAAGAAACCGCCTGGTCAAATCTCCTTGTAAAGATATGAATCAGATTTCTTCATATTTACTTGTGGAAAGATAATGGAGCATCCTCAACTATAGAATGCTTTTAGCAGGCTATCCCTGGTCTACCTAGGTTACATATGGTAAGTGAGCACAGGATTTATAGATTTGTATTGCAATGGGGCCCCTGGAAAATGTTAATGTCGAATGTGTAATTATCATAGTGTAAAATGGAGATGTATTCATGATTGAAATCCTTTCTTTGTGAAAGCAATGTCCAGCATGTGACTAGAGCTTTACATGATAAATCTTGGCAATTAAGAACTTGTGATCACACTGGTGGTCTTAGTATTCTTGCGTCAACAGAGTCTTGTGATTATCTGTGCCTTTTGAATCACTAGCAAAGCTTCATAAGGGTACAATTTATGATTTTTTTATAAGTCTGATTTGACAATTTGACATAATTTTCTAATTTTCTTATTAGGGAGTTGTGCAGAATATATGCTTATAATTTTTCCAATCTCTTCTCTACCTTTGCTTATATAGCCATCCCTAATCCTAACATAATGTATTTGAGTCTTTCTTATTTCCTTGATTGTCTTTGCCTTTAGAATTCTGCCTGCCACAGTTGCATACATAATGACACAGATGTAATGCCATTTTACCCATAAATACTTCAGTGTGCATTTTCTAAAAGCAAGTATATTATCTTATGTAACCACAGTCCAATTATTAAAATCAAGAACTAACCTTGATAGAGTACTGGTATCTAATCAACAGACCTTTTCCAAATGTTGCCAGGTGTTCCACTAACTCTCTCTATAGGGAAACTAACAACAGGCAGGCTTCCAGTCCAGGCTGCAGACCAGGATCTCATGCTGTGCTTGGCTGTCTTGTTTCTTCAGCCTCCATTAATTGGAAACATCTCCTTGGTCTTTCTTTATCTTTCACAACCTTGATTTTTTAAAGAGTGTATGGCCTATACAGTTTTTCAAAAGACACTTCTTAAACAATGTGCTGGAGTTGAAGGAGAATTTACCTAGGATCAGTTTTGTTAGAACCATTCACTCCTATTGAAAGACAGAGAAGGCCCTACAAATGACAGGCACAAATAAAAATGATAAAAGCAAAATATTAAAATTATACAATAAAAAATGCAAGGTTTTTATTTTTGTTTGCTTTGTTTACTGTTAAACATTCAGATCAAAATAACTTCCTGAAATATCAACATAAAAATCTGAGTAAGCATGTCACTATGAAGAAAAAATTGTATTTTCTAAGAAACAATTTTTCTTCTCAGCTCCTTTTTATTTGATGTTGATCAAAACATACAGTTGACAACTTAGAAGATGAAAGAAAATGTTATACCTGAACACATGCACACCTGTTACTTTATGTTTAATAGAGGAATGGGATAGGTGTTGGGGGATAATCAAAGACTAGGGAAAAAATAGTCAGAAGATGGTGCAACCAACTCATGCTGTCCCAGCAGTGGATATACTACTCTCCATGCACACCCAGCTCTGAAAAAAATAGCAAGTTGTTCATTTGCTTGTGTTGTGGTGCTTTGGGTTTTTACTAGACACCTTTGACTAGCATGGAATATAGTAATCTTATCTGCATTCTCTGTTTCCACATGTGCTGTTTCTTGGATTTGCTGCTTTGATCCTACTGGAATTTGATCTAACGTAATTGATTCTTCTTCAGGCTCATTGATTTCTTTTGTGGCACATTCTCTTTATAGTCAATCACACCATAAAACCATCTTGCCCACCGCCTTTAAGTAAACAGGATCATGGTTTTCCATCCTACCTCCCTCCTTTGGCTTAGTTTCCACCCCACTCATCACGGGACTCTCCCCAGGAGCTCCTTCACTGCCAGACTCCCTCGACTTGCAGTAGTGCACACGGTCTGCAGCAGGGGATGCAGAAAACAGGGCGGTGGTTCTTGTGTGCTTTCCAATGCGTTTGTATATTTATTGCACTTTTCTTTCTAGTGTATCAGATGCTAAAAACATCTGTTTCTTGAATGCTGAAATATTTCCATGGATGTAGTCACTTTGAGGGTACAAATCTCCACTGTATATGTGCGTATCTACATCATCATCCTTATTTGTCACAGTATTTAGACCCTCAATCAGTTAGTTTATCTCTGTCTCCCAGAGTTTGAGAGGAGTGCCAAAGGCATCACCACACTCCAGTTTGTTTCCTCTTGTTCTGTCTTCGTGAGTGAGCCCTCTCAATGCATATTCAACTTCTTTTCCATTCAGGAAACTCTTCTTAAGATTACTTCAAATTCATTTGATCTTGTTTTCTTCATTAAATTGGTTCTTCTCTCTCTATGCCCATGTTTATTAACTAACCTCTCGTCTTTCTTTCCACTTCCCCCGGATTTCCACGAGCTTTCCAAGGGCGTCCTCCGCAGTCCCTACTAGCTGCCCCACCGTGTCAGTCTCCTCACTGCTTCTATCACGCATTGCAAGAATGTGATTGTGCTTTCAACTGCTGTAACCCTTTCTTGGGAGTTCATTGCAGATTGTAAAATCTGATATTTTATTTTTACCTCATTGTCTTTCTTTTTAACTGAATTTGTTCTTTCCAAAAACTTTCTTGCTCTTGACTCAAATGGGATTTGTCTTCTCCTATATACAATACAAAACTTTTAAAATATTTCTGTTGAATCTTGGAGTACATCATTTTTAGATATGTCTACACTTTACCCTTCAGCCACACACACACACACACACACACACATGCACGCACACACTCCTGAATCCTGTTGCCAGCGAAATCACCTTCCCTGTGCATACCCAGCAGGCAGGTGACTGTGCAGAGCCAACGCCTGGCTTCTTCCCACCTCACCTGGTCAGCCCTGCTGCTCCCACTCACGCAGTCCTGGAAGGCTGCACCAGGGGCACCCTGAGAACACACGCTCCGCGTGCTGTCTTCACCGCCGACTGGAGGGATGGGTCATCAGGAGCAGAAGTGGTGACAGAACCCAGCATCTTCATTCCTTTTCAAGTGGCATCTTTCTTTCTTTCTTTGTTTCTTTTTTTTTTTTTTTTTTTTTTTTTTTTTTGAGGCGGAGTCTCGCTCTGCCGCCCAGGCTGGAGTACAGTGGCGCGATCTCGACTCACTGCAAGCTCCGCCTCCCGGGTTCACGCCATTCTCCTGCCTCAGCCTCCCGTGTAGCTGGGACTACAGGCGCCCGCCACCACGCCCGGCTAATTTTTTGGTATTTTTAGTAGAGACAGGGTTTCATCATGTTAGCCAGGATGGTCTCGATCTCCTGACGTCGTGAACCACCCGCCTCGGCCTCCCAAAGAGCTGGGATTACAGGCTTGAGGCACCGCGCCCGGCCGAAGTAAGGCTTCTTCTTAATTGGCTTCCATCTACTTGGCAGTTATTAAAGATTTCTCACCGACACTAAGTATAGGTCACCTGCCAGCTGTCATCTGGGCCGGTGCCCTCACACTTGTCACAGAGGGGGGGCTGGGCTTGTGAGAGTCCCTTGCATGCCTTTCTGGGACCCCCACGGAGGGATGTGAGGCCATATTCATTCAATACTCGCCTCTTTCCTGCTCTGTTTTCCACCTTCCATGCAGGCTATGATGCCTTTGGCTAACCAGGGACAGGTGGAGGAGCCGTTCTTCCAGGTGCTCAGCTGACACCCGGGAGACCATCGGGCTTCCGAGGCAGGAAATGGCCTCTCCTGAGGCAGAAGCGGTGGCTGGGGCGATTTCCACTCACGAGTCCCACGGCGTCTGAGGTGCCAGGAGGCCCTGGTGTTCTCCAGCAGAAACACTGGGTCGTGGGTGAGTTATCACAGAAAGCATAGTGAGACGTATGGATATAGTTTTTTAATTTCATTTTATTTCCGAAGAGAGGAAAACAAAGCTATCAATTAAGGGGTTCATAAACAAGTCTCCAGAAAGGAATCTGACCAAGAGTTTCCCAAATTGTTACTTTAGGTTTTCATCTTCTTCTGTATCTTTTTCTAGAAATTGAGAAATATCTGTTAAGCCTGGTGACATTTTTAAACCCCAGAACAAGTGCAGCTTCCTTTCATTCAGGAGCTAACTTGTTTATCAAACTGACATGTAACATGAGCAAAAGCCACTATCTGGGGCTAAGAGGCGTCATTCCCCTTGGGTCCTGAAACTGCTCTGGACATGGGCTAAGTGATCCAGAATTTATGGGCTTGAGTGCTGGGGTTCACTGTGGTAAAGATGCCTGAGGACTGGTAGAGGACTTCAGTCTCTTCTTGCACCTTTCTTTGTTAAGCAAGAACCATTGGTATCAGTGCCAAAGCTGAACAAATGTCCAATCAATTTCCTGAATTAAAAATGAACTCAGAGAGCATGGCTGCCTCTGGAAGGAAGGGGTCTGGGAGGGCACAGCTCAGGCTAACCTCATGTCCCCAAATGCTTGCCTGGTTCTCTTTCTACCAAGACGTAAAAATAAAACTCTTCTGTAATTTTTCCACATTTTTTCGCTATAAAATAGTGGCTATCTACATGCCTACTTTATGTAGTTTTCTAGAAGTGCTTCATATCTACAAATTTTTTAGGATTTTGACACAAACTAAAAATCTCAACAATACCATTATTTTAAAAATAAGCCATTTCTTTGTTTTTTCTTCTTTACCTAGAAAGCGATCTCAGATATGCATTCTTAAGCAATTTCTAAATGCATCTATATGGTACTATGAAGTACTGTCAAACTGAGGATATTTATTAAAATCATAAATACATAAGTTTGTGAAAGCTAAAAATTTCAGTCACCAAGCACTTTTTCTCACAAATTTTTCTAAGCAAAACATCTGTAGCTGAAATAACCAGAATCACATGTATTTCCAAATTTTGTAAACATCTCCAATTTCCTGGATTTCTTCTCCTCTAATATTTGAGAACCAACTCTTTATGAGAACACAAGAAAATGCTGAATGTGGCAGGCATACAAATGGTCTCAGCTTACAGAATTTAACCTGGGTATTATATATTTCAGTACCATATGGAAATAAGTAGCTTAACAAATATTACACATTCTACAATTTCAGCATTTGCACATGTGAAGGGATCGGAATTAACTATTGAAGCTCTTGGGAAACTCTTGGCTGTTGAGTAATTTATTGCACGGAAAGCATCCACACAGCCAAGAACAATTTACTGAACCAGAAACCCAGAGGCTGTTTATAAAACTTTCTTATAAATCCCAATGATAATAGACACATTTTAAAGGCTTTTTTGGTCATTTGGCTCACAGTTTCAGTGGTGTGCAAAGCAAATAACATACCACCACAGTTGCATTTTTGGTTAGGCAGAAGACCCGACTTTTTCTGTGTCAACATAGATATGGACGTAGTATGGAATTTCCCTGGGATAGTCTAGGTGGAGCTGCTACAAGATGTGGCAGAGTGATAGACAAGAAGCCAACAGCTGCCATTAGTAGTGGAAAAAGAACACTCACACTTCTTAGTTATGCGAGAAATAGATCATGTATAAACTACATTCACCAAAAACTATGATCACTCAGTCGGTCATCCTACTGTTTTGGGATGCTTGGGGTGTTGCTTTTTTCACCGGAAACCTCTGTGGCTGGTGGCACCTTTGCCTGAGTTTTGCTGAGGCCCACTGGGCTCATCCCACCCACTCGGCCTGGCAGGCTGTGCTCAGCTCACACTACCAGCCTGGGTCCCACACCTGCCAAGGGCAAGCCAGGCATGGAGCAGTGAGGGGTGTGTGAGCAAGAAAGCATGGGGTCTGTCCACGGCGCACAGTCAGGCACTCTGTCTGCTGCAGCAGAGTGGGCAGCTCCAGGTGCTGGCATAGGTGCCAGCTCTTTGCAAGGCTGCAGCTGGACTAGGTGCACCACAAGCAGCTTCCACAGGTGCCACTAGGGAATGCAGTGGTGCCCAGAAGCCTGGAGACTCCAGGAACAACCGGGCCCCAAAGAGGGAGTCACAGCCCTGGTTTAAGGAGCTCCCAAGTCTGGGGTCCCTGAAGGGCCACAGCTCTTCTCTCTTTTTCTTCACCCACAACATGGCGAGCAAGGGGTGTGTTTCAGCCCTGTTTGTGTTATAGCTCTTTCAGCCCTGCCATTCAGCTGGTCCCAAGTTCTTGCCCTGCATCCAGGAAGAACTACGTATGCAGACAAGTGGAAGGTGAGCAAGGTGAAGAAGAGCTTTATTGAGTGACAGAATAGCTCAGAGGAAACCCTGGAGAGGGTAGCTCCTCTCTGCAGCTGGTCATTCCCATGTCTGCTCAGTTGTGGCCTGAGCCCAGAGCTTTTATGGACCTCAGAGGGGTGGAAGTGCTTGCTGATTGGTCCATGGATAGCCATGGGCAGTGCGGAAAAAGCAGTGCAAGTTCACACTCCAGTCTGCAGGACCAGCAGCCCAGCCCCCAGTCTTCAGTCTCTCCCTGGCCTGAAGGTGGCGCTTCACCAGGGACCTGCCCCTTTCTACCCAAGAACTTGTCTGCCTCTTGCTGCCTTTCATGGCACCCAGGCTGTAGGTGCCAAGGGGCGCCTCTAGGCCAGTGCCAAGCTGCCCTCCGCATACCCTCAGCTTCTCTCCTATGCTCATTGGCACCCTAAATGCCAAGGGGGCTGAGGAGGCATGGAGCTGGCTCTGTGGAGCCAGAGGCCGGAGTCTGCAGCCAGGATTTGGGTGGCTGCCGCTGCACCCAGGGAGCTCCTGCCCCACCAACTTGGAGGGGGTGGGGCTCCCACTTGTCTGTGGCTCCTGCCAGCTCTACAGAGTGTGCAGCCCTGGCCATGCCTCTCTGCTGCCGCCAGTGTGATGGCAGCAGCTGCTCGAGACCAGCTACCGCTGCTCGAGACAGGCCGCCACTGCCATCACTACAATATTTGTTATGCAATAATTATGAGTCAAGCATTTAGGCTGAGAGGTGAGGAATGAAAACAGGGAGCACAGGAGAAGAAGTACCTGTCTCTTTCTTAGAGTTACAAAAACTTCACAAAGGTTATCCACCATCTTTGAACTGTTATTTGAAAAGCAATTAACCATTTCTAGGTAGCCAAGCAAGAGGAGAACATCTCTGGCACAAAAGTGACTTTTAAAGCATACCCTAGGACAGTTGAAGACATTAAGCAGTTAATAGGCAATGAACATGTATAATAAAGCATTTACCATGTCTAAGAAATTATACAAGAAGTTATAAGAACAAAAGGACAAAGAAAAGATACACATATCATTGGAAATGACTAATAGGAATGTAAGGACATCAGACAATAGGAGAGAAAACGTAAGATAAAAGTTAGAGTGCAGCCGGTACTCAAGATATATATCATATATTTCTGAACACTTGGAAACTGGGCACTGTACTTGCAACCAGCCGAAGAAAAGAGGAAAAACAATCTATTACCCAATTGGCAATGCAAAAAAAAAAAAAGTTTTTTTTTTAAAAAACACTAGTTGTTCCAGAGAAGCACAGATTAATTTAACTAAGCCCTGACATATATTTCTCCAGAACATAGAGATGATTCCCTGTCGCATAGTAAACAAGGTACATAACAACATTAGCACTGTAAGAAAAGCTTGTATGGAAAATGGTGCCCTTTACTGTCAATTTCAGGTACAATAACCAAAACACATTTTAGTAAATTAAATTCTATTTGGGGTCAAATTAATTCAACCCAAGGCATTTCTCTTTCCCAGGAAGGAGTTCAGAGGCAGTATCCAAAGACAGATTCAAAGTTTTCCTCAGAAAGTAATTCTGGATTGATTACAACACAGAGAGCGGCCAAGGTGATTTTAGCTTAGTAAACTAGACAAACTCACAAAGCCCATTTTGGGTTCCAAGACCAGCTAAAATGGAGATTTGGTACAAGGTTGCTTGCACTGGGCCTTCCTACCAGACCAACAAATGAGCAGTGCAGAGAATTCATGACCAGCCAAGAAAACAACAGTGTGGATGAGTGCATTCCTAAACCCTCTTTAGTTGCTCACTAAGAAGCAACTGAAGTCTGACACCATGTAAAGAGGAGTGTCTAGGCTGCTGGAGAGACCACGTGGAGAAAAAATATTTGGCCAGCTGTCAGCAATGACAGCCATTCCAACAGAAGCACCAAATATGTGAGTGAAGTCATCTTGCAGCCACATGAGTAACACCAAGTGAAGTGAACAGAACTGTCCAGCTGAGCCCCATCCATACCACAGAACAGTAGGTGACCAATGGTTATTGCTTTCAGCACTGAGTTACGGGCTAGTTTGCCAAATAGCATTACGTTACTACAATAGCTGCACACTTGGGAAACATTTAAAACCCATGCATTCAAACACCTTCTAAGACTCCCCCTCCCCCAAAGTCCATACAAAGCAATAAAACATCTCACATGGAGCACCATTCTTCCTGACTGACTAAATAAATCAAAGGATTATATAGGCTATTACCTCTCAATTGGTTAAACGCTAAAGAACATCATGGCTATTTATGGCTAACAGGATCAAAAAGTGCTTCCAACAACTGTACAAAACATCCCGAACAAAAGACATACATCCACCAAAAATGAGAGTCTCGCTTTTGAAAAAATTGCTCTTAATTCCTTCTCCTGGGTTTTGTGTAGAGCCCCTAAATAAATCAAAATCTAGAAGTGTGGGCGGAAGACAGTATGGGAAGAGAAGTTCCGTCTAGGTATAAAAAGCACCATGAACAAGGCCTGGAGGTACCTGGAAGTGTCCATGCTCCAGGACAATGTAGCCTTGTGAAGGACAGGGTAGCAGTGCTGGAGGCATGGTTGGAGCTGTGGCAGAGAACAACACCTCTGTAGCTGTTTCTAGAGCCACTGTAACAAAGTACCACAACCTGAATAGAGGCCGGAAGTTCAAAATCAAGGTGTCCGCAGGGTCATGCTCTCTGAAGGCTCCAGGGGAGGATACTTCCTGCCTCTTCCAGCTTCTGGTGTTGCTGGAAATCCTTGGTGATTCTTGGTGTGTGACTGCATCTCTCCAACCTCTGCCCCCACTGCCAAATGTGCTCTCCCGGTATGTTTCTGTGTCTTTGCCTGGGGTGCCCCTCTGTGTGTCTGTGTCTCATCTCCCTCTTCTTACAAGGACACCAGTCACTGGATCAGGACCCACCTTAATCCAGTATGACCTCACCATATCTTGACCGATTATACCTCAAAAACCCTATTTCAAATAAGGTCTCATTCTAAGGGTCATGGTGAACATGAATTTTTGAGGGATACTTTTGAAACCAGTACAACCTTCAATTGCAAGTGCAGGTGCTTGGACTTTTTCACCATACAACCACCCCATTGGAGCCTGAGAGTTCAGTGAATTGCTTCAATGGAGAGGATGATGTCTGGACCTTATATGAATCGAGGGATGACCCTGACCCTCCTTTCATGATCAGAGACATTTAAAGTTTGCTGTTCGACTCTCTTGTGTGTAATGTGTGTAATTTTCTCCCTAACTAGAATGTTCCTGAGGGGCTGTGACCTACATTTTTTTTTGTCAATGTATTATACAGTAAGTATTTTTTGACATGAAACATTTTGAGAGGAGTGAAAGGAAACCAGGAATAGAACAACATGTATTGAGTCCCCACTGTCGAGCATGATTCATACATTATCTCATTAGGCATCATTAGGCTCCTCTCAAAGAGGAGAAAATGGATGAATACAGAAGCTTTGAGGCTGCCCTAGGCCATGCACAAATACACGGTTTGAATGTTTAACGCACCTTTAGGGGACCCAGCATGTGCACCATAACCGCATTTAACAAATCAGACTCCAAAGCGTTGTGGGAGGGATCAGTGTGGCCACAGGCTACGAATTTGATCTCTTTTAGAGTATTTCAAGAAAAGCTATTAGATGCTGGATTTCCTTTCCTTTCAAATTATTTTTGGTTACTAGATTGTACTTCTATAAATGCAAGTGGCCCACATGGGCACCAGAATTAAAAAGTTATGAACATAAAATATAGACACATTAAAATTCTGTAAGAAAAGACTATTTGGTAGAAATTTGTATCTTTTTTCCTTCCTCATATTTTTCTGAATTTTTAAATGAACACTTTTACTTCTATAACAGAAAAAATAAACATCAAAAATAAAAATTAGGAAGAAGAATTTTGACCTTGGCATTTTAGGCCAGGACTTGAATACTGACTTCACATTGACTGGCTAAGTGACTTGTATGACATCACTATCATCTTGGCCCATATCTATAAAAACAGATGAAAATATCATCTAATTGTCAAGACTGTGGAGACTCAAATTAGGTCTTGAAGTTTCAAGTGCCTCACATGGAGTAAAACACATCACATGTGGCACGCATGCGTGGAGCTACCACATCCTTTCTCTCCCTGAGCAGCGAGTCAGCTGCCAGTAGAAGTGACCACGGCTCAGTAGTGTCCAAGATGCTTCTTGCACACCCCAGTGCAACACTGTCCACAGCCAACGCCTCATTTGCAAATCAGTCTCCCACTAGAGTATTAGTCGTTATAAGCAGACTGCATATTCATCCTATGCCAACATCCCCCAGAACAGCTCCCAGCATGTGGTAGGAGTCAATATATTTTGAATTCATAAACAAATTAATATTACTCAACCATATGGTCTTATCAATTTTAAGAAACATGAATATTTTAGAAGGACAGACCTTTTCTTTAATACTATTTTACAGTTTGGAATCCTGACAATGCATTTAAAATGCAGCCCTCTAAATTTGGGGAGGAAAGTGTCACACGACTAATATCTCTGACCTAAAAGGATCAAGACATTTAAATAGCAAAACAAGAGGAAAATATAGAAAAAAAATCTGAAGACATGAAAGGAAGAAAAATTAACTTTTGGCTAGCTCTTCTACCTGGAGATAGTCTGGAGTCCTGAAACACACATACTACGTGAACTCCACGCTTCAATTATCTTGGAAGACATCAAAAGTTTCCTTCATGCCACATTGTCATAAGTGGAGTTTGCAGTGTGGATTGTTAGTTTTTAAACAGCCCAATAAGTCAATGCCCATACTGCGCTGAAACTTATACACTTGTTTAGAGTAATGGATTGCTGAAACTTACACACTTGTTTAGAGTAATGGACAGTGCAGATTTTAAGGCACCAACTAAAAACGAAGCCATGGCAAATATACCAAACAAGCTCCTTAGGCTTAGAATTCTTCACCAAGTAGTTACATTACCCACTTGAATTATATTTTTAAATTCTGTATAAGTTAATCTCTAAAATAGTAAAGATTAATATAAGGATTTCAAATTTTCAGAGCGCTACCATGGCAAAGAGTCCTGCTGCTTGTATCCTTACAAAAGTGCATGAATTTCCGCCGGGTGCCGTGGCTCATGCTTGTAATCCCAGCACTTTGGGAGGCCGAGGCAGGTGGATCACCTGAGGTCAGGAGTTCAAGACCAGCCTAGCCAACATGGCAAAACCTCATCTCTACTAAAAATACAAAAATTTGCTAGGCATAGTGGTAGTTGCCTGTAATCCCAGCTACTCTGGAGGCTGAGGCATGAGAATCACTTGAACCCAGGAGGTGGAGGTTGCAGTGAGCCGAGATCACGCCACTGCACTCCAGCCTGGGGGATAGAGGGAGACTCTGTCACACACACACACACACAGACACACACACACACACAAAAAGCACATGAGTTTCCTTTGCTGTGCAGAAGCTTTATAGTTTCATATCATCCCATTTGCTTATTTTTGCTTTTGTTGACAGTGCTTTTGACATCTTATTCATAAAATATTTTCCCAGTCCAATTTTCTGAAGCACTTTACCTGGGTATTCTTCCAGTGGTTTTAGTTTCAGGTCTTACCTTTAGGCCTTTGATCCGTTTTGAGTTAGTTTTTGTACAGGGTGAGAGGTGGGGGTCTAGTTTCATTCTCCTGCGTGTGGGTATGCAGGTTTACCTGGCATTTAATGAAAAGACTGTCCTTTCCTCAATGAGTATTCTTGGCACCTTTGTCAAAAATCAGTTGGCTATAGATACATGGATTAACTTCTGGGTTCTTTATTCTGTTCCATTGGTCTGTGTGTCTGTTTTTAGGCCAGTACCATGCTATTTTGGTTTCTACAGCTTTGTAGTATATTTTGAAGTCAGGTAGTGTGATGCTTCCAGCTTTGCTCATTTTGGTTAGGATTGCTTTGGCTCTTCAGGCTTTTTTTTGTGGTTCCATTCAAATTTTAGATTTTTTTTTTCTATTTCTGTGAAGTATGCCATTGTTATTCTGATAAGGATTGCACTAACTCTGTAGATTGCTTTGGGTAGTATTGTCTTTTTAATAATATTAATGCCTCCAATTCAAGAGCATGGGATGTCTTTCCATTTGTATCCTTTTGAATTTCTTTCATCAGTGTTTTGTAGTTTTCCTTGTAGAGGTCATTTTCACCTCCTTGGTTAATTTGTTCCTAGGGATTTTATTTTTTATAGCTATTTTAAATTACGATTGCCTTATTGATTTTTTGTTTGTTTGTTTGTTTTGAGACAGAGTCTCGCTGGAGTGCAGTGGTATGATCTCGGCTCACTGCAACCTCCACCTCCTGTGTTCAAGCAATTCTCCTACCTCAGCCTCCTGAGTAACTGGGACTACAGGTGGCCACCACCACGCCTGGCTAATTTTTTTGTATTTTTAGTAGAAACAGGCTTTCACCATGTTGGTCAGGATGGTCTCGATCTCCTGACCTCATGATCCACCCACCTTGGCCTCCCAAAGTGCTGGGATTACAGGCATGAGCCACCACACCCATGCTTGATTTCTTTTTCAGCTAGCTTATTGTTCATGTATAGCAATGCTTCTGATTTTTGTATATTCATTTTGTATCCTGCAATCAACAGACTGAAAACACAGCCTACAGTATGGGAGAAAATATCTGGAAATTACACATCCAACAGGGGGATAATATCCAGAATATACAAGGAGCTCAAGCATCTCAACATTAATAAAACAATTAATTCAATTTAAAAGTGGGCAAATGAGCTGAACAAACATTTCTCAAAAGAAGACATACAGATAGCCAACAAATGTATTTTAAAATGTTCAACATCAGTAATCATCAGGGAAATGCAAATCAAAACCACAATGAGATATCATCTCACCCCAGTTAGAATGGCTGTTATCAAAAAGACAAAAAACAAAAAATGCTGGCAAGAATGCGAAGAAAAGAAAACTCTCATACACTGTTGATGAAAATGTAAACCAGTGCAACCCCTATGGAGAACAGTATGGAGGTTTCTCAACAAACTACAAATAAAACAACCTTATGATCTAGCAATCCCACTACTGGGCATTTACCCAAAGGAAAGAAAATCAGTATATTGAAGAGATATCTGCACCCTCATGTTTATTACAGCACTATTCACAACAGCCAAGATATGGAACCAACCTAGGTGTCCATCAACAGATGAATGGATAAAGAAAATGTGGCATATATACACAATGGGATACTACTGAGCCATAACAAACAATAAAATCCTGTGATTTGGAGCAACATGGATGAGCCTGAAGGGCATTATGTTAAATGAAATAAGCGAGGAATGGAAGATTAAACACCACATGTTCTCACTCATATGTGGAAGCCAAAAAAAAAAAGTGCATCTCACAGAAGCAAAAAGTAGAACAGAGGATGCTAGAGGCTGGGAAGGATGGAGGGAGGAAGGATGGGGGAGATCTGTTAAAGGACACAAAATCATAGCTAGACAGGAGGAATAAGTCTGAGTGTTCTATGCCACTGCAGGATGACCAGAGTTAACAGTCATAGCTTCAAATAGCTGGAAGAAGACATCGAATGTTCCCAACATGAAGAAATGATAAATGTTTGAGATGATGGACATGCCAATTACCCTGATCCGATCCCTGTACATTATACATCAAAGCATTACTATGTACCCAAGATTATGTACAATTACTATTTGCCGATTAAGAAAATAAAATAGACAAAGTTTAAAAAGTTCATGAGTTGCTGTTTCCTATGCATGTATAATACACATGTACATATAAACATATGACATAGATATACATGTGCATATATGTACACAATGTGCACATACAGTCAGCCCTCTGTATTCAAAGTTTCCACATCCATGAATTTGACAAACTGCAGATCAAAAAAATTAATCAATCAATAATAACAATGCAACAATAAGAAATAATACAAATGTAAAAAACAATAAACATAAAAACTATTTACATAGCACTCACATTGTGTTAGCTATTACAAGCAATCTAGAGATTATTTAAAATATACAAGAGGATGTACATAGATTACATGCAAATCCTACAGGACTTTATATCAGGACGGTGAGCACCTGTGGATTTTGGTAACCGCAAGGAGTCCTGAAGCCAATCCCCTGCAGATCCTGAGGGATGACTGTACATATTCAACATACACATGTGTTTGCATGTACATATACGTATCCAGTGTAATTGTACGTATGCTATGTAAGTATACATATGCAGATACAGACACATTTATTCTCAGACTTCCAAAGTCAATAAATAGAGTTTTGTTTTCAGTCGTGCCACACTCTCTGTATTGAAAGGGGGAATTAGATTTAATACTGCTTGGTAGCAATGGAGTAACATACCCATCTGATTTTTTTAAGATGGCGTTTTTACCTGTATCAAGCATTTTTTTTAAAAAAATCTAACTGCTATTAAACATGCAATATATTCTGCCCTTACATTTTTCAGCCATACCTCATATTCATAAATGGGCAGATTCTATGGCTGACAGGAAAGTGACAGATCATTCAAAACATACACTTTAAAAATAACAAGTGATTCTACAGACCTGCTGCTTATGAATTAGACAGGCAAGCCACTTATCCTACATAAATTTGTTTATGCATCTGTAAATTTAGAATAGCAAGTGCTGACTTCCAGAATAAGGGTTAGAAACAATAATGAATATGCGAGCAATTTCTAAATTTTAAGGTTATTTAGAAACACAAGCATTTTATTATAAATGCTAGTCCTGGAAAATTGATGTCATGTTTGTTATGGGACTTCTATTACCTCAAAGTCCTTTCCATGTCCTATCCTAAATCGAAGAGCCTCCAGTGACATGTCTTCCCGAACCTTCTATTTTTCTTTTTCTTTCTCGTCTGCATCTGTTTCTAACAGATGATGTAACACTTACATCTCTTTAAGAATTCTGCTGGGCTGCTTAGCAGGCTCCTCTGACCAATTTTATTGACTGTTGAGACAGATTTGAAAAAATCTGAGTTTTAGAATCAATATTTTAAAACGCAGTACCTTTCCAAAACTCTGTAAGCTGGCCCACAGCTATTATGGTTGATAAAGTGCTGACTCACACCTTTTTTTGTGGAAGAAAGAAGGCCGTATGTTTTAAGAGACACAGCCATTAGATTTTTTCATAAATGCAGGTGGAATCTCCACTTTGAAAAGTAAATACCTCCAGCATCCCCCCAAACCAATCATTTCATATAACTGGCCATTTTTACAAGACTCCAAATACACATTCAGGGACAATTTAGAGGTGGAAACCTGTGATTGTTCAAACCATTTGATCGCTTTTTCTTTTAAGGAGAATTAAGGCAGAGAAATCTGCTCTGTCCCAAGCTCAGGTGGGATACCACGCTCAGAGTGGGCTCTTTAGGAGGACTCCATGCCTGCAACAGCTGCCAACAGGGAGCACGCAAAACAGGTCATCCAACAGCCACATTTCAGGGAATCAGGGGCTCGCTGGCGGTTTCCAGACTGTTCTGTACTCTCACAAAAAGAAACACAAACCAACTTACTGTGGATTCGAGCCAGTCGAAGATATGCTTCCAAGAGCCAGAGAAAGGCAATGAGGTGATGGCGGGACTTCCAGCAGTGCCACAGCTGGGCGTGTGCTCACTTACCAGCTTACATACTGCCTGGGTATTGTTTATGGCCATTGCTTTTCTATGTGAACGTATGATGAGGGTTGATGTAAATCTATGTCAACCATATAATCCAATAAAGCAGGAGCTGTGTTTTATTAAAAAATAATAAAATTAAAGTACTTTAGGGATAAGCTCATGGTCTTGGGAGAAAATATATTTTCTCAGTGCCTCAATTTCTCAGTCCATGAAATGGGTGACCAGATACCATGATGTTATAAGGTGTTGTAAGACAGAAAAAAAAATAAAAATTCAAATTTAACTGGCATTCAAATCACCTGAGTCTCTTGTTGAAAAGTAGGTTCTGATTCAGCAGGTCTGGGGGGAGATCAGATATTCTGCCCCTCTAACCAGCTCCCTGGTGATGCTGAGGCTGTATTCTGGGGACCACACGGTGAGTAGCAGGGAGATAGAGGAGAACGCTATTCCTAGGCAGCATAGTGTTTTATGCTTCCTAGGGTTGCCTAGTCAGATAAATTGAAGAAAAGGAACTTTACAGTGAAATATAATCCAAATGCCATAAGGGCTATCAAAAGGCAAAGTGCATTAAAATATTTTATTAGAAACAAGATAGAACAATGGGAAGACTTGAGTAATTGTTTCCAGTCTACTTTCAATGTGTTTCCTGATGACCAACATCCAACTCATTTCTCCTGGCTCAGTTCAGCTAGTGAGGACTAAGCAGAGGTGTGTTATTCACACCTATTTAGATGCTGTGTCCTGGATTGTCGAGCACAGCCCTCATTTTAAAGTTCTGCTTCATCGCTCCTTTTAGCACATTCTATTGGATCATAAATCCTTAGTTCTGGTTCAGACAACATGGCCACTATGTTAGTTTAGGCTGTCTCACTGCTCTAACAGCTACGGTTTCGCCTTATGCTGGCTGGCGTCGAGTTGGGGCTGCACACTGTCCTTCGGGGCCCAGCTCTCTTCTTCCTAGTGGCTCTGCTGTTCCCTAGAGTCTCAAGTTCCTTGGGTCCTCTGCATTTGGGTGATGTTTTAGAGACCAGGCCTGAAAGTGGCAGACATCGCCTCGTCTCCTGGTGGGAGCCCAGCCCCATGACTCCCCTGACTGCAGGGCACGCAGAGCCAGACACAGGGCCAGGAGGGAAGGAAACACAGCATTCTCTCTGCCCGGCTGCCCATTTAGCACTAGGTGGATTATTAACTCTCTAAACAATGAAGAACACACTGGACTTGAAGAGTGAGTGCCAACAGGGAAGGGAAGGGATGGCAGCGGAACGTGAGCTCAGGACAGGCTCTAAGCTGGGCCTTGGGACCCATCTCTTGCCCAGGGAAAGGGGGTCTTTGGAGAACTGTTAGCTCCCTCAGACCAAATGCATTCCCACCACAGCCGAAAGGCCTCCCAGGAACTAGAGCAGTCCACGAGTGAGGCCCGGGAAGAGGAGTACAGGACAGTCTGCAGATACAGGGGGTCTCAGGTGCAGCTCAGACCTTAGGAATCTGAATATTCCCCCAAGGCCCATTCCACCCCATCCATGCCTGACAAAAACACTCCGCTTCTTGATGAGGAAGGAATCATTACCCGGGGCCCAACTGGACTGCCCCCAGGGGTGTGTGTAGGGGGTGGGGGGTGAGTGTGGTTGTGTGTGTGTTGTGTGGGGGAGTGTGGTTGTGTGCGGGGTGTGTGGTTGTGTGTGGGGTTGTGTGTGGAGTGTTTGTGTTGTGTGTGGTTTGTGTGTGTGTGTTGTATGTGATGGTGTGGGTGTTGTGTGTGATGGTGTGTGGTGGTGTATGGGATGTGTGTGTGGTTGTGTGTGAGGTGTGTGTGTGGTTGTGTGTGGGTGTGTGTGGTTGTGTGTGTGGGTGTGCGTGGTTGTGTGTGTGGGTGTGCGTGGTTGTGTGTGTGTCCGGGAATGGCAGGAGAGGGCCGTCACAGTTAATGTATATGTTACACTCAGAGAAGACTCTTACCACCAAAGCTCAATTATTTTTCAAACTCTAAATGCAGACAATGTAGCCATATGGAAAAATTGGTTGATGACAACAAAATGGTTTGTTGTTGTTGTTGTTGTTGTTGTTGTTTTGTAGTTTGGTAGATCATCTCTATCTGGCCGAGTATTGTTCAAACCCCCTCCTGAGCCTCAGCCAGGGACTGCTCTAGCTCCTGGAAGGCCACGTGGCTAGCGTTGGAATGGATTTGGCCCGAGAGAGCTAAAGATTCTCCAAAGAGAATCTTTGTCACAAATATGTTCCTTTAGCACCAACTTACATGACATGACTTTCGGGTCAAATGCAGGTGACAATGACCGGTCTGTGCGTCACACAGGGTTCCCACCGTCTGCTTAGGTTTTAAGGTGAAACTGATTCTAATGATGTTTTCAGTCTGTGTGGTTTTGTGTGTGAAACTAAAGGCTTGCTCTAAGAAAGCACATGGGGCTGAGGCAGGAGAATGGCGTGAACCCAGGAGGCGGAGCTTGCAGTGAGCCGAGATCGTGCCACTGCCCTCCAGCCTGGGCGACAGAGCAAGACTCCGTCTCAAAAAAAAAAAAAAAAAAAAAAAAGCACATGGGCGGGCTAATGATGATTTTGTCTCTGAGTTTGAAGGAATTCAGCCAGTGGGCGGAGGGAAAGTCCTCATTGTAGAAATTAAATTTATATCCCAAGGAAAGTCAGCCTCTTTTTGGAAAATCTCAGGTAGCATCCAAAATTTAGCAAATGGTTTGACCACGAACAGACACCACATGGAAACCTAGGAGCAGTCAAAAGACCTGGCAGCCTCCATCTGAGGTACCTGGCTTTGTTCCTCTGTCACCACAGAGCCACCTGCCTAGGGGGCCTTCCCCACTCTCTAAAAGCTGAGGGGAAGCACAGACTACCCTGAGATATAGCTCTCAGATTTGCATATTTTTGTTTGACAAATATTTGGAATTATCCTTTTTTAATTTGAATGTCTCTTCATAACAAAGACAGGCCTAGAAAAAAATTGATGGGTCAAGAGAGTGGTATAGATTAAAAAGATAAAAAGTACCCAGTTTCCAGTGTACCTTTTGTTTGCCAGAGAAAGAAGGAGGAAAGGGAAGCACGGAGGGTGAGAGGAATCATGAGTACAGATATGTCTTCTAAAGGGCACCCAAAAATGACACACACACAACCCTAATCATGGGTTTATGTATAAAGTACCTTAGAATTAAGTCAGAGTCACTGTAGGCTTGGAAAAGTATTCAAGGGGAAATTTAAAATGCATTACCTCAAACTTTTGTTAGTATATTTGAAGCTATTCCACTTTAAAACTTGCCATACATTCCCATCTCAAATAACCAAAGGACTTTCAATCTGCTGAAGGTTCTATTTCAGGTCCTCTAGTTTCCACCACAATCTTCCACTGAAGTCTGCAGAAGCTCCTTCAGTCAGTGGCCTGGAAAACAGTATGGACCCAAGTGTGCCTGTCTCTCCTTTACTCTGATCTTTCTCACTCTGGGCGCACGCGGTAGCAGCAGCACCCAGCCCCAGTGCACTCTGCTGGGGAAGCAGGGGATGAAGCATAAGCGAGAATACGGTGTTTCTCCTTCTTCCCTGCCACCACCATTGCTGAGAAAACTTGTACGGATGTGCCCATCCCAAATGTTCATGAAATGCTCTCACATTTATAGGGCAGGCCCCTGCGTGGAAAATGAGGAAAAAATACTGGAGTTGAACAAACTGGCTCTGAATCCTGCTTTCCAAGTTACAACTTTGGGCAAATTATTTAACCTCTTTAAAACTCAGTTTCTTAATTGGTAAAAGGGGCATTATCACAGTTCATTCAGCATTGCATTGAGATTTAGTGAGCTGGTTGTCAACAGCAGATAATCAATTGCATCCATTTATTATGTCCCATCATGGACACATTCTCAAGGACAGCAGCTCTCTGATCACCCTGGCTCTCTACTGCATTAGAAATTTCTATATTTCTTTTTTTGTTGTTTTTTTAGACAGAGTCTTGCTCTATTGCCCAGGCTGGAGTGCAGGGGTGCGATCTTGGCTCAATGCAACCTCCACCTCCCTGGTTCAAGCAATTCCCCTGCCTCACCTCCCAAGTAGCTGGGATTACAGGCACAGGCCACCACGCCCAGCTAATTCTTTTGTATTTTTAGTAGAGATCGGGTTTCACCATGTTGGTCAGACCGGTCTTGAACTCCTGACCTCAGGCAATCCGTCTGCCTTGGCCTCCCAAAGTGCTGGGATTACAGGCATGAACCACTGTATCTGGCCAGAAATTTCTCTATTTCTAATGGATGATTCCCATCAAGACAAAGTCAATCTCCAGTATATCTCTGTTTAAAACTCTGTACCTTGATTTTACACCCCATTTCTGTTTTCTTCATAGACAAACTATCTTAGTCCATTTTGCATTGCTATAACAGAATACCACAGACTACCCCAATAGTTTAAAAGCAAAAGAATTGTACTTCTTACAGTTCTGGAGGCTGGGAAGTCTAAGAGCATGGCACTGGCATCTTGTGAGAGCCTCTTGCTACATCGTAACACGGTAGAGGGCATCACATGGCGAAAGGGGAAGAGGGTGACTGTTAGCTCAGGCCTCCCTTCCTTAAAAAGCCATCAGTCCCATCTTAGGGGCTCCACCCTGATGACCTCATCTAATCCTAATTACCTCCCAAAGGCCCCACCTGCAATCAACACATGAATTTGGAGATTACATTTTCAACACATGAAATTTGGGGAATACATTCAAACCATAGCACAGCTTTTCAAAGATTTATCTACAAATGCTGCCTTCATTTTTACCACTGATTTATTTCTCTTCATCCTTTAGTTTAGCTTCCACCCCCAATATGCCACTTGTCATGCATAACCTCCATTTTATCAAATTTCTGTCCTGATCTTACCTCAGGTAGCAGTCTTCATAGCTGAGACTCCATCCTAAAAACACCATCCTTTCTGGCTTCTGCCATTTTGCTCTATTCTGGGTTTCCTTTCACCTGGATAGTTACTCCTCGTCTGTCTTCTTGGTGAGATTCTCCTCCCCTTTTGAACCCTAAATATTTTGTGATCCTAAGCTTTCTCATTTTTCCTAGGAATTTAATTATCATCTTTATGCCATGAACTCTAATGTTAATCTCTAGCCCAGACTTTCTTCCAAGCTTCAAACTTTTATATCCAACTGATGTGATATCACTGCCATCTCAAACTCAGCATTTCTGAAAAAAAACTCTTTGAAATGTACAGCCAGCACCCAGACCCTTCCTCAGTACACAGGGCACCATTCATTCAGTTAAACCTAGCCATTGCACACAAATTCCCCCTTTGTTTTCAGGTTCACATCCAATTCCAAGCAAACCTGGTCAATCAACTTCCTGAATGATCCCAATCCTCCTCTTGGTTCTGTCTCCATGTGTCCAACATGTCCTCTCATCTTTCATGGAGATGAATGCCAACACCCAACAGGTCTTTCCGTACTTATTACTGTGTCTTAGCCCCTTCAGTTATCCTCTTTTTCTTTCCTGAAAACTACTCAATGATTTCCCAAATTTCTTATCATGACTTTTACAACCCTGCATGTCTTACAGGTTTTTACCTATCTTATCTCTCTAACCTCATCATAATCTACTCTTTCCCTCAACTCACTCACATGACATTTAGTTGGTTCCTAGAATATGCCACATATGCTACATTTTTTTTTTAACTGAAGGGTTCTTCATACAAGCTGTTTCCTCTGTCTGGATTTCTCTTATCCAAACAATTTGTATGACTAGCCTTTTTCATGCTTTGTGTCTAAGAAAACATCACACTCTAAGAAGTTAGTTCCATCTCCCACATTCTATAATGACAGCCTTGTTTGTTTGCTCTAGAGCAAGTTCTCTTAGAGTTGGGCTCAGACTGTCTTTTTTTTTTTTTTTTTTTTTTGAGGCGGAGTTTCGCTCTGTCGCCCAGGCTGGAGTGCAGTGGCGCGATCTCGACTCACTGCAAGCTCCGCCTCCCGGGTTCACGCCATTCTCCTGCCTCAGCCTCCCGTGTAGCTGGGACTACAGGCGCGCGCCACCATGCCCGGCTAATTTTTGTATTTTTAGTAGAGACGGGGTTTCACCGTGTTAGCCAGGATGGTCTCGATCTCCTGACCTCGTGATCCGCCCGTCTCGGCCTCCCAAAGTGCTGGGATTACAGGCGTGAGCCACCGCGCCCGGCCAGACTGTCTTGTTTAACATTGTGCCCAGCACCTAGCACAATGCTTGACACATAGTAGGTCCTTAATAAATATTTGAAGAGTAGATAAAAATTATTATATTTAATAATAAAACTTGCACTGCCTACTTCATAGGGTAAGGAAAATCGAACAGAACATGTTATTGGAAAATACTTTGCAATTGTAATACAATTAAAGTAAAATATATTAACATTTTACCTACTATGCATATATATTGGTACATTTCAATATATGTGATATCTCATCCATAAAGGCCATTGATATTTTTTAAAGGAACACATATGTATAATTTTAAAAAATCCTCTTCAGCAAGTTAACTTTACGTGCTAATACCATTAATATGGGAGCATGTTTTTATTTATCTAAAATTATATCTATTTACTTTCTGGCAAGCTGTGTTTTACCAGTTGGAATGCTTTTGTCTGTAAGTAACAAAAAAACTACAATCAAAGCAACAACAATAACAACTTGACTCAAGCTGACTTAAAGTATAAAATAATAAGGAGCTTTATAATCTCACATAGCAAGAATGCCAGAGGTAGGTGTAGTACAGGGTTGGTAAACACGGTCCCTCAGAGAGCTCATCTGAGGCTCAGGGTCTCCGATGGACACATCTCTGCACTCTGCTATCCTTAGACAAAGACACTCCTTGACTCAGGCTCCTCTGAGCCCGCTCTCGGCTGATGGTATAGATGAAGGTGGTGGCAATGGATATAGGGGAAATTGGGAGTTTTAAGATATCTTTTAAAGCTTGAAACCACAAAACTGACTAAAGAATAGGATGATGGGAAAAGGTAATCAGGGGTGACCATCTAGTTTGAGAAACTGGGTGTGTGGTTGGTGATGCCACTTACTGAGATGGCGAGGAAGCAGTTTGGGAGGAGGAATCAGGAATTCCATTTTAAACAGGTTACATTTGAGTTGCCTGTGAAGCGTCCAGTAAGAGGTATTCCTAAGATGATGTAATAGTCAGACTTCATTTCAAAAGAAATATCTGAGTTAGGGATATAATTGGAGTCTTCTCAATTTGCAAATGACATTTATAGCCCTGGGAATTAATGAAGTCACCTAAGGAAAGAGTACTGATAAAGAATGGAGTGTGGTTAAAGAAGGCAAATGATTTCTTTCTGTTTTTAATTTAACTTTTATTTTAAGTTCAGGGGTACATGTGTTATATAGGAAAATTTGTGTCATAGGGGATTTGTTGTACAGATTATTTCCTCACCCAGGTACTAAGCCTAGTATCCAATAGCTATTTTTCCTGATCATTTCCCTCCTTCCACCCTCCATCCTACAATAGGCCCCAGTGTGTGGTGTTCCCCACCATTTGTCCATGTGTTCTCATCATTTAGCTCCCTCTTACAAGTAAGAGCATGCAGTATTTGGTTTTCTGTTCCTGCATTAGTTTGCTAAGGATGATGCCCTGCAGCTCCATCCATGTTCCTGAAAAGGACATGATCTCATTCTTTCGTATGGCTGCGTCGCCGTCTATGGTGTATATACAGCATATTCTCTGTATCCAGTCTACTAATGATGCACAGTTACGTTGATTCCATGCTTTTGCTATTGTGAGTAGTGCTGCAGTGAATATACATGTGCAGGTGTCTTTACAATAGAATGATTTATATTGCTTTGGGCAGTATGGCCATTTTAACGATATTGATTCTTCCTATTCATGAGCATGGAATGTTTTTCCATTTGTGTCATCTCTGATTTCTTTGAGCAGTGTTTTGTAGTTGTCCTTGTAGAGATCTTTCACCTTCCTGGTTAGTTGTATTCCTAGGTATTTTATTTTGTGTGTGTGGCAGTTGTGAATGGGAGTTTGCTCCTGATTTGGCTCTCAGATATATACCCAGTAATGATATCCAGTAATGGGATCATTGGGTAGAATGGTATTTCTGTTTTTAGGTCTTCGAGGAACTGCCACACTATTGTGTCTTTCACAATGGTTGAACGAATTTACACTGCCACCAACAGTGTATAAGCATTCCTTTTTCTCTGTAACCTCGCCAACATCTGTTATTTTTTGACTTTTCAATAGCCATTCTGACTAGTGTGAGATAGTATCTCATTGTGGTTTTGATTTGCATTCCTCTAATGATCTGTGATTTGAGCTTTTTCTCATATGCTTCTTAGCTGCATATATGTCTTCTTTTGAAAAATGGCTGTTCATGTCCTTTGCCTACTTTTTAATGGTATTGTTTACTTTTTTCTTGTAAATTTGTTTAAGATCTTTATAGATGCTGGATATTAGACCTTTGTAAGATGCATAGTTTGCAAAAATTTTCTTCCATTCTATAGATTGTCTGTGCACTCTGTTGATAGTTTGTTGTGCAGAAACTCTTTAGTTTAATTAGATTCCATATGCCAATTTTTGCTTTTTTGCAATTGCTTTGGTGTCTTTGCCATGAAATCTTTGCCCATTCTTATGTCCAGAATGGTAATGCCTAGGCTGTCTTCCAAAGTTTTTATAGTTTTGGGTTTTATGTTTAAGTCTTTAATCCATCTTGAGTTAATTTTTGCATATGGTCTAAGGAAGGGATCCAGTTTTAATCTTCTGCATATGGCTAGCCATTTATCCCAGCACCATTTATTTAATTTTTGTATATGGTGTAAGGAAGGGATTCAGTTTCAATCTTCTGCATATGGCTAGCCAGTTATCCCAGCGCTATTTATTGAATAGGGAATACTTTCCCCATTGCTTGTTTTTGTCACATTTGTTGAAGATCAGAGGGTTGTAGGTGTGCAGGCTTATTTCTCGGTTCTCTTTTCTGTTTCATTGGTCTATCTGTCTGTTTTTGTACCATTACCATGCTGTTTGGGTTACTGTAGCCCTGTAGTATAGTTTGAAGTCAAGTAACATGATGCTTCTAGCTTTGTTCTTTTTGCTTAGGATTGCCTTGGATATTCGGAGTCTTTTTTGATTCAAAATGAATTTTAAAATAGTGTTTTTCTAGTTCCATGAAAAATGTTGATGGTAGTTTAGCACGAATAGCATTGAATCTGTAAATTGCTTTGGGTGGTATGGCCATTTTAATGATATTGATTCTTCCTATCCATGAGCATGGACTGTTTTTCCACTTGTGTCATCTCTGATTTCTTTGAGCAGTGTTTTGTAGTTATCCTTGTAGAGATCTTTCACCTTCCTGGTTAGTTGTATTCCTAGGTATTTTATTTTTTGTGTGTGTGGCAATTGTGAATGGGAGTTTGCTCCTGATTTGGCTCTCAGCTTGACTGTTGTTGTTGTATAGAAATGTTAGTGATTTTTGCACATGAATTTTGTATCCTGAGACTTTGCTGAAGTTGTTTATCAGCTGTAGGAGCTTTTGGGCCAAGACTATGGGGGTTTTATAGATAAAGATCATGTCGTCTGCAAACAGGGATAGTTTGGCTTTCTCTCTTCTTTTTTGGGTGTAATTTACTTCTTTCTCTTGCCTGATTGCCCTGGCTAACACTTCTAACACTATGTTGAATAGGAGTGGTAAAAGAAGGCATGTTTGCCTTGTGCCAGTTTTCAAGGGGAATGCTTCCAGCTTTTGTCCATTCAGTATGATGTTGGTTGTGGGTTTGTCATAGATGGCTCTTATTATTTTGAGGTATGTTCCTTCAATACATAGTTTATTGAGAGTTTTTAATATGAAGGGGTGTTGAATTTTTTTGAAAGCCTTTTCTGCATGTATTGAGGTAATCATGTGTTTTTTGTCTTTGGTTGTGTTTATGTGATGAATCACATTTCTTGATTTGCCTGTGTCGAACATTGCAATCTTGCATCCCAGGGATAAAGCTTAGTTGATCATGGTGGATAAACTTTTTGATGTGCTACTGGGTTTGGTTTACCAGTATTTTGTTGAAGATTTTTGCATCAATGTTCATCAAGGATATTAGCCTGAAGTTTTCTCTTTTTTTGTTGTATCTCTTCCAGGTTTTGGTATCAGGATAATGCTGGCCCATAGAATGATTTAGGGATGAATCCCTTCTGCTCAGTTCTTTTAGAATAGTTTCTGCAGGAATGGCACCAGCTCTTCTTTGTACATCTGGTAGAATTCAGTTGTGAATCCATCTGGTCCTGGGCTTTTCTTGGTTGGCAGTCTATCAGTTTCAGACCTTGTTATTGCTCTGTTCGGGGATTCAGTTTCTTCCTGGTTCAGTCTTGGGAGGGTGTATGTGTCCAGGAACTTATCTATTTCTTCTAGATTTTTTGGCTTATGTGCATAGAGTTGTTCATAATATTCTCTGTTATTTGTATTTCTGTGAGGTCAGTGGTAATATCCCTCTTGTTTTTGATTATGTTTATTTAAATCTTCTCTCTTTTCTTCTTTATTAACCTAGCTAGTGATCTATCTACTTTATTAATTTAAAAAAAAAACAGCTCCTGGATTTATTGATCTTTTGAGTGGTTTTTCTTGTCCCAATTTCCTTCAGTTCACCTCTGATTTTGGTTATTTCTTGTCTTGAAGGCAGATGATTTCTTATGGAGGTGAATATTTGCTTATGTAAGGCCCAGCCTTCTAAGGACCCCATTTCTACATATCTGTCCCAGAGAAATGAAAAGCTTATCTTTAACTGAAAAACCTGGACATGAGTGTTCATGTCAACATTATTCATAATTATTCAAAACTGGAAGCAACAGAAATGAGGCCAAATCTGGAGGCTTTATCTGACCGTTATGATCCACTAACCTCCCGTCGTGCAGAAGACTGTGTGTTACTCTCACGTCTGCATCCAAGGGATCGCACCATGCAGTGGAGATCACAACTGCCCCACGGAGGCAGAGATTAAGAAGATAGGCAGAACACGCATTGTCATTCCCAGAAGGGTGGTTGTTTATAAATCTGAAACCAAACTATTAAATAACAGCAGCTGTAGCGCTCCTCTTAACCAACAACATAACAAAAATATCTCCAGTTATTCTGACCAAGGTCTGCACAGAGTCAGCCCTAGAATTCTGACGCAATCCCACTAGAAAATACTGGATAAGTTTTTCTCCTAAAATGTTAGGGAATTTGAGAAACAGAGTCACATCACATACTTCAACAGAGTACAGTTCAACAAACTCAGCCTATCTTCATCACACATTTTAAAACCGAATTATGTATGCAACTCCTTTCTGTAAAACAAACACTCTTTCTTTTTTCTTTTCTTTTTTTTTTTTTTTGAGACAGAGTCTGCCTCTGCCGCCCAGGCTGGAGTGCAGTGGCGCCATCTCAGCTCACTGCAACCGCCGCCTCCCGGGTTCAAGCAATTCTCTGCCTCCGCCTCCCGACCAGCTGGGATTACAGTGACGCGCCACCATGCCCGGCTAATTTTTGTATTTTTAGCAGAGACGGGGTTTCACCATCTTGCCCAGGCTGCTCTTTAACTCCTGACCTCGTGATCCACCCACCTCGGGCTCCCAAGGTGCTGGGATTACAGGCGTGAGCCACCGCGCCCGGCCAAAACAAACACTTTTACGACAATTGAAAAATAGAAGTTTCCAATTCAATTTTGCAACTAAAAAATAATAATAATGTGGTGCCTTCATGTTAAACTTTGGAAAAAGCCAGGGAAGTGGCTTGCTCTGGTGAATAAATTCTGTAGACCCTTAAGGCTGTTCGCAGCGTACACCAAGACTTCCGAGGCAAGTGGGGGCTCCCCCTGGCGGCTGCGCCGGGTGGCTGCTCCGGGATTGTGCGGACCTCCGAGCTACACCGTCTCCAACCAACAGAAGCCAGCAGGAACCTGCCTTAGATGTGGTAAGTGATCTAGCTAAGCACCGTGGACAGAGAGAGTTGCAAGAAAAATGGTGGCATAAAGTAACTGATCCTAACATTTCACCTACGAATTGACCCCTTGCAGGGAATGAGACAACACAACTTCTCCCATAGGCCTGGTGGTCAGAGAGGCTGGATCAAGAATCTCCACAGCCCAGCGAGAAGCCACGCGAACACACCCCTGTGTGGGTATCCGTGACCTGGCGGCCTGCAGAACTCCTGGGCCAGAGACGTCCTCATCCTGTTGGAATATCCAGGTATCTCCACTCCGAATATCCTCATCTTCCTGGAACCCCTCTTTTTCTCCTAACATTCTCTTAAATGAAATTCCATATCTGCTACAACACAGAAAGAGAGGCGGAACAAGAAAAACTGGTGATCCACTAATAAGAAGGCCCTGGAGCCTCTCGATGTTTAATCTTCTCAAGGGATGAGAATGTGTCTCGTACTTCTCAGCATCTGAAACGCAGCCTTCGCTAATGGGTCAGTTTCACTGGACGTACTCCCAGGATCATAGATGGCAGCCGGGGAAGGCAGTGAGGGTGGAAATGTCTCACTAGGCTGAATTGAAGTGAGGCCTACCCGTTGCCTCCTTTGCATGTGTTTAAGTATTAGAAGAATCTAGTAATTTGCCCATAAGAGATAATCAAACAAGAAAACAAAGGTGTATGTGCAAAGATTTGAATCTTAGCTTTATTTGAAATAACAGAAAATTGGAAGTCAATTCATGTCCATCAGCGTGGGGCTGGCCACCTGCCAATTCATGTCCATTTCCCTGGAGGGAAATGACCCAACCATGGAGAGAACGATGTTCACTGATTGCATTGGCGTGGCAAGAACTCCATGGCATGTTGCATCATGAAGAAAGCTGCCCCGCAAAATGAGATGCGATTGACGTTGATGTGTCTGTACTTGTGCAAAGAGAGATTTGGGAAAGGAAGTTTACTGAAGTGTTAACAATGGGTTACAAGTTTTGAAGTGATTTTAATTTCTTTTTTTTTAAGTTTCTGTTAGGCTGGGATTTTCCCCATAGATATGCATCATCTATGTCAGCAATCCCCAACCTTTTGGGCACCAGGACAGGTTTCGTGAAAGACAATTTTTCCACGGACCAGGAGTGGGAGGGACGGTTTCAGGATGATTCAAGCACATTACGTTTATCATTAGATTCTCACAAGGAGCATGCAAGCTAGATCCCTTGCATGCCCAGTTCACAATAGGGTTCGTGCTCCTATGAGAATCTGATGTTGCCACTGGTCTGACAGGAGGTGGAGCTCAGCTTCGCTCACTTGCCCCACCACTCACCTCCTGCTGTGCAGCCCAGTTCCTAACAGGCCACAGACCAGTATACCAGTCTGTCACCTGGGGGTTGGGGATCCCTGATTTTTGTAATTGGAAGTAAAGTTGTTCGCATTACTTTAAAATAAAGACAGTACCATCGTTATAAAGTATTCTCTAAGTGCAATCATAGGGAAAAGTTCTGCTGAAAACTCTAGGGATGGTTAGTCGTTTTAGGGAAATACGGGGAACTAGATGGATTCTGGTTTTTATTTATCTTCCTTCAAAACAGCTACTAGTAATCTGCAGAAAAGATGCATGGGAAATAAACCAGGAAAACTGAGCCCAAAGTGAGGTGCAAAGGTTCTAAAAGGATCAGTGGTCAATGATGTCGTGGCATGTATCAGCTGAATCCAAAGTTGATGTGAGTTCCAAAATTATACTGAGACTTTGGGGGAAAACAAAGGCTCAGCTATGCTCATCCATCAGATTTCAGTTCCTTCATCAGTTCCTTGAGTGGCCACCACTTCTACTGTGATAAGTCACCACTGACCTGGGCCACTGCTCTGTTCTCATCACAGTTACAAGGTGAGATTTCTTTAAGAGATTATTTGACTAACAATTGGCCTCACCCATTTGATTGTGAGCTTCGTGAACACATGCAACATTTCCTTTTTTTTTTTTTTTTTTTTTTTTTTTTTTTTTTTTTTTTTGAGACAGAGTCTCACTCTATCAGCCAGGCTGCAGTGCAGTGGCACAATCTTGGCTCACTGCAACCTCCACCTCCCGGGTTCAGGTGATCCATCCACCTCAGCCTCCTGAGGAGCTGGGACTACAGGTGAGGGTCACCATGCCTGGCTGATTTTTGTATTTTCTGTAGAGACAGTGTTTCATCAAATGATCCACCTGTCTTGGCCTCCCATAGTGCTAAGATTACAGGCATGAGCCACCATGCCCAGCTATTTTTATTTTTATTTAGTTTTTGCTAATAATGTAATCCTTGGTGGCTGACACATATTAGGGGCTCAAAACAAGTTTGAGTAAATGAATAAAAGCACTACAGTGTGAGCTTAAAAAATAATTGTAACACTTGCACTGTGGAAACACAAATTACCTTACTGATCTGAAAATTGCATTTTGTACTTTTTGCTTTAATTGCATATTTTGAAAAAAGAAATGCCTCATAATTTTTCCTTGACTGTTATTTCATTTTCTTTATTCCTCAAACATACTGTAGACGTTGGAGGAAACACCAGAGCCTATACAGGGATGGTTGATTGTGAGAAAAGGTAAGACAAGTAAGTCTCTCTATTTGAAACCCTGAAACCTTGTTTTTCAGCAGGCACATTGCATGCATGATCAAACAGATTAGTGTGGTTCTAATTGGTAAACCATTAATAAGCCATAGAATATAATCAAGATCATTCAGAAAGATACACAAGCAAATCCACAAAAGGGGATTAGAAACCCAGTGTGTTCAGGTATTCTTGCATTGCTGTAATGAAATACCTGAGGCTGGGTAATTTATAAAGAACAGAGGTTTAATTGGCTCATGGTTCTGCAGGCTGTACAGAAAGTGTGGGGCCAGCATCTGATGTGCTTCTGGTGAGGGACTCAGGAAGCTAACAATCATGACAGAAGGCAAAGGGGAAGTAGACATCTCACATATAATGAGAGCAGGAGCAAGAGAGAAAGTGGGGTGGGGGCAGGTGCCACACACTTTTAAACAACTACATCTCACAATAACTCACTCATTCTCATGAGGACAGCACCAAACCATTCATGAGAAATCCACCCCTAAGACCCAAACACCTTCCACCAGATCCAAGACTGAGGATTACATCTCAACATAAGATTTAGGGAGACCATCCAAACTATATCATTCTGCCCCTGGCCTCCCAAATCTCAGGTCCTTCTCACATTGCAAAATAATATCGTGGCCTTCTCACATTGCAAAATAATCTCTTTTCAATAGTCCTCCAAAGTCTTAACTCATTCCAGCTTTAACTGAAAAGTCCCATGTCCAGATGAGTTCCTTCCACCTGTGAGTCTGTAAAATCACAAGAAGTTATTTACTTCTGAGATACAATGGGAGTACTAGAATTGGGTATATATTCCTGTTCCAAAAGGTAGAAATTGGCTGAAAGAAAAGGGCTATAGACCTCACACAAGCCTAAAAGCCAGCAGGAGAGTCATTAAATCTTAAAGCTCCAAAATAATCTCATTCGACTCCATGTCCCACATCCAGGGCACACAGGTGCAAGGGATGGTCTCCCAACGCTTTGAGTAGCTCCATCCCTGTATCTTTACAGGGCATAGCCCCTACAGCTTCTCTCACAGGCTGGAGTTGAGTGCCTGCAGCTTTTCCTGGTGCAGGGTGCAAGCTGCTGATGGATATACCATACTGGGGTCTGGAGTACAGAGCCTCTTTCCCACAGCTCCACCAGGCAGTGCTCCAGTGGGGACTCTTTGTGGGGTCTCCAACCACACATTTCCCCTTGACACTACCCTAGTAAAAGCTCTCTGTGAGGGCTCCACCCCTGCAGCAGACTTCTGCCAGGAACCCAGACTTTTCCATACCTCCATTGAAATCTAAGGGGAGGCTGCCAAGCATTCTTCAGTCTTACATTCTGTGTGCCTTCAGGCTTAACACCACACAGAAACACAAAGGCTTATGGCTCCTGCCCTTTATAACAGCAGCCAGAGCAGCCAGGATGTGGGGACCAGTGTCCCAAGGCTGTGTAGGGTACTGGGGTCCTGGGCCTAGCCCACAGAACCATTCTTCCCTCCTAGACCTCTGGACCTGTGATAGGTGGGGCTGTCTAGAACAACTCTGAAATGTCTTTGAGGCCTTTTCTCCATTGTCTTGGCTGTCAGCACCTTGCTCCCTTTCAGTCATGCAAATCTTTCTAGCAAGTGGTTGCTCCATAGCCCACTTTGATTCCTCTCCTGATAATGCTTTTTCTTTCTCTGTCATGTGGCCAGGCTACAAATTTTCCAAACTTTTACACACTGCTTCCACTTTCAATATAACGTTCAACTTTAAGTCATTTCTTTGCTCCCATATCTGAGCATAGGCTGTTAGAAGCAGCCAGGTTAGAGGCAGCCAAGTCACATGTTTAACACTTTATTGCTTTAGAAATTTCTTCCTCCAGATACCCTAAGTCATCACTTTTAAGTTCAAACTTCCATAAATCCCTGGGGCATGAACACGATACAGCCAAGTTATTATCACTATCAGCATTTTGGTCACAACCATTTAACCAGTCTCTAAGAAGTTCCAAACTTTACCTCATCTTCCTTTCTTCTTCTGAGCCCTCCAAACTTTTCCATCCTCTGCCTATTAACCAATTCCAAAGTTGCTTCCACATTTTCAGGTATCTTTATAGCAACACCTCACTCCTTGGTACCAATTTTCTGTGTTCGCCCATTCTCACATTGCTATAAAGAAGTACCTGAAGCTGGGTAATTTATAGAGAAAAGTTTAATTGGCTCATGGTTCTGTAGTCTATACAGGAGGCATGGTGATTGCATCTGCTTGGCTTCTGGAGAAGCCTCAAGAAGCTTCTAATCATGTGGAAGGTAAAGTGTGAGCACAAGTCTCACATGGCAAGAGTAGGAGCAAAAGAGAGGGTGAGGGGGAGGTACCATATGCTTCTAAACAATCAGATCTCACAGGAACTCACTCACACTTGGGAGGATAGTACCAAGCCATTCATGAGGAATCCACTCCCATGACCCAAACATCTGCCACCAGGACCTACCTCCAATACTGAGGATTACATCTCAACATGAGATTTGGAGGGGACATCCAAACTATATCACCCAGAAATGGTCCAACTTCAAGGTCTTGCAGTATTTGAGATAATGTGTGCACTGCTCAGGATCACAAGGCTTCTAAAAACATGGGTCAATGAGAGAGATATATTGATCCCAGCTTTGAGTACCAAGAGGAAGAAAAGGAGGCAGAGTTTAAATGTTGTCAGTTCTCAAACACAGAGATGAAGGCTCAGGGAATAACCTTAGAAGAAAGATATTGCATTGTCAGAAGACTGAAAGAAAACAAAACAAATTTTTTAAAAAATGGTGGAGGCTGAGGTAAGATTTCAGGTTAGCAGTAGTAAAATTCTCTTTTCCACTAAGGGCACTTTATTCAGAGTCTGCTTAAAATATGAGAGGGCATCACACACATTAATAATGAATAATTCCATTTCCTTTTTTTTTAAGTGATTTACAAGAAACTTGTTGCATAGATTTTTTAAAATCAACCAAATGCCCTTGAAGTGTAACAGTTGTTTACTAGAAAGCATAATTACTGAAAATGTTGGGCTACATTAATAGAGGCATATTTGTCAGATTATGGAAGGCCATGATCCCACTATAAGAATGACAACTTTGAATATTTGTTATTTCTTAATTTTTGCAACAACTGTGAAAGGCAAATAACTAAGGAGGCCCTGAATCCTAGTTGTTAGAGGAACAGGCATCCATCAGCTTTGTGACCTTGGGAAATCCTTTCACCAGCTCCATAGAGTTGTTAATAGAAGAATTCTTGAGCTGATACATAAAAAGCACTTACTTCGTGTAGGGCTGAGACTTAATAAACAATAAATAGCAGCAATCATTTGATTATCTGACAAACAAGAAACATAGATTCCTTTCCTTATGTGACTTGTCCAAGATCCCACAATTGGAAGAAGTTGAGCCAGGGCTGAAATGCAGGCTCAGCTCTGTTTTACATTCCAAGTCCCTTCTTCACTCGCTTCTCAGCTGCCTTTTCCCTCGATCTTGCCATGGTAACATCCCAGACAGACCTTTGCTTTGCCAAGATCTGATGTTGACATAATACCCCATGCTATCCCCAGGCTTCTTCTTGAGAGATTGAATGTTTCCACGTTGCTTGCATCTCCAGTGGTCACTTACATCTCCCTGACGATCTACTCTGCTAAGTACATTGCTTGCAAAATACTTAAACAACAAACAAATATGCAGATAAACACATCTCCCTGACAATCTACTCTGCTAAGTACATTGCTTGCAAAATACTTAAACAACAAACAAACAAATATGCAGATAAACACACCTTTGCACCTTCCTGCCAGCTCATCATCCAGGTCTATCTTGTTCCTTTGCCGCATGCACAAGTTAACGAAGAGCAGGCCCCTGTCTACCCCCTGCACCATCCTCTCTCTCTTCAGCCCTCGCAGTCTGGCTCTAACCCTCCTTTGTGTGGAAACCCAGAGGTCCGGTGACCATTGCTATAGCTGAGGCATTGCTCTGTCTTCTGTTTGTCAACCTTGACATCACCAAGAACCTCTAAGCACCCCACAAGCCTGCTGCCCTGGGCTTCGTGACTCCATTTTGTACTTTCTTGCCTCACTCCAACTTTGCCAACTTGTTTGGTGTCTTTTCTTGACTCTTCTTCCTACTCTCTCCAGACTGGCTCAATTTCTTTTAAGAAATCAGAGAATTTCAGAATCATAAGAAATCTAAAAAGTTATCTGGTTCAATAGCGATCCACTGTCTCCTCCACTGCCGCCAGTGTCTCTGGCTGGTGCCACCCTAGGCCCTGCAGTGCTGGCGGTGGGCTCTCCCTGCCCCATGTGCCCTTCAGCGCACCTTTATGTGGCCCGATGTCGGGGAGCGCCTATTCATTCCATCCACACTGCCTTCCCATGGCTCCTTTTGCTCTGCCCTGTGAGATCCTCCCTGGCCCCTGCACCATCACCCCAGACTCTGAAGGCTCTCACCTCTCCCTGATCTCCCCCTACAACCCTGAGGTTTCCTCTCTCCAGATAACAGCCCAGTTTCTTCACCTGCAATTCATTAAATATGCTTTCTTTTTCTCCATTCTCCTGTCACTGCACCCATTCCAATTTACCCATCGGTAAACTCTGAATTTTGCTTGCCTCGAAGAATCTGCACACAATAGAGCAGAGTGCTCACCACTCCAGTTCTGGAGCAGACACAGGTGGAGGTAGGTCCTCAGCTAGAATGAGGTCCCAGGAGCTAAGTTATTGGGTAGCTAATGCGGAAAAGTAGTGTTCTACCTGACATAGAATAGATCGATGATGACAAACTGATGGCCGCTGGCTGGCTGACTGACTGCTTAGGTGGCTGACTGGAAGGCTGGCTGGCTGGATGGATAGATATGGATGGATGGATGGATGGATAGATGCATGGATGGATGGATATGGATACATGGATGGGTGGATGGATATGGATGGATGGATGGATGGATGGGTCGATGGGGGGATGGATATATAGATAGGTAGATAGATATATAGATAGATTGGATTCATACATAAGAAACAATGTCAGAATCACAGATAGGCAAAATAAGTTGTTTACTGAAGTGTGCAGAAAGCTGACCAGAAACAGTAAATGTGAGTTTGAACCTAGGTGCTCCACGTGGGCGTGGAGTTTGTCCCACTGCAGTTATGAGTAAGATGTGAGGGGCAGTCACTTCTTGTCGTCCTGACCACGTGGTTGTGCCATACCTTGGTCCAGTTCTCTGCTTCTCCATCTGTTTTTCTCAAACCCTTTACCACACTCTGAAATTATCCCTTTTGACTTCCTTTTTTTTTCTATACCCCAACCCCACTCCTGGGAAGGCAATTGTCTTGTTCACAGTAGTAGCCCAGTACCTGGCATGTAGTAGCAGCTCAGTGAGTATTGGTTGGACGTGTAAGCGGTTTAATAAATTGATACATTCTGTGCACACACAGAGGAGGGTGCACTCACACGGCGAAATTAAAAATGCAAAGGCATAAGCAGCTTTGCTGGTGTTGTCGCGCCATCGTGTGGCCTTTTTGACTATTGCAGCTACAGGCTCATGGCTGTATTTATACCATGAGGATAATAACCTGTTTGCCTCGATTGCTGGTGGGATGAAGTCAGAGGCTGATAGGACTTACTGCACTCACCTGCTTCTCCTGTACCTATCTTGCTATCCTTGTGCTCTCGTTAGAGCTGATGTTTCTCGAGGTGCACGTTTGGCTTCTGCTTTTTCTCATTGTGAAGTATTTGTTGATCCATTACACCTGGCTGCAAATGACTACTAATTCCAAATCTCAATCCCCAAGTTCACATTCCTTATATCAGCATTTAAAGTGACAAAGCTCTCTAAACATTGCTTCAGCTGCATCCCACAGATTTTAATATGTTGGATTTTTGTTGTCATGCATATCAAAATATTTGCTAGTTTCCCCTTGATTTCATTTTTGGCCTATGAACTATTTAGAAGTGTGTTCTTTAATTGTCAGATATTTAAAGTGTTTTTCTAGATATCTTGTTACTAATTTCTAAATAAATTCCATTGTGTTCAGAAAATATACTTTGCAGGACTTCAGTGCTTTTAATGAGGCTTGTTTTATGTCCACCAGCTTGTCTGTGTTAGCAAATGTATTACGTGCATTGGAAAAAAAATGTGTATTCTGCAGTTGCTGAATGTAGTGTTCTATAAATAGCAATGAGATAAAAGTGGTTGGTTGTGTTGTTCAGGTCGTCCCTGTCTTTACTGATTTTTTGTCAATTTGTTCTATCAATTGCAGAAAGAGATATATTAAAAAATTCTTAGTTATAATTGTGAAGTTGTCAGTATTTCCTGGTTCTTTTCATTTTGCTTTATGTATCTAAGGCTGTGTATTAAGCACATGCACATAGTTAATTGCTAAATCTTCTTGACGAATTGTCACTTTATGATTATGATAATGAAATGTCTCTAGTAACGCTCTGATACTACATTTGCCACTCCAGCCTTTTATCCATGTCATTTGCTCATGGTATGTCTTTTCTGGTCCATTTCTTTCAACCTACCTTTGTCTTCATATTTAAAGCATGTCTTTTACTTTCTTTTCTTTTCCTTTTTTTTTTTTTTTTTTTTTTTTGAGACAGAGTCTTACCTGTTGCCCAGCGCTCACTGCAACCTCTGCCTCCGGGGTTCAAGTGATTCTCATTCTCCTGTTTCAGCCTCCCAAGTAGCTGGAATTACAGGCACCTGCCACCACGCGGAGCTAATTTTTGTATTTTTAGTAGAGATGGGGTTTTACCATTTTGGTCAGGCTGGTCTTGAACTCCTGACCTCAGTTGATCCACCAGCCTCGGCCTCCCGAAGTGCTGGGATTACAGGTGTGAGCCACTGTGCCCGGCCTAAAGCATGTCTCTTGTAGTCAGCATATAGTATGCTATTATTTTTTATCCATGCCAACAATCGCTGGCTTTTGATTAGCATGTTTAGACTATTAACATTTACTGTAAGTACGAATATGGTTGGTTTAGGACTTCCATTTTATTACTTATTTTCCATTTGTTCCCTCCACTTTGGTTTACTGGATCCCCGTTTCCTCCTTCCTTTTGGATAATTTAATTTTTTTAGTATTTCATTTTAATTCATCTATGGACTTTTCAGCTACATCCTATACATGGTTTAGGGTTTGCTCTATAGGTTAAAATATGCATAACTAATTTTTCACATTTGACTTAGAGTTAACTTGTCTCACTTTAAGTAAAACAAAGAAAACTTGCAGACATATTGGACCCTCTACCACTACCACCCGCATTGACCTGTATGCTATAGATGTCATAGATTATGTCTACACACATTGAAAACCCCACCAGGCAGTATTATAATTTTTGATTTTAATAGTCATAAGTATTTGAGAGAAGTTCAGAGGAAAAAAATATTATCCTAGCTATTTATCGTTGACTTCCCTTTATTACTGAAAAGCCAAGTTTCTCTCAAGTGTCATTTTTCTGCAGCATGAAGAACTTCATTTTGCATTTCTCGTAGAGTGGGTCTGCAGGTGATGTTTTCTTATTTTCTTTCATCTGAGAATATCTTGACATTGCTTTATTCCTGAATTCCTTAAAGAGAGAGAGAGAATGAGAAAGAGTCTCACTCTGTTGCCCAGGCTGGAGTGCAGTGGCACAATCTCGGCTCACTGCAACCTCTGCCTCCCAGGTTCAAGTGATTCTCATGCCTCAGCCTCCCAAGTAGCTGGGATTAGAAGTGTGCACCAACACACCTGGCTCATTTTTGTATTTTTAGTAGAGACGGGGTTTTGCCATGGTGGCCAGGCTGGTCTCGAACTCCTAGCCTCAAGTGATCCACCTGCCTCAGCCTCCCAAAGTGCTGTTAAAATCCTTTGGCCACTTAAAAAAATGGGCTACCTTTTATTGTTGAGTTGTTAGAGTTCTTCATATATTCTAGTTGCAAATCTCTTATGCAGTAAATGATTTGCAAATGTTTCTCCCGTTTTATAGGTTATCTTTCCGTGTTTTTGATGATGTCTTTGGATGCCTAATGTTTTAAATTTTAATGAAGTACAATTTATTTATTTATTTTGCTGTTGTTACTTGTGCTTTTGGTGCCATATCTAAGAAAACATTGCCCAAAGCATAAGCCACCATGCTTGTCCCTGAAGGATATTTTTGCTCAATATAGAATTCTGGATTGACAGTTCTTTTTTTTCAGTAAATATGTTGTTTTAACATCTTCTGGTCTTCACAGTTCCTAATGTGACATCTAATCATTCAAATTATTATCTCCCTGGACGTGCCATTTTTCTCTAGCTGCTTTAAAGAATTTTTCTTTATATTTGGATTTCAACAATTTGATTATAATTGGTTTCTTTGAGTATATCTTTCACCAAATTGGGAACACTTTTAGCCATTATTTCTTCAAATGTTTTTTCTGCACCAATCTCTTTTTCTGATCCTCGGGAACTTCAGTGACACATATTTTAGACCTTTTGATATCTGCTTATTGTTTCCTGCATTTTGTCATTTTTTTCAATAATGTTTCTCTTTGTCCTTCAGATTGGATTATTTTTATTGATTTACCTTTAGATTATCTGACACTTTATTCTGTTTTCTCCATTCTGCTATTGAACTCATCCAGTGTATTTTTAACTTTGGTTTATTTGTTTTTCAGGTCTAAGTTTTTATTTTGGCTCTTTTTAATAATTTCTGTTTTTTCCTGTGGTCACCACTATCATTCTGATTATTCCAATTTATTTACCATTACTTTATAAAGCATAGTAACAATAGTTGCTATAAAGTCCTGGTCTAATAATGTTAACATCTGTACATCTTGGGGTTGACATCTGTTTATTGTTTTTTTACTTGAAAATTAGTCACATTTTTTTCTAATTCTTTGTATAAAATTTTGGATTGTTTAATAGATATTTGAATGATACATTGATTCTGAGTCCCGTTACAATCCTCTGAAGAATATTGATGCTTTTGTTTTAATAGGCAATTAGCCCAGTTAGATTCTGACCACAAACTTAGTCTTTAGTCTTGTTTACTTATGGGCAGAGTTTCTAATCTCAGTTTCATTCTCAAATATTTTGTTATGCTTCTTTGGATCTGTTCTGCCCATTCACAGCTAAGACCTAACAACAAGATTGTCTAAGTTCAAAAGCAAAGTTAGAAATCCCCTTCTTTGGCTTTTTTGTCCAAACTGGTATTGCCATCTCGTACAACTATGATATTAAACAACTGTATTTATTGCTTTGACAAATGCTCTGAGGATAGGGCTATCACCACTGAGCAAGCTCTGCATCAGAGCAATTAAAGATAATGGGTCTTTTCCACGGAGCTGCCTGATGGGCCAGACGTTGACAACTCTCTTGGTTGCTTCCAAACTTTGGCAATTATTTTAAAAATGGGGCTCTAAGCATTTGGGGGCAGGTTGTTGTGTGGATGTTTTGTGGAGCAGAGAGGGGCAAGGTTCCTACATATGACTGTGTAACTATTTTCCTGTCAAGTTTAAAAATTAAGCCTCTGGACAAAACACAAAAGGTAACTACTTAAGGACTCTGAAAAGTCTCAAAATCAGGTGAATTGTGAAGGGGAGTAAAAAGTTGAGGAAACTACATGAAATTGAGTACATTTTCTGATTAATTTTAACAAGAATGCCAAGGCAATAAAATGGGGAAAAATGTGTCTTTTCCACAAATGATGCTGAGAAAATAAGATATCAGCATCTAAAAGAATGAAGTTGGAAACTTCCTCACACCACACACAAAAATCAACTCAAAATGTATCTAAAATCAACATGTAAGAGGCAAACATATAAAACTCTTAGAAGAAACTATAGCAATAACTCTTCATGACCTTGAGTTGGGAAATATTTTCTTAGATATGGCACCAAAAGCACAAGTAACAACAGCAAAAAATAAATAAATAAATTGTACTTCATTAAAATTTAAAACATTAGGCATCCAAAGACATCACCAAAAACACGGAAAGATAACTATAAAATGGGAGAAACATTTGCAAATCATGTACTGCATAAGAGATTTGTATCTAGAATATATGAAGAACTCTAACAACTCAACAATAAAAGGTAGCCCATTTTTTTAAGTGGCCAAAAGATTTTAACAGGCATTTCTCCAAATAAAATATAGAAACAGCCAATGAGCATATGCAAAATTAATCAGTAAGGATATACAAACAAAACCATAATGATATACTGCTTCACATCTGCTAGGATGGCTAAAAAAATTTTTAAGACAATAACAATTGTTGGTGAGGATATGGATAAATTAAAACCCTCATACATTGCTGAAGGGATTGTAAAATGATGCAGCAACTTTGGAAGCATTTTGGCAGTTCTTCAAAACATTAAATATGCAGTCACTATACGACCCAGTAATTCTTCTCTTAAGAATATATTCAAGAGAAATGAAAATAAATATCCACATAAAAAGTTGTGTGCAAATGTTTATAGCAGCATTATTCCAAAAAGCCAAAAGGTAGAAACAACCAAAATGTCCATTGGAGGATGAATGGGAAAAGAAAACGTGGAATCCATACAGTGAAATGGAAAATAAAAAGGAATGAAATACTGATACGCACTGCAACTTGGATGAATTTTGAAAACATTACGTTAAGTGAGAAAAGCCAATGACAAAGTACCACATACTGTAAGATTCCACTTATTTAAAATGTCCAGAATAGACAACTCTATAAACATAGAAGACAGATTCGTGGTTTCCAGGGGATAAGGGAAGATGGAATGGGGAGTGATTGCTAGTGTGTATGAAGTGATGAAAATATCGTAGCATTAGATAGCAGTGCTGGTTGCACAACCTTGAATATACTAAAAACCATTGAATTGAACATGTAAAGAGGGTTAATGTATTGTATGCGAATATTATCTCAATAAAGCAGTTATTTTTCACCTATCGGAATGGTAATGTCTAGTGGTAGTGCTGACGAGAGTGTAGGTAAGAAGGTATTCTGCATGCTGAAATGGGTTGTGCAAATTGGTACAACCTCTTTCAGGGTCAGTTTTGTAGTTTTTATTAAATGTAATATGCATATACCCTTTGGCCCAGAATTTCCAATTCTAGGAAAATATTCTACTAGTAAAATTCATATATATACACAGTAAAGATTTGGTAGATCTTTGTGTGTTAATATAAAATGATCTTTAAGATATTTTGTTGGGCTATAAAAATTTGAATAAAGTCTATACAATATATCTTATTCTAATTTTTGAATAAGGTCTATAATATTTTTCCAATGTTAATTTCCAGATTTTGATTGCTATCGCATGATTGTATGAGTTGTTAACATGAAGGTAAGCTGGTGAAGGATATATGGGAACTCTGTGCTATTTTTGTAAATGTAAGATTATGCAATATAAAACTAAAATACCATAATAACTTTGGTAAAAATATGTATGTTGTGAAAATATAGCTATTTGAATGGAAATGAACATCCAATTCAAGAGAATGGTTTCCTGCGCATCATGAGTGGGGCGAATAGAATGAGAGAGGTGTACAGTAGTGATTTCAACTATACTTGCAATATTTCACTTTTCAAACTTCATCATATATAGTCAGGTGTTTATTACATAATTCTTTGAAATTTTCATATAAAAGGAAAATACACACACACAAAAGGCAATAAAAATTGTTGCAACCAATGTCGTGAGTCTGTGAATAGTGAATACCTGAATCCATCTAAGGTCCCATGATTGAAGCTGCTGCTTTGAAAACCTCGACAGTGTTAGTACTTTCATTTGCTGCACAAAGGCACATTTTACTTCACTGCTGGATGGATCCAAAGGGGAAAATATTCCTGCGAGGATGCTGTTCTGTCACTGGACGGAAGGCAAGGGAGTCCGAGAGTGTGGAGAAAGAAAGAAAATCCTTCAACAACTGTGCCTTCCGTGACTAGAGCCGTTCTCATTTTTACAGGGAGACGCCATCTGCCCATTCAGGAATGTGCGGTGAGACTCTCTCCTTGGGCTCTGCACACCACCGTGAACATTTTGTCAGCACGGGTGACTCATAGCTTACACGGAAAACAGTAGCCTGTCCCTAGCAACCACACATCGTCTTTTCCCCAGACATTTCCAATTTCTCTGCACTCCTATGGAGACTGTTTTCTTCTTGCTTCACTCTTTCTGTGACATAAGACAGAAATTTTCACAGCTCTTCCACACCATGGGTGTATATGGACTGAACCAGCATAACAGCAAATAAACGGTGGTGGACCCAGGTACTGGAAATAGCCAGACCACTTACCTTAAGGGAAAATGTACCAGGAAGAACCTTAGTGTCCAGCCAGCTTCTAGGAACTGCTTTTTGGTCTCCAAAGGATGGGGACCGGTGGTGGGCCAAGCAGCCTCGGGTGAGTGTGGCCTCCTGGTTCTCGATGCTGATACTGAACATGCAGTAAAACCCTGTGAGGGAGCACGATGGCTAGGAACAGCCGATTAGCAGATGAATGAGAATAAATGGGAGAAAGTGGAGCCTTTTCCAGCCAGTGTTCTTTAACAATGATCCTCACTGATTCGCTGCCACACACACGTCAGTCCTCGCCTCAAGATGAGCATATTGCTCGCCGTGGATTCCTCTCTCCTGTTGACGTCCTCTCTCTTCTCCTGTCTCGGTTTATCAACTACTTTTTCCCTTCCAATGGCCTTTCCCTTTCTCTCCTGTGCTGGCGGCTCCTTTCCTCTCTCTGATCTGCAAACGTGAGCCCTCTTTTCTGCACAGCCTCAGATTCCGCCTAAGAGATTCACCCATTCTTTGACTTTATGGCCCATTTATGCCTCAGTGATTCCCGAATGTGTATATCCAACTCAGGCCTCTTTAAGTGATTACTTGACAAATCCATCTGAAAATCACACAGCTACATCCAACTTCACACATCTAAAATTGTCTCGTTCTAGCCCCAAATATGTTCTCCTCTCGTGTTCTCTCTCTTGGCGACTGGTGCCTCCATGTCCCTTCTTGCTCCCAACAGACATGGTGTCATTCTTCACGCCCCACATCGTCCCTCTCCTCATCCCCCTCATATCTTGTTCCTTTTTTGCAGCGACACCCCTCTGCTGGAGTGTCTGGCCCCAGGGCAGGCAGAAGGAGCTTCGCTTCCTGAGCATCCTGAACAAAGAGTTCAGTTGGAGATGGGACCGCCAATGTCACCTTACCAAGGAGAACAGAGAGCTGCAGCTGCCTCCATGGCAGCGATACCTCCAGGTCACTGTGGCAGCAGGAGTGACTGGGGCTGGAGAGAAATGACTGCCCCTGGGCTGCGGGACATTTGCACATTTGCAGTAGGAAGTGCAGAGGGCTTCATGCCCGAGAGCTGCTGAGGGAGCCAGGGGCAATTCCTGGGGCAAGTGGGGATTCCAGGAGCCGTGGACCTGTGTTGTCCCTGAGCTCAGCACATCCAGTGCTTTGCTCAAGGCAGCAGGCCTCCGAGCCCATGCTGCAGTTGCTTCTCTAATTACTTCCATCCACTTTCCACCTCCTCCCCTTAGGTAGGAAGTCCTGCCAGAGTCACAGCTGTGAGAAAAGTGGCACCTTCCTGAAACAGCTGAGTCAAGTCAGTCTTCTCATGACTTCATGTCTAATCCCTCATGTTTCTAATAGGAATGAAGGAGGGTAAACCATTTAGAAATAAAACATAAAGATTTATTTGCATGATGTCTCCATGAAACAGCTCCTTGGACTGTCTGTGGGAGGAAGAATGTTGCAGGAAGAGGACATGGCATGAACCGGCAAGGTTTTCCCCAAAATTCCAAGGGACACCAGGGGGCACAGAACTGGAAGTCAGGCAGCTGAGTCCTGGCTAGGAAGCAGTGGGACGTGACACCTGCCAAGTCTGAAGGGAGAGAAAGGAGGCCACAGGGCAGGGCAGCCAAGGAGCAGGCCGGACTCTCAGCCTCAGGAGCCCTTCAGGAGGGGGCCTTCGTGGGTCTCCAGGGTCTGCCAGCATGAGGGGCTGTGCCAGGCTGCACTCCTAGGGGCTCAGGAACCAAGCCCTTGTGTTACCAGAACGCTCAGACACGCTGCTACATCAATATCTTCTGAAGGGGAGCTCTAGACTTATAGAAGTGGGAGATCAGGATGGCAGATATTAATGATCTGCCAATTAATATTAATTATGCCTCTCTAGTGAGCAAATTCTGAGAAAGGTGTTTTCCTCATTGGCAAAATGGTTTAGGAAGCCCTTGACAAGGTTGTAATAGGAGTTAAAAATATGTGTGAACATATGTACGTGAATATGTATAGTATGTATGTGAATCGTGGGTATATATATATAAATATGTCAATGTATATTGTGCATGTATACATATATAAATGAGTTTATGTATATATGTATATAATAAATACTTTTTAATAAATTTTTAATAAAACTTTTTAAGAAATTTTTAATAAAAGCTTTATTGTGGTGTAAGTAACAGAACAAAGTGAATATATTTAAATTGCACAATTTTAGTTTGATGTATGCGTACTCCTGTGAAGTTGTCATCACAAATCCAGAAAATGAACACACCCATCACACCTAGCATTTCCTCTTACCCCTCAATGCATCTCTCCCTCCCAACCTCTCATCCTGCAAGTGACTGCAGACGTGGGTTCTTAACTGAATATTAGTTTGTATTTTACATACTTTTATATAATTATAATAATACACTGTACTTCTTATTGTCTGGCTTCTTATACTTAGCATAATTATTGTGAGATTATTCAATATGGTGACATGTATCAATAGTTTGTTTCTTTTTATTACTGAGCAGTATTCCATTGTGTGGATATACCAAAAGATACTTACCCATTTACCTGCTGAGAAACATTTGGGCTATTTTCAGTTGTGGCTATGACAAAGCCTTTTTGAACATTTGTGTGCCAATATTTCTGTGTAATAAAATTTTCATTTCTCTTGAGTAAATATCTAGGCATGGAAAGCCTGGGCCATATGATAGATATCTCTAATTTTTTTCAAAAAATGCCAAACCTTTTCCAAAGTAGATGGACAATTTTACATTGCTACTGCCAGTATGTGAGACTGGTGCTCCACACTTTGCCAACACTTAGTATGATTAGTCTTTTAAATTTTAGCTATTATGGTAGGTGTTTAGTGGTTTCTCATTGTAGTTTCAGTTTGCATTTTCATATTAATTAATTATGTTGCACATATTTTCATTTTCTTGTTATCTAGTATATCTTATCTTGTGAAGTGTGTTAAAATCTTTTACCATATTTTGATTTTCTTAAAATTTAGTAGTGAGAATTCTCTACATATTGTGTGTAGGTACAAGCCCTTTGTTGTATATATATTTTATAAATATTTTCTCCTAGTCTGTTGCTTGCCTTTTTATGTTCATAACTGTGTGTTTTAAAAAGCAAAAGTTTTAATTTTAAGGAAGGCAAATTTATTGAGTTTTTTGTATTCTATAGTTGTGGCTTGGAGGTCCTTTAAAAACTACATTTGCCAAATCCAATCTCACTCAGATTTTCTCCTCTGTTTTCTTCTGGAAGTTTTATAGTTTTTCTATTACATTTTGGCCTATTACCTATTTCCAGTTGATGTTTTAAATGGTGAGAGGTAAGGGTCTATGTTTTGGGTCAGTCTGTTTGTTTTTCATTTGGCTACCCAATTGTCCCAAAACCATTTGTTGATGAGATTATTCTTGAGTTGCTTTGACCACTTTGTCAAAAATCAGTAGAGCATAGGCATGTGGATCTATTTCTGCAGTTTCTAGTTAGTTGATCTCTTCTTCTATCTTTTTACCATACAGCTTTGATTAATGTAGTTCTAAAATATAGCTGGGCATGGTGGTACATGCCTGTAGTTTCAGCTACAGGAAGGAAAATCACTTGAGCCCAGGAGTTCAAGACTGTAGTGGGCTATGACAGCACCTATGAATGGATGCTGCACTCCAGCCTGGGCAACATAGGGAGAATCCATCTCTAAACAAAATAATAATGACAATAATAAAACATGTCTTGAAATCATACAGGACAGGTTTTCCAACTTTATTCTTTTTCAAAGTCATTTTGGCTATATTAGGTTGTTTGCATTTCCACTTAGGTTTTAGAATTAGCTTCTTAACATTTGTCAAAAAAAGACTGCTGGGATTTGATTGGAGTAGACTTGAATCTATAGATCAATTTGAAGGGAAATGACATGTTAATAATATTGTCTTCTAATTAATAAACATAATACATCTCTTCATGTGTCTAAATCTTTTACTTTTCTTAGGAATGCTTTGCAGCAAGATATTACAAATAAGATAAATGCCCACAAGTAAGTAATATAAATTATAATGCATGATGTTATATCAGGTGAGAGACATATATTACTAGGTAAAATGGAAAACCCAAATTACAGCAGATTAAACAGATTGAATTTTGATTTTCTCTGATGTAGAAGTCTTGAAGGAGAATGTCCAAGGCTTGTATGAAAGATCCATGATGGTGTCAGGGGCCCAGGTCTTTCTGTATTTCTTGTCTGTCAACCTGACTACATGGCTTCCATTCATGATCAAAGACACTGCTCAAACTATTATCAATTCATCCACAATACAGACAGAAATTCAGAAGAGGGTGGTGGGTGGGAGGAAAACTGCTTAAAACACAGTGGGAGAAGTTTAGAACTCAATTAAGCAAGCAAAGTGGGAAAGAATAATCATTTAAAGAAATAAAGAAAAAAAGGATGCATTCAACTGACATGCCAAGAAGATCCAACAGATGCAGAACAGATATTCCCAAAGGGAGAATGAAGATCACAGAACAGAGCGTCAAGCTATAAACTGTAAAGAAATAAGCTACAAGTTATAAATAAACTAAAGAAATAAAAGCTTGTTCTTTAGATAGAAAAGTCCACTGTAACCATTAAAAAATTGACAGAGAACAATCCACAAGTTACTGAGAAGTTACTGAGAAGCAATAGCAAAGAAAAAAAACCTTTTGACATCCAGACAAAACAGGCTAAGTCACCTGTAAGAGAAGAATACCTGTGGCCCCAGAATGATTCCTAGAAGCATTCCTTCCCACACGTCAGCTGAGCAATGTCTACAGATTCTCAAAGACAGAAGAAAATTCAGCATACGGCCAGTGAGTTTTTCTGTTCGGCTAAATTGTTGTTTAAGTGTAAACGGATAAAATATAAGGTATAAATAGATAGTAATAAAAGTAACTGTCTAAATAAAATACAAATGTCCAGTTTACTAAGCCTATACACATAAAACAATAAAAACAGAGATTAGTCTAGTGAAAAACAAGTTGTAAATAAGCAATGAAAATAGTAAATGTAAGTAAAAGTCATGATAAAATGAATACTATCTTTCACAACAATAAATGCAATTGAACTAATCTCATATTTCAAAGAAAGTCTCTCAAACTGGATCAAAAGGCAAAACCATATATATGCAATTTTTTAAGAAATGCTTAAGATAGAACATACCTGAGAAACTGGTAACAGGAGTTTCAGCTGAAGAATAGGATCACAGTTTGAAGTGAGACAAGAATTTTTTGCCCCACAAATTATACTATATATTAAAAGATCTTAATTTTTATGTTTTCATGACCAGGAAGGTACTCCCAGGCATTAGTGGGGCCTATCTGGGAAAGGGGTTTAAATTCAAATTATTTTTAAAACACTGTGTGATGAAACCAAATATTTTTGCAGGTCAGAAACACAGGTCAAGAGTTTCTAATCCTGATGTTGCTACTTAAAAGAAAAAAGTTTTCACATAGGAGGCAAAGGAAGTCAAGTGCAGTTGTAGTAGTGGGGGCTGTGAATTCCCAAGGCCATGCGAAGGTTTTTGGAGGAACTAGGACAAGAAAGGGCTGTGAAGAATGGGTAGAGGTGGGCAGCCAAGGATAGTGGGAGGCAGAAAGAGCAGCAGGGCCTTGCATCCTGGTCATTGAAGTTCAATGTGTGTCCATCCTATTACACTGAGAGCTTCCTACCATTAACTCTGCAGCTGCCGCTGCATTTTATACTTAGAAAAACATGTCACAGGAAGTCATCATGTCATGGAAAATCATCAACTTTGGATTCAGGTGAGTGCAAATTCGACCCCAACCAATGACTGCAACCATTGCAGCCAAATTCAACCCGTACCAATGGCTGCAAACAGAACACAGCTTAATTGTTAACTCCTAACAATTAAGCTGTTTGGCTTCTCCCAAATATATCAAGATATGGGAACTATTGAGGGCAATACATCTGTATCGTGGTGTGTATTTTTAGGACTTCATATTTACCATTCATAGTTGCCATAGAATTCAGGCTGGAGGAAAGGCTTCAGCCCAGGTGCTGGTCAGGCATCCTCTCTCCATGCGCTGTGCCCCACCTCATCCGCCCTCGCTATGTCTTTACTTTCACTTTCCATCGATTCAATTTTTTGGAAGATTTTTCTTTAATCTGATATAGCATCCAAATAAGGTGGCAGAACAGGAGAACCACCATTTGCTTGTGGATAGTTACCTTTGCAAGCCATGGAACCATCTGTTTGCCTTAGGTGCCCTCAGGACAGACCCATGAACTTCATGAATAGCCAAGCCTGCAAGAACACACACACTGCCTGTTTGCCTCATCAGGAGGGAATGTGCTCAGAGTCAGGACTGCAATAAGGAAGATTCATATATCACCCTCGCCTTGACATTCTTGATCTAAGGCCACCCCACTGCCCCAGCACAATGATTAAAACTGCCAGTTGCATCTAATTAAAAGTAGTGGGACCTAAGAGCTGCTCTGGAAACATGGAAAACCCATCTTAATGACCACTAACTAGCTGCATTTTCTTTCTGAAAGTTCCATCCAAACTCTTTATGAAATGTCACCATGACATGGGGCAAAATATTCACACCAATGCCACAGATTTGTTCTGATGGGAGAATCTTATATCCACCCAACTTTCAACTAGCCAGACAGAAAGCACTGTGTAAGCATTGGGGGACTTTGGCCTCACATCTCATAAACAGAACACAGCCCAGCCTCCAGCGCTGGAAGGCAGAACTACCCCTATGGTGCTGGCACCTGGGCTGAACACTCACAGAGAAACCAGTGGTCAAAATCCTGTGGCTACACTTACACGAAGTTGGAAAGTTCTCCAGGAAATATGATTCTATCACATCTTCAGAATACTTAAAATCTTTTCAGTGAAGTTCAATGTCATCCACTGGAAATTGTTTTCAAATGTGTTATCCATGACATTAATTTATGATGATGAAGAAATGATGTCTTTTCAGAATAGCATTTTAAACCTAGATGTGTGTTAAGTTTTGAGCAGTTGAGTCAGGTGTCATGCTGTCTGAAACATATATTGTCACATTGTAAGGAGTAGTATTGTTTAAGAATAGTGTAGAAATGATGCTAAAATAATCCAGATGAACCCAACCATGTAACTTTGATTTAGTCACACTAGTGGTGAGAGACCACGGTAGGCAGTAACTAGCTGTGAGTATCCTGGGCACGACGTACAGGAACAACCATAGACTTTTGAAACAGATTTGCCTGGGTTTTAATTTCCATATTCCTCTGGTTATGTAAGCGTGACAAGCGTCTGAAACCTTCAAGCTCCAGGCTGACTATGAACGTAGAGCTTCCAACACCTATCCCATCAAGGTTGTTGTGGTGGAAAATAGCTATGGGAAGACATTTCATGGCATAAAATCGTCCCGTTGATTTTCCTCTTTCCTCCCTAGTTTTCTGAAGTTCACATCTGGAATTTTGGAATATGCTGTCTCCTAGAGGCCCCACTGTTTCTGCTCTATAAAAATACACATAGTAACAGCACCTGTCTCAATGAGTTACTGAAGAGACAAAGTAAGAATGCATTATTAGAGACAGTCTCTGGCATAGACTGAGCCTTTAGATGCTAGCTATGGTCATCATGCTTGGTTAAGGTCCTGGCAGATTTTTTGAAGAGTCCATATGTATAATAGAAATAGAATATGAAGTTGTGGCAGAAAAATTTGGAAAGACACAGGAGATAAGTTAGTAAGGGAGAAACAAAGGGGAAAATATTCATTTGATGAAAAGAAACTAAAGTAAATAGAAGCAGGGCATAGATAGGAGGGGAGGAACTTGGCCAGGGGCGGTGGCTCACACTTTCAGCACTTTGGGAGGCCAGGGAGGGAGGATCACTTGAGCTCAGGAGTTTGAGACTAGCTTGGGCAACATGGTGAAAACTTGTTGCTACAAAATGAAAATTTAAAAATTATCTGGGCATGGTAATGCATGCCTGTAGCCCCAGCTACTCAGGAACATGAGGTGAGAGGATCGCCTGAACCCAGGAATCAAAGCTGCAGTGAGCCGTGATCTCACCACGGCACTCCAGCCTGGTAGACAGAGGGAGAACCTGTCTCAAAAAAAAAAAAAAAAAAAAAAAAAAGCAGAACTTATATGAGCACATTTAATGTACTTATCCATTATAGAGCTAATGCAAAAATGAAACGTGGTATATGAAACAACTCACTGAGACTCAGGCCATCATGCTAATAAATTTCTTGCAAAACTTACATACACACAGTGGCCATGTTTTCAAACCAAAAACTGAAGCATACAATTAAGCATACAATTTGACTTCTGATCATACAGTAAATTAAAAATTATAATAAATACTTAGTTTTCATGAGTGCTTACAATGTTCTTAATGCAAGACTTTTTAATGCAACTTCTTGCTTTTAAATACTTTCAATATAGTTGTGCTCTTTTGAAAAAGACAAAGCCAGGTTATTTCTAACTAAAATAATCTGTGTGTTCTTTCTTTAATTTAATCTCAACATATTGAATAACAATATGCAATCATATCCTATGCATTTTAGTTCACAAAATATTGTTCTTTGGATATGATTTTGAGGATATGCAAAGTTCTCAAACCGTTTTCCCCAATGTGAAAGTAAAGTTAGGCCTAGTCGCATGAACAGCAGTTGTAGTTTCTATAGGAGACATTCTACAAATAAATCACACACAAGTTGGCTCAAACTGTAGTTAATTATCCATGTCAAAAATAAATCCTCAAGAGACTATTAAGATGTGCCACTTTCTTTAAAAACATGTACCTTTTAATTAGAATACACACGACCTCCTGTTTCTCATTCCATCTTCCATCCATCACTCAGACCCAAGGAATTTTCCTCAGTGCCGTCTGAACGCTGTGTTGTCCTGGTGAGCACATTCTCCCACATAGGTGAGGAATGGCGTGTATTTCCAGCACTTGGCCTCTAAGAACAGAGCACACAGCAACCAGCATGGAAGGGGACTCCGCCTGCAGTCAGGGAGCAAAGCAAAAGCACCCCTCAAAGAAGTCAGAGCCAAATGAGGCCCAGTGTGTGCTCGCTCTAGGGCAACTCCTTTGATTCGTACCAGAGGGTGGTCTTCCCTCTGTGTTTGGGGCAGTGCTTTCTTGTCTCTGTCATACAAACCCGCAAAAACAATGTTAGCAAAATCCTGATCTTTAACAGGAAAGCAGCATGACCAAATATTTCCAGAGAAATCTTATGCGCTTGCTGTAAGGGAAATTGCCTGATCGAATGTCATATAGTCAGGAATACTCTAGAACAGTGGTCCTCAACCTTTTTTTGGCATCAGGGACTAGTTTCATGGCTGACAACTTTTCCACAGACTGGGGAGGAGGGGATGGTTTCAGGATGATTCAAGTGCATTACATTTATTGTGCACTTTATTTATTTATTTATTTTTATTTTTTTAAGACAGCATTTCCTTCTGTTGCCCAGGCTGGAGCACAGTGATGCAATCTCCGCTCACTGCAACCTCCGCCTCCCGGGTTCACACGATTCTCCTGCCTTAGCCTCCTGAGTAGCTGAGATTACAGGTGCACACCACCAAGCCTGGCTAATTTTTGTATTTTCAATAGAGACAGGATTTCATCTTATTGGCCAGGCTGGTCTCAAACTCCTGACCTCAAAGTGATCTGCCCGCCTTGGGCTCCCAAAGTGCTGGGAGTACAGGTGTGTGTGCTTCATTTCTATTATTATTACATTATAATATATAATAAAATAATTATACAATGGTGATGTGTATCAGTGATGTAGAATCAATGGGAGCCCTGAGCTTGTTTTCCTGCAACTAGACAGTCCCGTGTGGGGTGATGGGAGACAGTGACACCTGAAGTGTGTCACTTATGTCCAGGCTACTCTGTAATCTCATTTTAGTCGCTGTCACTGCAGAAAACCCTGCTTCACAAAGACAGGTTGTTGGACATGGAAGCAGGCTTTTCAGTGCTTTTGTGGCAACCTCAGGATATTCTACCTGGACTTTCATCCAGAACATATGGAGATTTGAAGTTGTCTCAAACATATTTTTAAAGCCATTGTCATTTGCCATCTCAAGCAGTTGATCCTCTTCTAGCACAGACAGTCAGTTTACCGGGCTTATTCACAAATGGGTCGCGGATCCATTCCTTCCCAGTTCGGGGTTCTTTTGTGGTTGGTAGTATTGGGTAGGTGATCACGTGTCAGCCGCGGGAAAGAAGGCCCTGGCTCCGTCTCTTTCACAATCTCTGCTAATGTTTGAAACATGTCAGAAATCCCAGTGTTCACTCATCACCCTCATAATTCCACTTTGGCTTTGAATGCAGCTGCTTTATCTGCCGACTTGAACACAGCTGTCATTCTCCCCTGAAGTGACAGATTGATTTCATTGAACAGGTTAAATAGTTCACACAAGTAAGCAAGTTTTGCAACCCATTCTGTGTCACTGAAATGTGCTGCCAGTGGTGACTGTTTTTCTAAAAGAAATCTCTGGATCCTAAAAGAATCTCCTAATTAAAAAACTGTGGCCAGCAATCTACCTTTAGAAAGCATCTCACTTCTGTGTATGAGAAGGTGTATGTGCTCTGCATCGATCTACTCGCAGAGCTGCATGAACAGACATCAGTTAAGAGCGTGTACTTTAATGTGGTTGATAATTGTAATCACATCATGCAAAATGTTGTTAGGTTCCGGGGACGTTTTTTGGCTAGCTAGCATTTCTCTGTGGATGACACAGTATGTAGACTCACATTCAGAAGCAACCTCTTTGACCCGAGTGGTGAAACCAGAAAGCCGTCCAGTGATGGCAGCCACTCCATCCATGAATATACTGACACAAAACGACCAGTTTAGTTTTCCCGATATGTAATCATTCAAAGACTTCAGTAGTTCTGCAGCTGGGGTGTTGATTAGCAGCAAAAGAACACATAACATATCCTCCTGAACATCCTCTTGAAGAGTATATCACACATAAACAAGGATTGTTGCCTTGCTGTCAACATCCGAACTCATCAACCTGGATTGTGTCCCACGGTGACTCATTAATCCTCTCTAACAATTGTGCCTCGATATCTTCTGCTATTTCATCAATTCCTCTGGTTACAGTGCTAGACGAAAGAGGAACACCTGCCACCTTTTGAACTACAGCCTTTCCTAAAAGTTCACAACAAATGTCCTTAGCAGCAGGCAGGATCAGCTCTTCACTAGCAGTAAAGGGCTTCTTAGCTTCAGCAATGCAGTTAGCCACTAAGAGTGATGCTCTCAGTGCAGACACATTTGATGAAGTGGTGGCCTTCAATAATTGCTTCTGTTCTTTGTGTTCACATTTTCTTCTTTTGAAAACTCCAAAGACTTGTCTTTTAATGCAGGATGCTTGGTCTCCATGTGGTGAAGCAGTTTTGAAGGTTTCATGGCTTTGTTGGATAGCCAGTCGCCATATATTATAAAAAGTAGACTTGGAGAATGTGAATCACCTGTTACAATGAACCTGTAATTTAAGTAGGACTCTTGGTATTTTCTTTCAAATGCAGCTTTCTTTTTGTTGGCAGTCTTAGAGTCTTCTGCTCTCTCATCATTGGGTCTTTCTTCCTTTTCGAAGAAGCCCTCTAGTGACATTTATTTTTTACTCATTTTGGCTGGGGTTAGCTTGTGGGCTTACCAAAACTGTGACTGAGACAAGGGTGCAGTGTGGGAAAGAGGCAGGAACAGAAATGCTCAACAAAGTAATAGGCAAGCCATGCACAGAATAAAATAAGTGTCGGATTCTGACTTAAAGCTGCCACCAGATGCAGCTGTGCAATTGAAGTGCATCAGCTCACTTGCCACTGTAAAGCCTGCGACCAGAGGCAGCTTAATTGTCACTTGCCACTCACAGATAGGGATATGAGTCTTGCAATTGATGTATTATGGTCTCTGTGCAGGGAAACCTCTCTGCTAATGTTAATCTGTATTTGCAGCCACTCCAGCACTAGCATTACTGCCTCAGCTCCACCTCAGGTCATCAGGCATTAGTTAGATTCTCATAAGGAGCACACAACCCAGATCCCTCGCATGTGCAGTTCACAATAGGGTTTGCGCTCATATGAGAATCTAATGCCACCGTTGATCTGACAGGAGGCGGAGCTCAGGCAGTAATGTGAGTAATGAAGAGTGGCTGTAAACACGGATGAAACTTCATTCACTCGCCCGCCACTCACCTTCTGCTGTGCAGCCTGGTTCCTAACAGGCCATGGACCAGTACCGGTCTGTGGCCCAGGGGTTGCGGACCCCTTCTCTAAAAGCCCTATAGGAGGTGCAGGAAATTATTTTGAGAGCAGGGTCATTAAATAAATCTATTTCTACACTTCAAGTAATTATCTTTCAAACCATTTTTGTCTATTTTTCCTTTCAGTTCTTTCCATCCTTGCTTCATGTTCATTGAAGCTGTTTTTTTTTTTTTTTTTTTTTTTGGTACATGCACATTTAGGATTGCTCTATCTTTTGGTGGATTGAGCCTTTCATTGTTAGTGGTGGTAAGTCTGTATGGGTCTGCAGCAACCTAGATTTTTGCCTCCTTGGAAGAAAGAATTTGACCGAGGGGCACAGGGCAGAGGGAGAGACCACTGAGGCAAGTTTTAGAACAGAAATGAACATTTATTACAACATTTTAGAGCAGGAACAAAAGTAAAGTACACTTGGAAGAGGACCAGGTGGGCAACTTGAGAGATCAAGTGCCCAGTTTGACCTTTGACATGGGGATTTTATAGGCCGGCATGCTTCCGGGGTCTTGCATCCCTTCTCCCCGATTCTTCCCTTGGGGTGGGCTGTCTGCCGTGCAGTGGCTGCCAGCTCTTGGGAAGGGGCCACATGCACAGTGTGTTTCCTGGAGTTGTACACGTGCTCGCTTGAGGCATTTTTCTCTTACCAGTCAAGTGTTCCTAGAGGAAGATCATATGCCTGTTAAACTTCTTCATTTTGCCTCTTAGTGCACATGCTTGAGCCCACTGGCCCAAGTCCTGAGATCTTTTCGGGAAGCTGCTGATCACTGGCTTCAGGTATTTTCTGCTGGGAGACGGCCTTAATTGGTTATGACCAATTATTATTTTAGAGAGACAGTTCTCAATGACCTGACCATCCCCTGATGCTCTCCTAACATTCCTGGTGTTGGCAGGGGGGCTCTTCTGCCCTGCTCCTGCCTGACTAGCTACCTACTAAAACATAACTGATGATCCCATACAAGCTGACTTCTCCAAGGGTTGAAGGGCCAGGTAGGGTGGACTTGACCAGGGACAAGGTGCTAATTGTCAGAGGAAAGGGTAATTTTTTATATGCTGTAGCAGATGCCTCTCTCCATACCCACATCATCCAATGTCTGCACCTGAAGGACAGAACAGTTATAACAGTTTTTTAATGTAGAAAAAGCCATATCACTAAAAATGCTATTAATCCAATGGGGCCAACAGAAATGCTTTGGAGCTCCTCTTACAGAGTATGAGACACAGTGACAGAGGCAGCTTTCCCCGAATGTGCCGGCCACTTTCTCTTTAGCACTGTCGTGGCCCCAGGCTGGGGCAGCTCCAGTGAGCAGCTCCAATGCAGCCGGAAGACACTATGGATGTCACACTCGGCAGAAATGGCAGCTCCCTCAGGTTTTTGTGACTGAAAAATCCCAGGGGTCTTCAGGTGTTCATGTTCTGTGTATCACCACAGGCTGTGCCTGCCTACGTGTGCCCAGAGGGAACGGGTGAGGCCTGGAGTCCAGCGCGCGCCTCACCGCCCATCCTGCCTGATGCGTCCTTCCAGAGCACATCCTCCTTCTACGACGACAAGGGTTCCCTCCAGGGTAAAGGCAGGCCCAGAGACGTCTGTCCATGGTGAAAGGACACTGTCCAGAGAACTTGCAAAAATATGATAGGGAAACTGTGAGGCTGGAATCCGACATAAACCCTGAGAATGAGCATCGGTGGCCTCTGGGTGATGGCTCTGAGGAACCCCAGAAAGTCAGGCTGCGCAGTCAGCGAAGCACAAGAAAGCCAGGCTGGCATGCGGGCCACTGTGTGCAGGTCACATACTAAATTATACATTTCAGGAAGAAGTGCTACCGAGTTTCAGGAAAAACAGTGATTATCAGAACTTTAAAAATCCAGATGTGCTATTAGAAATGAGGACATACACAAGAGAACCATCTTGGAAAGAACAAGTGTGCACAGAGACAGGCGTGGGGATGACACTGCACCACGAGCCACTGTCCATCTCTCCATCTGCAGAGGAGATGCACAGGCGCAGATGCACGTGCACAGACAGCTGGAGAGCAAGGGGACGTCCTGCCGGTGTGAAGCATGGCCTTGGCTCCTTACAATCACTGGTCAGGAAAAAAAAAACAAAAAAAAAATGAGTAGTGAAAAAGTAACCAGCTCAGGATATAATTTGATAGAGGAGTAACGCAATGGATTTTTTCTTCTGGTTTTAATAAAAAATCAAGTTGCTCAAAACTACTGATTTTAAACTACCAAGAAAAAGAAAGAGATAAGCTATAAGATGACAATGTTTTTAGCAGCCCATCAGATTTCTGAGGATAAAAGATACGTAAACAAACCAAACTCTAGAAAGTGACAAGCCACTCACAGGAGTGAAGACCACAGGCACGCTCTTACCCACAGCAGAATGACAAAAACGAAATGGCTGGAGGCCAGGAGAAACTGGCCACGTGTTTGCATCTGCAGGTAAGTGGGTGACCAGCTGGCATCCCTGTGGCTGGAGTCACCGGCAATGCTGCACCCGGCCTTCAAGCGTTCCCCAAAGGCCTCTGTGGAGCCCTTCACTGAGCGCTGAGGGATAAAGCTGGGAGCAGGGCCTGAGAGACAGGATGCATTCCCGGGGGCCCTGCTGAGTCTCACCCACTTGCAGAGAACCAGTCTCAGAAAACAGGAGACAGAGTGGAAGCCTGAGTGGAGCCCCTCCCAGGCCTCCAGACAATGCCAGGCAACGGTTCGGAAACACAGACAGGGCCTGGAACCATGCTTGTGTTAACACCCTTGGCTCTGCTGATCGTCCCTCAAAATATTTCAGCACATGGTGACCTGAGCCAAGCTACAACTGCAGCAAACCCAGACCTGACTCACCTGTGGATCAGGGCAATGGACCTGCCCTTCTGCAGCCTGGCAGAATCCATCTCACCACTCTCTGCAGCAAACCCAGATCCTATTCACCTGCAAATCAGGGCGATGGACCTGCCCTTCTGCAGCCTGGCAGAATCCAGCTCACCCCTCTCTGCAGCAAACCCAGATCCTATTCACCTGCAAATCAGGGCAATGGACCTGCCTTTCTGCAGCCTGGCAGAATCCAGCTCACCCCTCTCTGCAGCAAACCCAGACCCCATTCACCTGCAAATTAGGGCGATGGACCTGCCCTTCTGCAGCCTGGCAGAATCCAGCTCACTCCTCTTTGCAGGAAAGTATCATCTACTTCACTCTTAACTATTCCTTTCTACAAGAATACCCAACAAAAATCAAATGTGATAAAACATGAAAAAGCAAGGCAATGTGACCCATGTAAAATAGGAAACAGGCAGCCAATAAATAATACCATACCAAAGAGGTATGAGTAAAAAGTACATGTAACAGATAAAAAATTACGTACTAGAAAGTATTTGACTTGTTCAATTGTTTAAAAAAGACAGAAAAGGAAAGAAACTGGGAGAAAGAACAAGAGGGATAAATAAAATTATATCCCAGCACAGAAGACATAAAATGTACCATGTCAATAACAACCTGAATTATAAATGGACTAGACACTCCAGGTAAATGACAGTGATTCTCAGGCAGGTAAAGTAGCAAGACTCAACTTCAAACTCTATAAAAAATGTATTTTAATTATTAAGACACTGGTTGAAAGTAAAAGGTCTTAAAAAAAGATATATCATGCAAATTATGCATAAGAAAGTTGTGTGGTTATTTTACTATCAGAAAAAAAGTAAACTTCAGGACAAGGAATACTACTAGAGATTCAGCAACACAGTTTATAATGTTAAAAGGATCGATGTATCAAAAAGACAAAAATATGCAAAGTACATATACACCTAAAAACAGAGCTTCAAAAGTCATAGGACAAAATATAAACAGAACTAAAAGGAGAAATAAACAAATTAATTATTACAGTTATAAATTTTAATGCTTCTTTTCCTGTAATTAATGTAACAAATATACATAAAATCAGTATTGCTTTGGAAGATTTCAACACTATGGACCAACTTGAAGTAATTGGCACATATAGAGCCCTCCTCCCAATAGCTGTAGAAGACAAGTCCTTTTCAAGTGTACATAAAACTTTCATGAAGATCAATCATATGATGGGTCATAAAAAGTCTCAGTAAGTATCAAATATTTGAAATAATTCTGAGCATATTCTCTGTTTTTGTATGTGTGCCGTAAGGAAGGGGTCCAGCACCATAATTTTGCATGTGGATACTGAGCACCATTTGTTGAAAAAATGATTTTTCTCCCATGATATGCTTTGGCACCATTTTCATACATCAATTGGCCACAAAAGTATGTGTTTCACTTCTGGACTTTCAATTGTGTTCCACAGATCTATAGTTATATCCTTACTTCAATAAGATACTGTCTTGATTATTGTAGCTTTGTTCTAAGTTTTGGAATCAGGAAGTGTGAGTCCTTCAACTTTGTACTTTTTCAAGAATACTTTGGTTATTCTGGTTTCCTTGCATATTCATATGAATTTTACAATCAGCTTATGCATTTTTTGAAAGAACCCGCTGGGATTTTTACGGGAATTGAATTGATCTTTAGATCACCTTAGGAAGTACTGCCATCTTAACAATATTGTCTTCTAATCCATGAACATTAAATGTCTTTCCATTTATTTAGGTCTTTTTTAATTTCCTTCAAGGATGTTTTATAGCCTCAGAGGACAAGTTTTACACTTGTTTTTAAAACTGTATTCCTTGATGTTTATTGTTTTTAAGGCTATTGTAAATAGAATTGTTTCCTTGATTTCATTTTCAAATTGTTCATTGCTGGTGTATAGAAAAAAAAGATTTCTATATTTTGATCTCATAACCCACAACTTGCTGAATATATTAGTTCTAATAGTTTTTTATGTGTGTGAATTCCTTATGATTTTCTATATACAAGATCATGTTATCTGTGAATACAGAGAGTTTTACTCCTTCCCTTTCATTCTGGATGCATTTTATTTCTTCTCCTTGCTTGACTGCTCTAGCTAGAATTTCCAGTGTAATGATGAATAAAAGTGGTGAGAAGAGACATCCTTGTCTTTTTACTGACCATAGGGGCAAAGCATTTAGTGTTTCAAAGTTAAATATAATGTTAGATGTGGGTTTTTAAATAAATGTCCATTATCAGATTTTTAAGAATCAACAAAATAAATATGTAGAATATTCACAAATATTTAGAAACTAGTGACAGTCTTCTAAATAGTGCATGTGTAAAAGGAGAAATCACAGAAAAATTGTGAAATATTGTGGACCAAATGATAAAACACATACCAAAATTTGTTGTATGCAGCTAAAACTGACTTTAGAGGAAAAATGTATAATATTAAATGCTTCTGTTAGGAAAAAAGAGAGTTTTAAAGTCAATGACGTGGATTTCCTTCTTAATAACCTAGAGAAAGAATACTACATTAAACCCAAAGTAGAGAAAAGAAACAATACCAGTAAAAGTGGAATCATTGAAATAGAAAATATAAAAGGGAGAAAATTAATAAAAGCAAATTATGGTTCCTTGAAAAATCAATTAAAACTGATAAACCTCTAACTGGATGGATAAAACAATGAGAGGGAACACTCAAATTTGTAAGAATAGGAATCAAGAAGCAACATCACCAGAGTCCCTATAGACATTAAAAAGAATAAGAGATTTTTATGGAAAATCTAATGTTTCTAAATTCAATAACTTAGATTAATGGACAAATTATTTAAAAGATATTAGTTACCAAAAGTGACTGCAGAAGAAACAGAAAATCCAGATAGCTTCATATCTATTTAGAAAATTAAAATATTAATTAAAAACTTTTCCACATAAAAAACCTCCAGGGCCAAATGGCTTTACTGGTAAATTTTATAAAGCATTTTGTGAGAGCAGCACACCTTAATAACAAAAATTGACAAAGATGTTACCAAAGAAAAAAAAAAGCCATATCTACATCCCTTAGGAATTTGGTAACCAAAATCCCCATGAAAATGTTAGCAAACAAAATCCAGTAGTAGATAAGAAGTCTACTACACAATGACCAAGTGGGGTTTATCCAAGGAATGCAAGGTTGGATTAACATTTGGAACCAATTCATATAATGCACCACATTAACAGAATAAAAGAGAAAAGACGATATGATCATCTTAGTGGTTGTGGAAACAGCATTTGATAAAATTCAACATGCCTTTGTAATAATAATTCTCAGAAAAAATAGGAATACAAAGGAATGCCCTCAATCTAGAAGATCTAACCACAGACATCATATGAAATGGTGATATATTACATTCTATTTTCCTAAGATTGAGAAAAGGCACTGACTGATGTCTACTGTCACCATTTCTACTCAAGACTTTAGCAGAGGTCTTAACACCTGACATAGGACCAGAATATTATGTAAAAGGCAAACAGATTGGCAAAGAAGCAAAACTCTCAGAATTCACAAGTGATCTATATGTTTATACAGAAAACCCCAAAACTACTAGAATAAGTGGTCTTCAGAGTCACAGCACACAAGGTCAATATACAAAAATAACTGTATTTCTACATACTAACAACAATTGAAAAGTGAAATTACAACAGTAAATTTTTTATAATAACCCCAAAAGAAAATCAAGTTTCTAGAAATATATCTCAAAAGGACACGCAAGGCCTCTGTGCTGGAAACCATAAAACCCCACTGAGGGAAACTAAATAAGATTTAAATAAACTGAAAAAATGGTACATGTTTATGGGCTGGAAGACACAAGATTGTCATCATGGCATGAACCTAAAATGGTTTATAAATTTAATGCAAACCCCAGCAAAACTGCAGTAGGATAGCAGGGGTTTTTGGTGTTTTTTTTTTTTTTTTTAGAATCAGACAAATTGATTCTAAAATGTATGTGGAAACGCAAAAACAAATCTAAAACAGCCATATAATTTTTGACAAAGAAAAACAAGTTTAGAGGACTTGTGCTCCTTGGATTTAAGAATGATTATAAACTTACAATAATTCAGACAGTAAAATATTGGCATAAGGATAGGAAAATAGATCAATGGAACAGAATAAAGAGTCAAGAGTAGAGCACACATGTATGGGCAATTAACTTTCAACCAGTGTGAAAAAGAACCTCTTTTTTAAACTATAGTTGGTGTTGTTTAACCTCATGAACTTTAAAAAAAGAATAAAACTATAGTTGGAAAAGCTAGATATCCCCAGGAAAAAAGAGATAACACCAGACCCCATCTCCCTCCATAGCCAGAAAATAACACGTGGCAGGTTGCAGGCCTGAGCAAAAAACTGAGGGCAGCAGAACTTCTGCAGGAATATATACAAGAAGCCTGGGCAACATGGCGAGACCCTGTCTCTACAAAAATACAAAAATTGGCCAGGTGTGGTGGTGCAAGTCTGTAGTCCCAGCTACTCGGGAGGTTGAGGTGAGAGGATCAGTTGAGGCCAGGAGGTTGAGGCTGCAGTGAGCCAAGATCGCACTACTGCACACCAGCTGAGGCAACAGAGTGAGATCCTTGCAGAAAGAAAGAAAAGAAGAAAGGGAGGAAGGAAAGGAGAGAAGGAAGGAAGGAGGGAGGGAGGGAGGGAGAGAAGGGGGGAGGGAGAGAGGGAAAGAGGGAAGGAGAGAGGGAGGGAAGGAAGGGAAGGGAACAGAAGGGAAGTGAAGGGAAGGGCAGGAAGGGAGGAAGGAAAGGAGGAGGGAGGGAGGGAGGAAGGGAGGGGAGAAAGAGAGAGAGAACAAAATAAAGAAAAGAAAAAAGAAAAGAAAAGCAAAGGAGAATAGCTTCGCAATTTTTCAATTCAGAAAAGATCTCTTAGGACATCAGAAACACTATCTATAAAAGGAAACAAAATTGATAAACTAGACTTTAAAATTTCTACTCAGAATGTCTACTACTAAGAAAATAAATAGGTAAATCACTGATTAGGGAAAATCTTCACAGCACACGTATCTTGCAATGGACTCATTCATCATGTATAGAGACTTCTGACAAATTGGCAATGATGAAACAATTAGACAATGAAAAGACAAATAACCTAATTTAAAAATATGCAAAAAACTTGGACACCACAGATAAAATATATGAATGGGCAAAAAGAATATTTAAAAGGTGCTCAACATCAGGCAAATGCAAGTTAAAACCACCATGAGATATCATTTCACATGCACTAAAATTACTAGAATCAAAAATGACGACAACACCATGTATTGGCAAGGAAGTGGGACAATTAGAATGCTAACACATTGCTGGCGGGCATTTAAAATGGTACAATTACTTGGGGAACCTGTTCAACAGTTTCTTCTCAAGTTGAATATTCACTAACCCTATGATTGAGTAATTTTATCTCTAGGTATATACTCAGGAAAAATGAAAATATGTTCATAAAAGGATGTGACGAGAATATGCATCACAGCTTTATTTTTAATGGATAAAAACTGAAAACAATTCTGTGGCCCAAAAAGAGATCAGATAGACAATAGAATGTATTTAGTAATTAAAAAAAAAAAGAAGAAACAAACTAATTAGAAAAGGACATTTGTGGAACGGTTGGCAAAATTTGAACAAAGTTTGTAGATAATTTACTAGATACTAGTAGTATACTGTTTCTGGTTTTGGTAAGTTTACTATGGTTAAGTGCAATGTTAACTTACAGCTCTTTTATCTATTATTTTTGCAACTTTTTATAAGTCTGAAATTATTTCAAAATAAGAATAAATAAAGAGATATATAACAGTTAAACAAATTAAAAACTCAAGAGTACATATTTATGATTCCAGTTGTGTTAAATTGGTCTATAATGATAAAAGTTAGAAAGTGGTTGCTTGGTGGAGGGAGTTGGAGAGTTGATTGGAGGGGATGTGAGGAAATTTTGTGATGATGGAAATATTTTCTATCTTGTTTTGAGTGATTGTTACAGAGGTGGATACAATGTTGAAATGCATTAAGAACACTAAAGGCCAGTGCATTTTATTAGATGTTAATTATATCTCAATAATAATAATAATAATAAGACAACAGAAATAATGTACCAAGGAAAATATCAAAATTGGGGCCAATTATTTTGAATGAAGAAAAAGTGATAATTAAAAGATAAACTCTAAAAAACAAGAGCATAAAGCAGAAATAGGAGAACTATGAGAAAAGATGGGTTGAGAACAGAAGACAAAGGAACACTATTTGTGAGTTAGGAAAGGAAGCATAAGAAATAAACACAGAATAGCTCCTCAGAGGCGCTGAGCCCCAAGCTAAGGAACATGTTCTCCTCTTCCAATCCCACTTCAAAACTGCTTTTTTTCAGTTTTGCAAGAGAAAGGCTAACAGTTCACCCGTCAAGACATTGACCTAAGGTTTAAAAACCTTGGGCATTGTATGAAAAGGACAATTTAAAAATTATCTTAAGTAAAAAGTAAAAACCTCAATATTCCCACTGATCACCACCACTAGTAAATCTTAGCAGGGATAAGATGTCAAATAAAATTTTACTTGTAAATTGTTAAAATTGTTTACTGAATTTTGTATTATATTTATGCTATATTGAAAAATTGTGTACTAATTATATCATGATACCTCAGTCCAGAAGAAAATGTCTAACATTAAGAGTCTTATATTTAAAGGAAAGTAAACAGAAAAAAAATGGAATATATTGTACAGATGAATGGGTAAATAGATACATACAGTGTGATGTGTGTGTGTGTGTGTGTGTGTATGTGTGTCTAGAAATACGATAGAAAGATCAATAAAAAAGTTTTAGGCTGGGCACAGTGGCTCACACCTGTAATCCCAGCACTTTGGGCGGCTGAGGTGGGCGAATCATCTGAGGTTGGGAGTTCGAGACCAGCCTTACAAACATGAAGAAACCCCATCTCTACTAAAAATACAAAATTAGCCAGGCGTGGTGGCACATGCCTGTAATCCTAGCTACTCGGGCGGCTGAGACAGGAGAATCACTTGAACTCGGGAGGGGGAGGTTGCGGTGAGGCAAGATCACACCATTGCACTCCAGCCTGGGCAATAAGAATGAAACTCCATCTCGAAAAAAAAAACGTTTTAATATTCGTTGCATATTACATTAGGATATACTTTTGTAGGCCAAGTGAAATGAACATACAAATTCAAAGAGAAAAACTTAAAATCCCTGCTGAGAGGACTCACAGACCCCCTGAAGGAAGTAGATTGCTCCTGTAGAACCCAGGCGACACCCCAAATACTGTGCTGGTATCCACAGCTGAGAAACCCACAGGTGGTTCACATCACAGGACTCTGTGCAGACAACCCCCAGTACCAACCCAGAGCCTGGTAGACTTGCTGGGTGGCTAAATCCAGAAGAGAGAAAACAATCACTATAGCTCGGTTCTCAGGAAGCCACATCCACAGGAAAAGTGGGAGAGAACTACATCAAGGGAACACCCCATGGGACAAAAGAATCTGAACAACAGCCTTCAGACCTAGACCTCCCCTCTGACAGAGTCTACCCGAATAAGAAGGAAACAGAAAAACAACTCTGGTAGTATGACAAAACAAGGTTCTTTAACACCTCCAAAAAAATCACACTAGCTCACCAGCAATGGACCCAAACCAAGAAGAAATGCCTGATTTACCTGAAAAAGAATTCAGGAGGTTAGTTATTAAGCTAATCAGGGAGCCACCAGAGAAAGGCGAAGCCCAGTGTAAGAAAACCCAAAAAAATGTTATAAGAAGTGAAGGGAGAAATAGTCAAGGAAATAGCATAAATAAAAAACAATCGAAACTTCAGGAAACAATGGACACCCTTATAGAAATGCAAAATGCTCTGGAAAATCTCAGCAAAAGAATTGAACAAGTAGAAGAAAGAAATCAGAGCTCAAAGACAAGCTCTTTGAATTAACCCAATACAATCAAGACAAAGAAAAAAGAATAAGAAAATATGAACAAAGCTCCAAGAAGTCTGGGATTATGTTAAACGACCAAACCTAAGAATAATCAGTGTTCTTGAGGAAGGAAAGATTTATAAAAGTTTGGAAAACGTATTTGGGGGAGTAATCGAGGAAAAATTCCCCAGCCTTGCTAGAGACCTAGACATCCAAACACAAGAAGCACAAAAAACACCTGGAATATTCATCGCAAAAAAAGATCATCACCTAGGCACATTGTCATCAGTTTCTCTAAAGTTAAGACAAAGGAAAGAATTTGAAGAGCTGTAAGACAAAAGCATCAGGTAATCTGTAAAGGAAAACCTATCACATTAACAGCATATTTCTCAGCAGAAACCCTACAAGCTGGAAGAGACTGAGGCCCTATCTTCAGCCTCCTCAAACAAAACAATTGTCAGCCAAGAATTTTGTATCCAGTGAAACTAAGCTTTGTATATGAAGGAAAGATAGAGTCTTTTTCAGACAAACAAATGCTGAGAGAATTCACCACTACCGAGCCACCACTACAAGAACTGCTAAAAGGAACACTAAATCTTGAAATAAATATTGGAAACATCATCAAAACAGAATCTACTTAAAACATAAATCTCACAGGACCTATAAAATAAAAATACAATTTAAAAAGCAAAAACAAAAAACTGAGGTATACAGGCAACAAATAGCAGGATGAATGGAATGGTACCTCACATCTCAATACTAACATTGAATGTAAATGGCCTAAATGATCCACTTAAAAGATACAGAATTTCAGAATGGATGAGAATTCACCAACCATCTGCTGCCTTCAAGAGACTCACCTAACACGTAAGGACTCTCGCAAATTTAAGATAAGGGGGTGGAAAAAGACATTTTAAGCAAATGGACACCAAAAGCAAGCAGGAGTAGCTATTCTTATATCAGACATAACAAACTTTAATTTAAAGCAACAGCAGTTTAAAAAGACAAAGAGGGACATTATCTAATGATAAAAGGCCTTGTCCAGCAGGAAAATTTCAAAATCCTAAACATATATGCACCAAACACTGGAGCTCCCAAATTTATAAAACAATTACTAATAGACCTAAGAAATGAGATAGACAGCAACGCAATAATAGTGGGGGACTTCAATACTCCACCGACAGCACTAAACAAGTCATCAAGACAGAAAGTCAACAAAGAAACAATGGACTTAAACTATACCCTGGAACAAATGGACTTAACAGATATATACAGAACATTTCATCCATCAACTACAGAATATACATTCTATACAACAGCACATGGAACTTTCTCCAAGATAGACCATATAATAAGGCCACAAAATGAACCTCAATAAATTTAAGAAAATCGAAATTTTATCAAGCACTCTCTCAGACCACAGTGGAATAAAACCGGAAATCAACTCCAAAAGGAACCTTCAAAACCCTGCAAATACATGGAAATTAAATAACCTGCTCCTGAATCATCATTGGGTCAAAAATGAAATTAAGATGGAAATTAAAAAATTATTTGAACTGAATGATAATAGTGACACAACCTATCAAAACTTCTGGGACACAGCAAAGGCAGTGCTAAGAGGAAAGTTCATAGCCCTAAATGCCTACATCAAAAAGTCTGAAAGAGCACAAACAGACACTCTAAGGTCACACCTCAAGGAACTTGAGAAAGAAGAACAAACCAAACCAAACCCAGCAGAAGAAAGGAAATAACCAAGATCAGAGCAGAACTAGATGAAATTGAAACAAAAAAAATACAAAAGATTAATGAAATAAAAAGCTGGTTCTTTGAAAAGATAAATAAAATTGATAGACCATTAGCAAGATTAACCAAGAAAAGAAGAGAGAAAATCCAAATAAACTCAATAAGAAATGAAATGGGAGATGTTATAACTGACACCACAGAAATACAAAAGATCATTCAAGGCTACTATGAACACCTTTACATGCATAAACTAGAAAACCTGGATGAGATGGGTAAATTCCTGGAAGATACAACACTCCTAGTTTAAATCAGGAAGAATTAGATGTCCTCAACAGACCAAAAACAAGGAGCGAGATTGAAATGGTAATTTAAAACTTACCAACCAAGAAATGTCCAGGGGTCAGGTGCAGTGGCTCATGCCTGTAATCTCAGCACTTTGGGAGGCAGAGGTGGGTGGATCACGTGAGGTTAGGAGTTCGAGACCACCCTTGCCAACATAGCGACACCACTTCTCTACTAAAAATACAAAATTAGCTGGGCGTGGTGGCACATGCCTCTAATCTCAGCTACTCAGGAGGCTGAGGCACAAGAATCACTTGAACCTGGAAGGCAAAGGTTGCAGTGAGCTGTGATTCCACCACTGCACTCCAGCCTGGGTGACAGAACTTGTCTCAAAGAAAAAAAAAGAAAAAAAAAAAAGTCCAGGACCAGATGGATTCACAGAAGAATTCTACCAGATATTCAAATAATTGGTACCAATCCTGTTGATACTATTCCACAAGATAAAGAGGAAACCCTCCCTAAATCATTCAATGAAGCCAGTATCACCCTAATACTAAAACCAGGAAAGAACATAACCAAAAAAAACTACAAATCAATATCCCTGACTAACAAAATACTAGCTAGATGAATTCAACAACATATCAAAAAGATAATCCACCATGATCAAGTGGGTTTTATACCAGGGATGCAGGGATGGTTTAACATATGCAAATCAATAAATGTGATACATCACATAAACAGAATTAAAAACAAAAATCACATGATCATCTCAATAGATGCAGAAAAAGCATTTGACAAAATTCAGCATCCCTTTATGATTAAAACTCTCAGCAAAATCGGCATACAAGGGACATACCTCAATATAATAAAGGCTATCTATGACAAACCCACAGCCAACATAATACTGAATGGGGAAAAGTTGAAAGCATTCCCTCTGAGAACTGAAACAAGACAAGGATGCCCACTCCTCTTCAACATAGAACTGGAAGTCCTAGCCAGAGCAATCAGACAAGAGAAAGAAATAAAGGGCATCCAAATCGGTAAAGAGGAAGTCAAACTGTGGCTGTTTGCTGATGATATGATCGTTTACCTAGAAAACCCTAAAGACTCCTCCAGAAAGTGCCTAGAACTGATAAAAGAATTCCCACTACTGGGTATCTACCCAGAGGAAAAGAAGTCATTATACAAAAAAGATACTTGCACAGGCATATTTATAGCAGCACAATTCACAGTTGCAAAAACGTGGAACCAACCCAAATGCCCATCAAGCAACAAGTGCATAAAGAAACTGTGGTTTATATATATATGATTCAATACTATTCAGCCATAAAGAGGAATGAGTTAATGGCATTCACAGCTGGATGGAATTGGAGACTATCATTCTAAGTGAAGTAACTCAGGAATGGAAAACCAAACACCGTATGTTCTCACTTATAAGTGGGAACAAAGCTATGAGGATGCAAAGGCATAAGAATGACACAATGGACTCTGGGGATGCCAGGGAAGCTGTAGGAGGGGAGTGAGGGATAAAAGACTACAAATAGGGTGCAGTGTACACTGCTTGGGTGACAGGTACACCAAAATCTAACAGATCAATGCTAAAGAACTTGTGTAACCAAACACCACCTGTTCCCCAATAACCTATCGAAATAAAAAATAATAATAATAATAAAATAAAATCCCTAATTATTTTAGCTGTATGTATGCTAACGAATGAATATTAAGTATGAATTTTTTTGATATCAAGATTCCACTGGGTACATTTGAAGGCCTTTTTTTTTTTTTTTTGAGACAGAGTCTCACTCTGTCACCCAGGCTGCAGTGCAGTGGCATGATCTCAGCTCACTGCAACTTCCACCTCACGGTTTCAAGCAATTCTCCTGTCTCAGCCTCCCGAGTAGCTGCGACTACAGGCCCATGCCGCCACACCCGGCTAATTTCTTCTGTATTTTAGTAGAGACAGGGTTTCTCTGTGTTGCTCAGGCTGGTGTCAAACTCCTGAGCTCAGGCAATCCACCTGCCTCGGCCTCCCAAAGTGCTGGAATTACAGGTGTGAACCACCACGCCCGGCCTGAAGGCATTTTATAACCTCTTTATTCTAAAATGTTAGTACTTAGGTCTGTGCGGAAATTGCAACCTTTACAACTATAAAAACTTATTATCAAAATCTTACCAGCCAATTTAACAAATGTCCAAGAAAGCATAAAGTTTAAAAAATTATTTGAAGGGGAAGGCAAGCAGAAATGTACGTCAGCCCTAGGTCTAGAGCATCATCGTACCTCACATAAAAGATCGCAGTAGCCTCCTGGCTCTGTCCCCTGCTACTGCTCCCCTACAAGACCTTCTTAAAAAAACAGTCTGTTTTGCAGGGGAGGGGAAGGCAAATCCAATTTCGTCTCCTCTGGAACATGGTGTCAGTGCATGCAGTGCGAAATGCAAACGCTCGACGGGCCTGGAGGGTGTGCAGGGCCACTTTTCTCACCCCTCACTTCTCCTCCATCTCCCCCTTTTTACTCTCCATGCTCTGTCCATGTTGGCCTTCTGACTCCTTGAGTACGACAAGTGATTCCTCCTTTCGAAGTCCTTCCGTGTGAAGTTCATGCCCTGGAGATGCTTGCACAGGTCTTCAGGTTTCTGGCTCTTTCTGACCTTCAGGTTTTGGCTTCAAGGTCCACTCCCCAGGAAAGCATTTCCTGACAACATTCATTCAAGTGCTCCTCATCCAAGTTGTTCTTTTTCCCAAGACACTGCTTATTTTGGGGGTAACATTTATCATAATCTGAATGTATCTCCTTTTAAAAACTTTTTTCTGTTGAGTGTGGGTTACCTCCACTAGAGAGCAAGTGCCAAGACGACGCAATGGGGTTTCACCCATCCCTGTTCCTCACCACCACACACCTAATGCCAATCCAAGCACATAATGAGTGTTCAGTACACGCTCGTGAAAGGGAGGGAGGGAGGGACAGTGACAGCAGCTGCATGTGAAGGTTTGGGAGGTGAACGCATTTGCAGCTGGTGCTCTGCAGGGCCTACATGCTGCTCTTGTGCCTCCATTCTCCATTCAGACCTACAGCATTTTGCATCTGCCACATGACATCACCACCGGTCACCCTCACCCCCACCACCTGCCTCTTCCTCCAGCCACCACTTCCCACCTGGCATCCAGTCCTGGGTTTTGTAAGGCTAGGCTAAGCCATTCTTCCTCTGTTACCTGGTGTGCTGGCTGCCCCTTGAGAGTTTACCAGCTCACAGAGGTCTTCCTCCTCTTAGAATTGCAGAGCCACGTCTGTACCTGCTCGGACTCTCCATGGTGAGGTCAGGAAGTGCACCTGAGTGTGGGCTCTGCACTCAGCCTGCTCCACTGACAAGTGTACACAGGACCTTGCACAGGACAGCTCACCTCTCCACACCTCCAGTTTCTTTTCCATAGATATAGGATAGGTTTCTGAAGAGGTTGAATTCACATATGTAAGGCACTTAGAACAGTGACACACAAATAATAAGTACCCAAAATGATAACTGCTTTTGTGTCCCAGGAATTTAACCTGGCATTCAGATCAACCAGTTTGTTTCTGCAGGTGACTAGAACCAGTGATACACGTTTGAACTCTGAGAAGTGAGCACCTTCTACCATGGAGATTCTTCATGGGATTTATTGGAGGGAAGTGTTGGGACCTTTACGATGCCTTGGAATTGTCCAATTGTCCTTTTGTTGGGCATCTGGAGGTTTTAGCACCTGGGCCAATGCAAGTCCCAGTGAGCCAGCAGGAACCCTTTCTAAGTGGAAGAAGGCAACCATGACAGGGTTGGGATGGGAGAACTTCCACCCCAAGAACCTTCTCGGGCAGATCAATTTTAGGAAAGAATACACGTGGAAATTGAGGATTTGGAAAAATATTTTCTCATTAAAACTTTCAGCTGGGCATGGTGGCTCATGTCTATAATCCCAGCACTTTGAGAGGCTGGCAGACAACCTGAAGTCAGGAGTTCAAGGCCAGCCTGGCCAACAGGACAAAACCCCGTCTCCACTAAAACTACAAAAATTAGCCAGGCGTGGTGGCACACACCCATAATCCCAGTTACTTGGAAGGCAGAAGCAGGAGAATCACTTGAACCCAGGAGGCAGAGATTGCAGTGAGCCGAGATCCTGCCACTGCATTCCAGCCTGGGCAGGAGGGCGAGGCTCCATCTCAAAAGAAAAAAAAAAACAAAAAAAAAAAACAAAAAAAGCCATTCACCAGAGAAAGCCACCCTGCAGAGAAAAATGGGTGTGTGTCCCCCATTCTAGTTCTTCTGTCAGGGATAAAACATAATGCCAGGACCCCCTTCTCATTCAAATGCGCAAGAGACATCCTGGCTCCTCACCTAACAGCATCAAGCTTTAAGTTTTGTTTTGTTTTGTTTGTGTTGTTTGTTTTCTAAGGGATTTTTCTATCCACATTAATAAATATCTTTGTAATTCAAAGTTTTTCCTTCTTTTTAGAAGGAAGTTTTATTTTAAGAATAATGTTTATTAACACAAGTCTTCTATAATCAGTAGTGTACAATAATTGCAGGTTGAAATGAAAGAAAGAATAAATGAAGGATAGGTTTTCCTTTTATAAGTGCTTTTTAAATGTTTCATTGAGGTGTAATTGATATACAAATAATGGCACATGTTTAATGTCTACATTTCAATGAGTTTGGACATATACCTACATCCATGATACCGTCACCAAATCAAGGTATCAAACATCTCCATCTACTCAAAATTGTTCTTGTATTGCTTTGTACTTTTTAAATTTTATATAGTATATTTTAATTACATTTGAAATCTTTTATCAAATACATGACTTGCACTAATTAGAACTTAAACACAATATTTTTAAATTATACACACCAACAGCTATATGAAGATAACACTTCACCTAAGGGTATTCATTTGTGATGGGTAAAAATTACTATTGTACTTGGAAATGAATCATTTGACTCAAAGTTACACAGTTTAAGGTAAATGGTATTATCATTTCTAAACAATGAACTCCAAATATTCTCACTGAATTCCATAAGAGGAGTGTAATTCCTGTCCCATTGATGTAGGGCTGGGCCATGTGACTTTCTTTGGCTAACAGAACAAGAGTGAAAACAAAAGTGGAAGCCTGCCAGGTCTAAGAAGCTCGGTGAGTTCCTGCCAGCTCCACAGTCCCCACCTTCCACCCTGAGAGCTGTGCCCAGATTAGTGTGGTCGGGAGCCTGGGGCTCCAGTGAAAAGACCCATAGCCTGAACTTAGACTGATATGGTTTGGCTGTGTCCCCACCCAAATCTTAGCTTGAATTGTAATAATCCCCACATGTCAAGGGAGGAGCCAGGTGGAGGTAACTGAATCGTAAGGGCAGTTTCCTCCATAGTGTTCTCATGGTAGTGGATCAGTCTCACAAGATCTGATAGTTTTATAAAGGGGAGTTCCCTTGCACAAGCTCTCTTGCCTGCGGCCACGTAAGACATGATTTTGCTCCTCCTTTGCCTTCTGCCATGATTGTGAGTCTTCCCCAGCCATGTGAAACTGTGAGCCAACTAAACTTCTTTCCTTTATAAATTACCCAGTCTCAGGTATGTCTTTATTAGCAACGTGAGAATAGATGAATACGTAGACCCACCCTGCTTGGAGCAGAGCCACAGACCCCAACCTGTAGCCACTGCCGTGCCATGTGAGGGAGACAGAAATATTTGTTTCATAAGCTCTAGAGCAAGCTTGTCCAACCTGCAACCTGCAGGTTGCATGTGGCCCAGGACAACTTTGAATGCAGCCCAACACAAGTTTGTAAACTTTCTTAAAACATTATGAGATTTATGCATGGACTTTTTTTTTTTTTTAGCTCGTCAGCTATCATTAGTGTTAGTGTATTTCATGTGTGGCCCAAGACAATTCTGCTTCTTACAATGTGGCCCAGGGAAGCCAGAAGATTGGACACCCCTGCTCTAGAGATTTAGAGGTTGTTTGTTACCCAGCATTATCCTAATGAAAACCAGTCAACACAGCTTAAGGGTAGAATTTGGTTTTACAAAGCTAGGAAACTGTAAGCAATATAAAACTCACTAGAAATTCAGAGGCACATGAATTCTTTATCTAAATGAGATACTCTCCCTGTAGAGTCATTGTCAGTGGTAGGGGGTACATAGAGTCTCAACAAGAGACAAGTGTTTGTACAAGATGTCAAATATGACATACTAGGATCAGGGGCCACCATCCCCCTACTCAAGTGCAAGTTCAGGCTCTGTTCTTAGAAGCAGAGTGAAAGAGAGTATCCACCTAAGTGATTTCCTCATTCCTTAGTGGTGGATTATTTGCTCCTTCTGAGAAGGAAACAAGAAATATCAGAGTAAAGTCCTTCCTGAGATAAGGCTCTGAACAGATTGGTATGGTCTTCTAGGTCCAAAAGTTATCTGTTGTTGAGACATGGAGGCTCCCCATAACCCCAAACCTAAGTAAATGAAGACCAAAAAAGAAAATCTCAAAATTACTTTACATTGAAAGAGACACAGAAGACTTGATGACTCACAGGTAACAGAACTGGCCCAGGGCTGGATCAAGTATCTTAACTGTCTCTACAGGGGCCACTTATTGGTGCATCTTTTGGATTTAAAGAAAGAGACAATGTATTCGTGTATGTCAGTGGAAGATGGAGTGCCCTCATCACTCACACCAGGTGGATCAAAAGAAGCATTTTAGTTACTATTATTCAATGAGGCAGAACTGGGACCTTGAACAGAGGCAGATGACTGTCTAGCTAACAGCCACCTCGAACCAGGCAGAGGCCAGTTAATAGATTCACTCCAGCATTGGCTTTTGACTGAAGGTGAGAAGACTTGGGATGGTTGTGTCTGTCCACAGTGACGAGCTGTGTGTCCCTACACTTAAGAACATGATGTGCGTCTTGCCTTAGAAGACCTCTCAAAGGAACAATTTGATGATCAGATCTTTCTGAAATTGGTTTTCAGTCTCTGGTCTCTGAAATATTGCTGTCTCTTGATTGGATTAATTTCTGGCTTAAATAATTTCTCAGTTGGTTGCGGCTTCCTCTGCCCAGCACTAACTCTTTCTTGCAGCATGAGCCACAGACTAGTAATCATAAGCTCTTATTAAAATAAGTAACTGATTTTTTAAAGTCCCTTTTATGAAATGTGTTGGAGACACATTTTTTATTTCTGTCTGTCTCTTACAAGCTTCTGCTCTTCCTCTTCCACTCACAACCTGGATACTCAGCTGCGTTTTCAGAGGCAGCACCATCTGCTCATAGAATTCATTGGCAAACTCAATTTTCAGGTACAGGTGTTGCCATGCACTCTCCAGGTGAGCTTTTATCAATTGACCCATGTAATGGTTAATATTAAGCGTCAACTTGATTGGATTGAAGGATGCAAAGTATTGTTCCTGGGTGCGTCTGTGAGGGTGTTGCCAAAGGAGATTAACAATTTGAGTCAGTGAACTGGGAGAGGCAGACCCATCCTCAGTCTGGGTGGGCACCATCTAATCAGCTGCCAGCATAAAAACAGGAATGGAAAGAGCAGACTGGCTGAGTCTCCTGGCCTTCATCTTTCTCCCATACTGGATGCTTCCTGCCCTCAAACATCAGACCCCAAGCTCTTCAGCTTTTAGACTCTTGGACCTGCACCAGTGGTTTGCCAGGGGCTCTTGGACCTTTGGCTACAGAATGAAGGCTGCACCGTCGGCTTCCCTACTTTTGAGGTTTTGGGACTTGGACTGGCTTCCTTGCTCCTCAGCTTGCAGACGGTCTATTGTAGGACTTCACCTTGTGATGGTATGAGTCAATTCTCCTTAATAAACTCCCTTTCACGTATACATCTTTCCTATTCGTCCTGTCCTTCCAAGGAAACCTGACTCATACAACCCCAACTAATACAACCCTGAACAAGATTCACATTGCTTTTGCCTAACTGAATCCTTTCCTCACTTGGCTTTGTTTACACATTTTCTTAGCATGTGTTGTTAATACAGGTTGAGCTAGAAAATATTTGTTACTTTTTCTTCCTCAACTTTTATTTTCTCATTCTAGTGATCAGCTGGCTCTCCACTGCTAATACATTCCATTGCTTGCTTGTTTTTTAATAGTTATGTTCCTGCCCTGAGAATCAAAATTGGTCACAATCCGTTTTCACTCCCAGTGTAAGTGAAATCTTCTGCATCTTTCTAAGTCACCCAAAAGCATCTGCTCTGTGTTTTAGCTCTGTATGGAGCTCACCCAGCCTTCTGCTTTTGGTAGCAACTGCCCTTTGCAATCTGACATTGCCTTTATGCCCAGAGGAGTTGATAATTTGAATGTCCTTTCTTTGAATTCATTAAGATATGTTTACTTCTTTAGTTCTTTCTTTTTTCTTTCTTTCTTTTTTTTTTTTTTTTTTTTGAGATGGAGTCTCGCTCTGTCCCCCAGGCTGGAGTGCAGTGGCACGATCTTGGTTCACTGCAACCTCTGCCTCCCAGTTTCAAGTGATTCTTTTGCCTCAGCCTCCCAAGCAGCTGGGACTACAGGTGCACACCACCACACCCGGCTAATTTTTGTATTTTTAGTAGAGACAGCATTTCACCACGTTGGCCAGGATGATCTCGATCTCCTGACCTCGTGATCCACCCGCCTTGGCCTCCCAAAGTGCTGGGATTACAGGCGTGAGCCACCGCACGCAGCCTACTTCTTTAGTTTTAGATAATTCTTTGTAGACTCATAACATGTCTGTATATTTCTGGCTTTCCAGCATGGTGGCATCTTTATTAGCTATTGAATCTTACATTCAAAGGCCAGCACATTTTCAAGAGTTTCAGAGTGTTTTCCTCAAGTCCTGTGCCTTGCATCAAAGACAAGCTCAAACTTGAGAGTCATCAGAATCACGTTTAATTTCTAGATCTCTCATAGCTTTGTTGTTTATTCTATGTTTTGTTAATATTCTAACCTTTAACATCAGGTGGTTTCAGGCTCAATGGCTCTTCTCTATTTTGAGGTCATCTTCTGGAGTCTCTAATATAACATGGAGTTGAAGGTAGGGCCATTTCCAACATTTTGAAATCCTCTTCAAACACTTTCATTCTCACAATACCTACTTCTGTGTTCTCTGGTGGCCCTTTCTTCCTCTGGTATGATACAATCTTTTCTTTTTTTTATTTTCTTTTTTTTTTTTTTTTTGAGACGGAGTCTCACTCTGTCGCCCAGGCTGGAGTGCAGTGGCGCGATCTCGGCTCACTGCAAGCTCCGCCTTCTGGGTTCACGCCATTCTCCTGCCTCAGCCTCCCGAGTAGCTGGGACCAGAGGCTCCCACAACCACGCCCGGCTAATTTTTTGTATTTTTAGTAGAGACGGGGTTTCACCGAGTTAGCCATGATGGTCTCAATCTCCTGACCTTGTGATCCGCCCGCCTCGGCCTCCCAAAGTGCTGGGATTACAGGCCTGAGCCACGGCGCCTGGCCCAATCTTCTGTTTCTTTGTCCACTGTTGATTAAAATTTCTGGTGAATTATTGAAAAGATGCGCCTTCTTTTTTTTTTTAACAATAAAGTAGCTATTTTTTATTCACTTTGATTTGGATCATTGGAAATATTCAACAATAAATAAAATAGAGAAGGGACTGAGGAAAGTGGGATCTTGCTAACGTCTTTCAAATGCATCCTGATCAATGCCCAGCTGCGGAACAACACGGACAGTGGCAAACGGGAATAGAAAGCGAATTCTAAAACACCAACAGCCCAACACACAAGACCTCATGGAAAAGAAAGTGCTCAAGAAACCTTGGCTTTAAAGGGGATTCCATGAAGGGAAGTAATTGTGCAGGAGGAAGGGAATGAACCCGTGATCACCCTAATAGCAGTGGCAGGAAGGTCCTGATGCAGGCTAGTGTTAAAGCTGACATCCCACAGTTCAGGATGTACAGATGCACCTTCTTACGAAATAGATTTTACAGCATTTTTCATTTGGCCTAGCAGTAGCCAATGAGACAGATCGCTCCACTGAAAAGTGCTTCTTCTGAGCAAAACAGATACATTTTCTAACAGTGCCCAGCTCCTGACCAGAACCTGGCATCATCTCTACTAAATCTGAGTGACCAAGGAGTAAAAAGCCAGTCTGAGACTTGGCCAGTAATACCCACCTGGCGCTCCCTCTTGCATAACTTGAACTTTGATCTATGATAGGTAATGGTTCTCTCTTTGGGGGAAATGTTGAGATTCAAAGTAATTTTTGCATTGGGGTGAGGAGCCACAGCTCCAGCTCCTGCCTCTCTCCTCCCTTCATGCCCACTTTTGTCACAAGCTCAGCTGAGGCAATGTCGAGAATTGAGAAAACTCCTGTTTCCATTTGAGGGTAGATGCTTGCTGTGCACCTCCTAACATGGGTAGCTCAGAAAACACCCAACGGCTGATGGGGCTCTCAGGCCGCATGGTTGCCTGGGTGGGCAGTGGGGGGATCATGTCCTCACGATTTTTAGGAGACTTTTGTCCAGCTGGAAGGGTTTTCAATAAACCACCATAATACATCACAGGTCTTGGCAAAGGTTGTTTCCCTCTCAATCTTTATTTTGTCTTTATCCTGAAACCGTATCATTCTGGCGGTACTCTAGATTTGATCTTTGTCCCCTGTCTATACAGACTGAAGACAAGAAATTATTTTGTTTTCCTAGCAGGTTCTGGAATCTCTAAATTCCCTCTCAATATTTCCACTTCCTTCCTGAGCTCATGTCTATCTTGTAGGTCTTTGCCTTATGCAGCTGAGCGGAGCCTGGTTGCGCTCACAATGCTCTGCGTGGGAGCACCTCAGCCAAGTCGGCAAGTTTATGGTGTACATTTCCCCTCTCCTCCCAGTTACTGCAGGTAAACAGCTTTCCCAGCGCTTTGCACTGGTTCACATGGGTGGCCATTCTCTCGGATTTAAACCAGTTCCCTTGCCTCGCATCAGATATCCCAAAGCCAATGCCACTTGTTTTCAGTTTTGGCTACGTTCTTGCTCCACTTATAGGTACCAATTTCTATAACAGTTTGCTTGTGCTGCATAACAAACCACCATAAAATCTTAGTGGCATAAAACAGTGTTCACGGGGCTGCAGGTGCCTGGAAAGCGGTGTTGCACTGTGGTTCTGCTTCGCTGCCTCCACTCCACGTGTGTACCCTCTGGGTCCAGAACGAAAGGACGTTCACTCCTGGGGAGGGTCTCATGAAGGCCATAGAAGCAAGGGGCAGGGAGGACAGGGAAGGCCTTTTAAACCTAGTCTCAGAACTAGCACATTGTCAACTTTTGCTAATGTTCTAATGGCCAAAGCAGGTCACATGGCAAACCAGGAGAAGTGAAGGAGTGGAAAAGCAGGCTCTGTTTTTTGAGGGAGAAACTGAAAAGTTACATGGTGAAGGGCATGGATACAGGAAAGAGCAAAGAATGAGGGCCAATAATGCCAGCCGTCACAGTAGTCACTCTCGGAAACGATTAATTACAGCATTGGGCTTAAAATCCAGGATCTCATGATCTATATATCAGGCCTGGGTGAAGCTCCTTTTGATCCAGAGGCCTGTTCTGCCCCTGACACCCAACATAAAAAGTCAATGAATGCTCCCATCTGAAAAGCGAGAGAACCGGAGATGCCTCACAGTTACCAACCCCACTGGGCAGATGTTGCCAGGCCCCCTGCTCTGGAGGTAGGAACTTAACTCACCTAAGCCTAGGTTCAGCATCCTGGCATTGGCTCCCAAACCCGTTGTTCCTGCTTGATCTGCTTTCCTTCTGGCTGCATTCTGTACCCTGAAATCTAGTTTTTCTGTTATTAACATGGATACTCTGGCTTTCTTTTGACTGCTGTTAGTATGGCACATCTTTTTCCATCATCTTATTTTTTAATCTATTTGTGGTTCTCTCTCTCTCTCTCACTCTCTCTCTCTCTATATATATAGATGTATCTGTATCTCTATCTATATCTCTATCTATATCTATATCTATGTCTATATCTATATAATTTTTTGAGACAGAGTCTCACTCTCTTTCCCAGGCTGCAGTGCAGTGACATGGTTTCAGCTCACTGCAACCTTCACCTCCCGGGTTCAGGCAATTCTCCTGCCTCAGCCTCCCAAGTAGCTGGGATTACTGGCATGCGCCACCACATCCAGCTAATTTTTGTATTTTTAGTGGAGACAGGGTTTTGCCATATTGGCCAGGCTGGTCTCAAACCCCTGACCTTAGGTGATCAGCCCACCTCAGCCTCCCAAAGTGCTGGGATTACAGGCATGAGCCATTGCGCCCCACCTGTGGTTATTTATTTATTTCATTTTATTTTAAGACAGGGTCTCACTTAGCTGCCCAGGCTAGAGTGTAGTGAGGCAATCACTGCCTGCTGCACCCTTGACCTCCTTGGTTCAAGCAATCCTGCCACCTCAGCCTCCTGAGTAGCTGAGACCACAGGAATGCTAATTTTTTTTTAATTTTTTTTATTTTTTCACAGAGACGGGGTCTCCTTATGTTGCCCAGGCTGGTTTTGAACTCCAGAGCTCAAGTGATCCTCCTGTCTCAGCCTCCCAAAATGCTGGGATTACTGGAGTGAGCTACCATGCTCAGCCCTGTGCTTTTGTATTTAAATTGCATTTGTTGTATGGAGCATATAATTGGATCTTTTTTTAAAAAAAATTATATCTGACCATCTATGTCTTTTATTTGGAATGTTTAGACCATTTACACTTAGTGTGATGATTGATATGACTAAATTTTTGTTTGTTTGTTTTGTTTGTTTTTTGTTATTTTGTTTGTTTGTTTTTGAGATGGAGTCTTGCTCTGTCGCCCATGCTGGAGTGCAGTGGCGCGATCTTGGCTCACTGCAAGCTCCGCCTCCTGGGTTCATGCCATTCTCCTGCCTCAGCCTCCCAAGTACCTGGGACTACAGGCGCCCGCCACCACATAGGGCTAATTTTTTGTATTTTTAGTAGAGACGGGGTTTCACCATGTCAGCCAGGATGGTCTCGATCTCCTGACCTCGTGATCTGCCCACCTCGGACTCCCAAAGGGCTGGGATTACAGGCATGAGCCACCATGCCCAGCCTGTTTGTTTGTTTTTCATTCTTTTAGTATTTTTTAGAGACAGCCTTGCTTTGTTGCCCAGGCTGGTCTCAAACTCTTGGCTTCAAGTGATTCTCCTGCCTCAGCCTCCCAAAGTGCTGGGATTTCAGGCACGACCCACGATGCCCAGCCATGGCTAAGTTTAAAATTACCATCTTGCTATTTGTTTTCCAATTGTCCCATCTTTTTATTTGCTTTTCTCTCTTATTCTGCCTTCTTTGAACTGAATATTTTTATAATTGTATTTTATCTCCTTTGTTGTCTTTGTTATTTTAATTGTTGCTTTAGAGATTATAGCAGACATCTTTAACTTATCACAGTCTACCTTCAAGTCACATTATACCACTTGATGTATAATACATATAGTATAATGTAGAATGTAATACCTTACAATATTATAGTTTCATTTCTCCCCAACCCTACAGCTATTTCTACTATATATTTGCTTTAGCACATATCATAAACCCATAATGCATTGTCATTATTTTTGCTGAACAGTCAATTATCTTTTAGAGAGATTTAAAGAATAAAAAAAGTATTTTCCAATTCCTTTCTCTGGTGCTTATGTCAAAGGTTAATTAGTTTCTTCATGTCCACCCAATCCCTCTTCCTGTTTAACTTGATGCATGGATGTTATGTATTGCTTGCCGAAAAGTTTGCCTTCATGAACTTCTTTATATTTATTTGATGTCAGAATTGAAGGGATGTTTCATCACCATTGATGGTACATAAGAGGAAATAATAATATCTATGCCATTTGTCTTTTTATTCCTTTCAATGAACTGTCATGGGAGCAAAAGTCTCAACCTTTGTTCTGATATAATTTGATGACTTAGCCTTTTAGTTTGCATGGAAAATTTTTAGATAAACTGCAATATTACCCATGAGGGTACATACTCTCTATTTCTGTCTAGGATAAAGTCAAAACCCATGCAATTGTGCAAAATCATCATTATACACCCATTATTTTGTAGGAATTCACCCTCAAGTGTTAATCAAGTTATTCTTAATTGTAGTGAGCATAAACTATTTTACCAAAACACTTGGATGTTATTACTGTAAGAGCTCTTATAGTTATTTGTTTTGTCTACTGACATATGTATAAGTCCAAAGTAACAAGTGTTGTTGTTTATAACAATTAAACTACTAATGAATGCCAAGAGTTAACATTGCAGTTGTCTTTTGTGTGACCATCTGTAGCAATTAGCTTTTGCTGTATAATGGAAACTAAAACCAACAGAATTTTCTGTCCCTGTTTTAAGCAGTATGAGACTAGGATTGATTTTCCCTGTTTATGTTAAATACTGAAATCATGCATTAAAAAAAAAATAGCTGCTTGCTCCAGGACATACTTTGCACCTGGAAGACGAAACTGGGCCAGCTGAAATAGCTTCCCATCAAGACTCACTCCAGGACCCCACCCACTGTAGCCTCCACTCCAGAGCTGATGTCCTAAACTCCACCAAATACCAACTGATTCTCCGCCTTGCAGTATCTGATTAAATTGTATGACCTAGGTCAAACCCTGTAAAAAGCTTTTTCTGTTTTCCCTTGTTTTAGACATAACTATAACTATAGAGGCAATGTTATCCCTTCCTGTCTAATAAAATTAGCTTTGTTTGATGAACAGGCTTTCCTGGAAGATGGCAATTGACCAAAGAGCCACAATAACTGAGTGGCATATAATAGTCAGCTTTTATTTTGCTGATGTGTGTGCAAATAATGGGTTGGCTTTACCCTCCAGGTATTTAGATAATGGCTAACCTCAACGGTAGACTCACCTTTATATTAAATATGCATAGCCTCAAGTACTGTTTTAGATAATGATACCTTTAGGGGGTAATGATACGTTTAGATGGTTTCCGAAAAGAAAGTATAGGAAATTTAAATCTTACAGACAAAACTTGACATTTTGTTTATTGTACAAGTCTCTAAATGGATCAGAAGATGTCATCTCTGTATTTTCACTTCTATATCCTACAGTGCGTCATTGTTACAAAGATGAAACACAATCACTTTTAAAGGATTTGAGTTTAGAAAGTTGATTTACCAATAATTGGCTTACATGAATACATATCAAGGAAGAAAATTCCCAAACTGAGAATTATTAAATTTTTGCAGTCTCATTATATGTATAATTATTTATTTCTTTGGAATTACTTTTTTTTTTTAAGACGCGTGTCACCCAGGCTGGAGTTCAGTGGCACAATCATGGCACTGCTGCCTGGGCCTCCTAGGCTCAAGTGGTCCTCTCACCTCAGTCTCCTGAGTAACTGGGACCACAGATGTCCTATCACACCTGGCTAATTAAAAAATATATATATAGTAGAGCTACGGTCTTGCTATGTTGCTCAATCTGGTCTCAAACTCCTGGGCTCAAGCAATCCTCCCACCTTGGCTTCCCAAAGTGCTGGGATTACAGGTGTGTGCCGCCATGCCCAGCCTAGCCTCTTCTTTTTAATGATAAGAAAGATATTAGAATTATAAGCATAAATATAAGAAAAATAAGCTTTTATTCTCAAAACTAGTGCCTTAGAAATTGCGGAGGAGCTTTAATATCAAAGCACTCGTATTTCTCGGTAGGTTGTCGTAATAAGTTGAGTATCTATATTATACAGCACCATAATTTTCCTGTTTAGTAATACACAAGACTTTCTAAAATATAATAGTATGCTAGAAAACAGATTGGGGTTTTACAGTGGTTACGTTTATGTGTCAAGTTGACTGGCCTAAAAAATGCCCAGAGAATTGGTAAGAGAGTATTTCTAGGTGTCTGTGAGGGCATTTCTGGAAGAGGTTAGTATTGAATTGGTAGACAGAGTGAAGATCACCTTCACCAATGTGGGTGAGCAGCTTCCAATCTATTGAGGGCCATTTAGCACAAAAGGACAGAGGATGGCTGAGTTCGCTCTCTCTGCCTGAGCGGAGCCGTCATCTTTGCCTGCACTCAGACACTGCACACCTGGTTCTCAGGCCTTTCAGCTTGGACTCATTATGCTGACAGCTTTCCTGGCTACCCAGCTTGCAGACAGCAGATGGTGGGACTTACTGGCCTCCATAATTGCATGAGCCAATTCTCATCATAAACCTCTCCATATGTAGAAATATAAACATAAGTACAAATATATAATATCTATCTCCTATTTGTTCTGTTTTTCCGAAGAACCCTGACTAACACAGTCGTGGATCTCTTTAACTTTCTATTAACTTCTAGTTTTAATGATTAGGCTGTTTTAAACCTGATTATAAGTAAACTGTCTTAATCTTTGTACAGATGCCATATACTGATTTGCCCATATTCCTAAGTAGGAATATAGTCTTCAAAATTCACCTTTTAAATGCACGATTCAAATTTTTTTTTCTTGGCTGGGTGAGGTGGCTCACACCTGTAACTCCAGCACTTTTGCAGGCTGAGGCAGGTGCATCGCTTGAACTCAGGAGTTCAAGACAAGCCTGGGCAATATAGTGAAACCCCGTCTCTACAAAAAAATACAAGTCAGCTGGGCGTGGTGGTGTGTGCCTGTAGTCCAAGCTACACCGGAGTCTGAGGTGGGAGGATCGCTTGAGCCTGGGAAGTGGAGGCTGCAGTGAGCCAAGACCACGCCACTGCCCTCCAGCCTAGGTGACTGGAGTAAGACCCTGTCTCAAAAAAAAAAAAAAAAAAAAAAAGTCTTTCTAGAAAGCATAATTCCTATATATCACTACTATCTCTTCTCAGAGGAAAATACATATAATAAGAGGATCAGAGGCTAGGATCAGTGGCTCACACCTATAATCCCAAGCACTTTGGAAGTCCAAGGTGGTAGGATAACTTGAGCGTAGGAGTTCGAGACCAGCCTGAGCAACATGGTGAGGCCCCATGTCTACAAAAAAATAAAAAAAAAAAATTAACCGGATATGGTGGTGTGCACCCATAGTCCCAGCTACTTGGAAAGCTGAGGTGGGAGGATTGCTTGAACCCAGGAGCTCTCGGATGCAGTGAGCTATGATCAGGCCACTGCACTCCAGCCTTGGGAACAGAGCGAGACCCGGTCACAAAAACAATACAAAAATAAAAAATAGGATCAGGTCACAGATATTAAAACAGTTGCAGGTTTAAAGATCACTCCCACCTTACATATTGGTCAATTCCACTGAAACCCCAAAGACAGGGTGCTCAGATTGTAGAATTCCATGTTCAAGAGTGAACTAAATATTTTTTGGTCAGCACTCACCTGAATGTTAGGATAATTCAGAGGAATTTCCCAACAGACATGAGAAATGTGCCTTCCAAATTGCGGCAGGTGGCCTGAGAGCTTGACATGAGTTTCTCATGTGCAGCAGCGTCTTGTTATTTGTTATAAGGGCTTCATAAACAGAGCTGGGTTTACAAGGAGTCTTATGGGCTCAGAATCTTAACTGCGATGTCTAACTCTCTAAGATTATATCTTTTTTTTTTTTCTTTTTTTTGAGACGGAGTTTTTGCTCTTGTTGCCCAGGCTGGAGTGCAATGGCGCGTTCTTGGCTCACCACAACCTCCGCCTCCCAGGTTCAAGCGATTCTCCTGCCTCAGCCTCCCAAGTAGCTGGGGTTACAGGCATGCGCCACCACACCCAGCTAAGTTTGCATTTTTAGTACAGACAGTTTTCTCCATGTTGGTCAGACTGGTCTCAAACTCCCAACCTCAGGTGATCTGCCTGCCTTGGCCTCCCAAAGTGCTAGGATTACAGGCATGAGCCACCGCGCTGGGCAATTATTTCTTTTATTTCTTATAACCACCCTGATGGTTAAGCATTTTCTTCCTCCATTTTTACAGTTCAGAAAATTGAAGTTTGGGAGTAGATAACTTTCCTAGGGTCTCACAGCAAGTCAGCCAAATGAACACCAAAATCCAGGCCTTTTATACCAAATTCCAGGCTCTTTCCAGTATACAGCTGCCACTGCCCACATTGCATAACCAGAAAGACCATGTTTGAATTATTAAAATGTTAATTCCTAGAATTTGAACTCTGGGACACCTTTAGAAACTCAAACTCTCAAGTCGTCATCTATCTTCCACATGTGAAAATGGTCTTCCCCCCAACCTCAGAGCTTAAGGTCCCAGGGGAGGGGCATGTGACTCAGTCTCCCCACAGCCCCCACAGTGGGGCCACGTTCCCCAGTTGTACGCTTCAGCTGCCCAAGCTCAGTCGACAACGTTTTCCTCTTATTCCCACACTATTAGTGTTACTGATGCCCGCAAAGGGGCCAGCACTGGAACAGACCCTGAAAATACAAAACCCAGGCAGTCAGGGTTGTGGAGATGGACAAGGGTTCAGTGAGGTGGTGGACTGTGCAGAGGGGATCACCGGACACTGGGATCACAGGGTGGCACTGCCTGCCCTTAACCCCTTCCCAAATGTCCCCCAGACCTCCTCCAGCAGAACCAGCACCTATGCAATTAGAAGCCACAGTCCAGATGTCTGGAACTAGTTCTACTTCCCAACACTACCTGGACAGTGGGTTTAATCAATGTATTCTCCCAAAATACTTCAATCAATCTCCTGATTTGGGGGTATTGCCAAATGAGTAGTCGTAAAACCAAGAAAAACTTTTAAATGATAATTTACGATAAGCATGTCCTGCTTGGAAAGCAGGCACAAATGATGCTAAAAAGCTAGCTATTTACACGTCATCTCTGGATTTATACTCAATAAAGCAAAAACAAACAAACTAAACACCACTTTGTCCTAGAACTGGTAAGTGGAGTCCAAAGAAGTCAGAGTTGGACAAGTGGTAAAGTTAGCAACGCTGACTTGGAAAAAACAACTTTTGCTACGCCTGTGGGCGATATCATACCCCTGAGCCTTAATGTCCATGTTGCTAGTATATTCATAATGCCGCTTTGACACTCCTGCATTACTAACCCAGCTCTAACCTACTGGCCACCTGTAACTTCGAATACTAAGGAATACTAAGGTGTACTTGGAATACTAAGGAATACAAGGTTTGGAATACTAAGCTGGAAGTAGGGTCAACATTAAGGATTCTGCCACTAGATGGAGAAATTGTCCCAATCCAGCGCCATTGCAGTTGTGTTTTGCTTTTGAGAAAAAGCAGCGGGAAAGATATTTATAAATGCCATTTTGTTCAAAGTGCTACGGTAACCACACTTTTCATTGACAAATGATAACTTTTTATCCATTTATTTTATGTACAGTACTTTAGCTTGAATAGGGTGGACAGCCCATATTCATCTTGATGACATCAGTATGTTCTAGGTTCTGTCTTTATCCACATCATCCATGATTCAATGTTGAGTAAATCTCTTAAAAATTACTTAACATCTTTTAAGTTGCTGTGGCAATTAGCACTAAGTCTATGCAAATTTCACTTCCAGTTTTGCAACTAATTAGATACAATATTAAAGTTCTTAATAGATTAAAATGCTTTTTGGGGATAAGGTCTTTACCACCAGCTACAATAAACAGTAAATACTCACAAAAGGAGGGGCTTCACTAATAACTGGACGAATCACATTTTGCATATTGCGTTTATTTTGCAGAAAATGCTTTCTGCTGATTGTCTTTGGCTACTTTGTCAAAAGAAAAATATGAAACAGTTATAGTTTAACAACACAAGAGATTAGCTACATATGCTTAAAATACACACATTCTAGGGGGCAGAGCAGTCAAATTTTCAATTCAACTAAAACCTGCTGTCCTCAACTATGATTTTATTCTGTCCTTAACAGCTCAACTCTAACTACTTGAAAGCAACAAGGAAGAAGATTAAGAGTGTGCTTTTTATCTCACTAAAGTAGGACTGGTGGAGTTTACAAATTCTGGTGTGCCAAAGTTGCCAATACACTGTATGAGAAATAAACCAAAAAAAGTTTCTGGACCCTGGCAAACATTTTTTCACCGTCAGTGAGGTTGGGCCAACTGCATCATCTCCACAGTTGGGTTCATCTGTAAGCCACCTGGGACAGCACCGCTACTGCAGGTGTGAGCAAGGGATGCTGGGGCTCTGGGGAAAGGTGCCGTGTGCTCCTCCACTGCTTTGAAAAGGAAGTTACTGAGGCTGCATTTCCTTCTTAACCTGAGACTGCCACTGGGTACCTAGTAGGTCAATCCAGTCACCACTGGCTGCCACGACAAAAAGTCACTGCATCTTTCGGGACCTGGGCCTTGCTGCTTCACATGGAAGGTGGCGACACAGGTGTCCATGAGGCTATGAGGCGGCCTTGGGCTGCGGCGTCGTACTGGCTGTCCACGATGTCTGTGGCCGCGGCCGCCCCTTCGTACAGTGGGGATCCCGAGGAAGAGGGCGCCGAGACCGGATGGGTGAGGGGTGTGTAGTGCGCGGGGGAGCCCCGGAAGAACTGGGCCCCCAGCCCGTTGGACACGGCTGCTGCCTGGGAGCCCGGGGTGACGGCGCCGTTGCTCACAGACCACAGGCTGGGGTACTGACTGCAACAGAAAGACACCAGTGAGCAGGGCCTGGGCAGGGGCTGCAGGCCAGCTAAGGATGGAAAAACACACCAGAAATCCCATTCGGAGTGACTGTGTAATATGACAGTTTTCTTCTTTCAAACAGGTCATTTTCTCCAAATTATTAAAGGACTCACAAGCACATTCTGTGATGTATAGAAGTTATTGTCGTATCTATTAATAAGAAACAAAATCATCAGGAAGATGACTGAAAAGATTATTCACATATTCAGAGCTCATGAAAGAGCGCTGTTAAGTTTCACTGCGAAAGACTCATACCAGGCCAGCCGCAGTGGGTGATGCCTGTAATCCCAGTACTTTGGGAGGCCAAGGCAGGTGGATCAGCTGATGTCAGGAGTTCAAGGCCAGCCTGACTAACATGGTGAAACCCCGTCTCTACTAAATACAAAAAATTGGCTGGGCATGGTGGCACATGCCTGTAATCCCAGCTACTTGGGAGGCTGAGGCAGGAGAATCGCTTGAACCCGGGAGGCAGATGTTGCAGTGAGCTGGGATTGCACCATTGCACTCCAGTCTGGGCAACAAGAGTGAAACTCCGTCAAACAAACACACAAAACAGAAAAGAAAGACTCAGACCAGTAGTTTTGCACTCTCATTCAGAATAAAACTTTTCAGATAGTCTCAACCAAAAGTTACTGAGGATGGGCTTAAGTACACATGTTTTTATCTAGGACACCCCACCCCCACCACCGCAGTGATTCTCACGATGAAGACCAGCCTCTCCTCAAACACTAAGCAGCAGACATTCCTTAGAGTAACTCCAGTACAGACACAATTCCCTGCACTTTGTCCTGTTCAGTACATAGGTGTGCTAGCATGGTGCCCAGCAGCAAGAAAAGCACCTGGCAGTCAGACTAGGAAGCCATTCCCAGTTCCGCCTTTACCTAGCTGTGTCACATTACACTTTGCCTGAGACTACTTATAGGCTGTGTTTCTCAAGGCATAAAATGAGGAAGGTGGAAATGACTATTGAATTCTCCAGTCTAAGCACATGGAAGTGGATAGCATTCAATTATGGTAAGATTTTATTTTGGGAAATAACCTTGTCTTTCTACAAGTGAATAATGAGACCTTATGTTGTATCACCATACTGTTTTAAACAAGTCTGAGTTAATCAAGGCAGATTTTTATGCCATTTTACAAATGAAAGCTTCAGGTTCTAAGATGCCCAATTAGAGCCACACTGAGACCCTCGGGTGGGGCCTCTGTCAACAGCTTGCAGTGTGCGGGTCATCTGATCGGGTGCAGGCTTCTGGGGCGATGCTCTTGGAGCCCCTGAAAGCTTCGCTTGTTTACGCATTGTTGCTCTGTTTCTAACCGCGGGCAATTGAATTCTTATTATGAAGGAACTGTTTTCTAGACAAGAATTAAGATCGCAGGCATATTTTGGTATTCTAGAAAATGAAGTGCATTGCCTTTGAGGTCAAGATCACTTAATTCCAGGCTCACTCTGCTGTGAGCTGGTCCAATCATTTAATATCTCTGGCCCTCCTTCCTCCCTAGAAAGTGAGGGTTGACTTCTAGCTTTGGTATTTTAGGTTTTTATATTCATCCTATGAAGAAATGTAAGACATTTACCAGCCTGCTTAATTTGTAAGCCTTTTTCCCTCTGCATAACTTGCAAGTTGGTAACAAAATAGTCATCATTGTTTACCAGTTACCTAGCACATATATTAAAGACTTCGAGCCTGTATCCATAGAAAAGCCAATAAACTCATTTCCTTCATTTACTAGCTTTTGTTGGAAAAGGTTCCGAAACGATCTCTTTAAGCTCTACCTACTGACCCCAACAACCCTGTAGGAGACAGGCCGAGGCTGGGTTATTTTTTTACCACCTTCCTTTTATATGTGAGGAAACTGAGGCCCAGAGAGGCTAAAAGACTTGTCCATCACGTGAACCAGTAAGTGGCAGAACCAGGATGGGGACCCTGGTTTCATTCAGGGATGGGATAGCGCAGCTCCCATTCCACACCTGGGTTGTAAAGGAGCCCAGTCCTTCCAGCGAACAGACTGCAAACAGGAACTCGGCAGTCATGTCACCTGCAATCCCTGGGCATAGCTGGCTAATAAAGAATTCTAAATAAAGACCCAACCACCCACAGGGACCAAGGAGAATAAGGACTAAGGGCCTATGGGAATGGAAACAGCGTGAAGTCACAGGCAGAGCTCCCAGGATGCTTTGCACCAGGTCCTGGACATACATTACCTGGAGCTGGTAGGTGGGCTGGCATTGTGGCTCACGGGGAGCATGCTGGGATGGGCAGGCATTCCAAGGCTGGACCAATTGTCATGGGATTGCAGCATGGATAAACATGCAGGTGAGTTGTCAGAATAGGCTAAGGGGGGAAGGTAACAAAGTGCAATTATAGATGGTGTCTTCCAAGAACAACAAAGTACAGTGAAATACCACCAATAACTGAAGCTACGTAACACTGAAAACAAAATGTACATGGGATATTAACTGTAGAAAACAATCCATTAGTCTATTTACATGGTTATCAGGGGCAAGATTTATTGCCAAATATATGTATTTGAAAACATACCCTGGTAAACCCAAGCTTTTTCCCTTATCATCATTATCAGTAGATGCCCTGTAGACATTGAATCTTACTTACAATCACTGACTTGGAATTACTTATCTTTAAAAATAAATATAACTTTACCCTGCCTTTTTACCAGTGATTACTTCATAAGAATGGGCGATAGAAACCATTACTCCAGGCAAAATTAGAAATAAGATCTTCCTGCCTCAGAGTCTAGCCTCTGGTTGAACAAGTCCCAGTGACTTCCTAACCCAATAAGGTCCTTTCATTTCAAATCAGCTTTAATTGCTTAATTGTTTTATGGTATTCTTTAGCTATTTTCCTTCTTTTGGAGCCAGACAAAATTAAGTCTAGACATATACAGTGTTATAGAGAGAATTAGGCCAGGGGATCTTTATGGTCTATCCCAGTGTTCCTAATATTGGAGCATGCATCGGAATGGCCTGGAAGGCTTTTAAAAGCACACTGGCCAGGCGTGGTGGCTCACGCCTGTAATCCCAGCACTTTGGGAGGCCGAGGCGGGTGGATCACGAGGTCAGAAGATCGAGACCATCCTGGCTAACACGGTGAAACCCCGTCTCTACTAAAAATACAAAAAAATTAGCCAGGCCTGGTGGCAGGCACCTGTAGTCCCAGCTCCTTGGGAGGCTGAGGCAGGAGAATGGCGTGAACCCGAGAGGCGGAGCTTGCAGTGAGCCGAGATCGTGCGACTGCACTCCAGCCTGGGCGACAGAGCGAGACTCCGTCTCAAAAAAAAGCACACATTGCCGGGCCCCACCAAGAGCTGCTGCCTGTCAGTCTGGGGTGGGGCCTGAGACTGTGCCCACTCTCGGGTGGTGCTGAGGCTCTGGCCTGGGCACCGTATTTGGAGAATCACTGGTGTAGTCAGGAATTCTTGAGCCTGGCTGCCCATCATTGTCACTTTAGAGAGGTTCATAGAAGACTCAAACCTGGGCTCTCCTCCTAAGGATCGACCATGGTTCTGTGGAGAGGCCCAGGAATCTGTCATTTTCAAAACCTGGAGCAGCAGCTCTGAGGCCTGTGCAAGGATGCAAGCCTCTGATCTGGGTGTCCGTGGTTGTTCCGCCAGCAGCGGCAGTGGCGGAGACATAAATTGAAGATCTTCTCTTGAGCTACTAAAAAACTGGGCTTGGGTATGTGTTCCAGAAAACCGTCTCCATTTTTTTAGATTCTAGACTCCTGCAGAATGCCTTTCCCAAAGTGGTCTTGCAGCCACCCACCAACCCCTGGCAGAATGAGGCTGAGGACTCACTTGGAGAATTGTTCCGATGAGCATAGGGGCTGGGGTAGGGTGAGGACCGGTGGCTCCTCAGGGTTGGGTACCTGTCACAGCTGTGCGTGGAGGGGAGGGAGAGGGCACCTCCAAACTGAGGATGAGGATTTGCAGGTGGACACAGGGTGCTGGTTCCAGGAAGAAGCCACCCCCCTGCTGTGAGAAAAGACAGTGCTGAGTAACCTGCATTAGTGCTCCCTCCATCTCTCCAGAGAGCAGAGCCCAGGCCAGGGACTGTCCCTCCATCACTCCAGAGAGCAGAGCCCAGGCCAGGGACTCTCCCTCCATCACTCCAGAGAGCAGAGCCCAGGCCAGGGACTCTCCCTCCATCACTCCAGAGAGCAGAGCCCAGGCCAGGGACTGTCCCTCCATCACTCCAGAGAGCAGAGCCCAGGCCAGTGACTTCCCACCTTCCCCTCAGGGGCCCCTGATGGGGGAAGCACCCTGAGTGTCTCATACTTAGGACACAGTCTGCCTCACAAGACATCTGAGGCCATCAGCCCCACACTCACTACCACAGGTAACCCAAGGCTTCCAATCCTGTGTGTACCTGAGTAAACCCAGGAGCCTGGCCTCAGGCAACCTAAGCTGTTTCCTCCTGAGAATCCTCTGGATTGCTTTGAGATCTACTATTCCCCAAGGCAGGTGAGCTTTCCTCCACTGAGCATGAATACAATGTAACCACAGGCAGAGAGCAGGTGAGAGATGCTGAGAGAGGTGGGGTGGTGCTTAGACAAGGGTGCCCTCCCCTTCTCCTCCTGCCACCCACAGAGACGGGAGGTGCCTTCCTAGCTGGGGGTAGACCCTTTTACTGCTCACTCTCCTGGTTTAAGCTCCCCCCATTCTCCCCAGGAGAATCAGAAAGTTCTTCCAAGACTCCCCTTCCTTCCTCTAAAACTACAATTTCTTGTCCACTCATTTTTTTCTCCTCTGAGACTGGGAGTTTCATTCTGTCACCCAGGCTGGAGTGCAGTGGTGTGATCTTGGCTTATTGCAATCTCCGCCTCTCAGGTTCAAGGGATTCTCATGCCTCAGCCTCCCAAGTAGCTGGGATTACAGGCGCCCACCATCATGCCTGACAATTTTTGTATTTTTAGTAGAGATGAGGTTTCACCATATTGGCCAGGCTGGTCTCTAACTCCCTGATCTCAAATGATCCATCCAACTTGGCCTCCCAAAGTGTTGGGATTACAGGCGTGAGCCACCGTGCCCGTCCTCTTCTACACTCTTCAAGCTTTGTTGTTTTGATTGAGAAAAAGCAACCCCTAGCGGGACAACTACTGTGGCTTCAATTTCCAAACTACTAACAATTCTCCAGGCAGCACTGGAAGGAAGGGTGCAGACGTGCCCTGGCTGCCCAGCCGGCCCTGGCCAGAGCAGTGGCTCACTCTACTCAAGTGACTGCCTTTCTGGTTGTTCAATCAGCCTAGGAAATGATGAAAAATCTACAGAATAGAAAATGCCTGTGTAAGGAGGAGTGTGCCCTGTTGATTCATCCAGCCTCTTGACCAGCCAGTGCTACCGCGTTCATTGTTTAATATCTCCAAGTCCCTTCCCCGGGTGGAGAGGACGGACCAGGATGAGAGAGAGCGTTTCTCCCAACAAATGCTGCCGTATAATCCTCTATCCTGCACTCTGACTCCTGAAAGTCCTAGAGGGAGCTAGACTTAAATCCAACTCTCTCATCCTCAGAGCCACAGGAGCTGGTGAGACATTCCTAGAACCAAAGGGCTAAGGAAAAATTTGGTTCCTAAGCATCATTGGAAAGATGGCTCTTCAACCATTAATGAAAGCCTCAAAGAGGAGGTAATGAGCTAGATTCTCCTGTTGCCTACCTAATACAGGAGAGTCCAAACACCCAGCTAGGTCTCAATGATCCACCCCAGGCATGGTGGCAGCTGCCTCACGGCAAAACAAAAGCACCCAGGAGAGTATCCACAGCCCCGATTAGAGCAGAGGTTAGATGGGCAACACAGCTTCAACATCACAGGGCCAAGAGCCTCGCATGGCAAAAAGGCAATCTTACATCCCAGGCACACCCAGAAACACCCTTGTCTTCTCCATCTCCACTTCCCAGCTCTCAGCAAGTCTAGTCCCGATGACGCAGAATGACATGACAGAGTGCAACAAACCGTACATTGGGAGTACCCAGGTTGCTGGCTGTCTCCGGGTTCCTCCATCATCTCTTTGTGATCACTTCTATCAAAATGAAAAAAAAAAAGTATATCGAATTTTCAAAAATAAGGAAATTCAGAAAAGAGTATGTGCAGCAATATTTCATCTTTCTGCATACTTCTTTGCCCAAGGGTATTTATAGTTAGAATTCTCTCACCTTTCCTTTGCATCAAGGAAAGCTTTTGCAAATGGATTGTACTTAATTTTAAGAGCTGTGATCTGAAAAACAAGAAATTGCATTTACTAGTATATTCCCTATTAGCCAGGGGATTTAATTTGGCACCAAGAAATTGAGAAATGCCAGTACCACTTTTAAATATTCAAATATAATCAGACTTCTTTCCACATACAGTTTTCTATTTGGAACTGAAAATAGCTGAGTAATTGTACAGAGTAGCATGCTTATGAAAAATTTTCAATGTCAATGTTCTGAGTGGGATTCACAATAAATTTAACCTACTACTAACAATGTTCCATGTGTATAAATCAGAAATGGCTGAAAACACAGTCTGGGGCTGCTTAGGAAATAGAGACCTGGAAGTTCTAGTTTTCGGTCAACGTCAACACCAACAAGGTATCCAACTAATGTCGAATTTGCAGTACTTTGGGGTTGGGCTTAGGCATAGATTTACAGGCACCTATGCAGTAGCTTGTATCTAGTTGAGTCTTCACACTGCAGAGATTTGAGGGGTTGCCCCCCCACCCTTTGGGGAAGATTTCCAAGGAAGGACATGCCCCTCTCTCACTCAAGTCTTGTTCTCAAGAAATTCTCACACCATTTAACCTGAATGCTTTTTGGATCTTTTCATTTTGAGCATTGAGAAGTTGTTTCTAGTTTTAAACACTTGTATGGAGAATTCAAGGGGAAAATGTTTGAATGGGGACTTAATTTAAACAGTTCTCTCCTGTGCTTCCATTTCAAGTTCCGGAATATTATTTGAAAGGGCAGGAAGCCTTCCTCTCAGTGCGGGTTAGCGCGTCTCCCCGCTCCTCCAGAATCTCCACGGAGCAGCACACCACACCGCAGCACACCGGGAAAGCGATCCGCCTCTGTCCTTCTCACCTCCTCGTTCTGATAAGCAGTCACCGCTATGAACTGGGTCTCAGGGAAGCAGTGGCTGGTGATCATGCGCTGTGGACCCCCAACTCTCACTATGTGGATTCGAGGCTCATACTTATGCAAGGAGTTCAGCATGATCTGAGGGAGACAGATACAGGATTGGTGGCACTGAAAGGCCTGCGTTAAAACAGCAAAACATCCATTTCTCCAGGATGCAGAAAGTCCTCTGGATCCCAAGAAAGTGTCTCTGCTGTTGAGGGAAGTGGGGTTCCACCAGGGGAGGCTTCTCCGCGGTTTATATGTGCTATTCCCACAGCTTGTTTGGAAAAGGGATGTGAGATGCTACACACCATTAAAAGCAATGAATGCTCATCACAAAATCCTTTCACCTGGTGGAATAAAGTACTAAGGCTTTCAGGAAGGCTATGGTCATTTTTAAAAGACTGAGCTTGTTTGCAACTTGCCTAACCTGGGGTCTTCCAGGAACAATCCCCGACTAAAGAATGTTCTTTAGAAAAGCACGACTTTACAAGTTTGTTCCGACTCCACGCAGTAAGTACTGTGGCGCATGTTTAAATTTAAATGCGACTTTGCCATCAAGGCTGATATCTTTTCCACCCCCAGGAGAGTTTAGGGCTAGACAACGGAAGTTCCCCAAAAGCTCCAGTCCTTCAAAGGGGAGTGCTCCCGCTCCCCGTTCGCCAGGCGTGGATGTTATCAGCTTAGTATAAACAGCGCTAAAGGCCTTATTAGAGAAGGCTGTGGCAGTTTCTCCAGGGCAGACGTCGCCTCCCGTTCAAGCAGCGTCCCTTCCCACAACCCCCGTGCAGAAGGCGCAGCGCGGCCCCCTCCTCGCTGGTCCCAGACCTGGCGGGCTCCTCACACCTACCTGGCCCCCTCCGTTGAGCTTGTTGGTGAGCTTGACTTTGCTGAAGGAGACGGGAGCCTTCATCCAGTGGGCCCCGAAGTTGGGCGAGTCGGGGTGGATGTAGACGCAGCTGGGCGCCTGCGGCTCCGGCTTGCCCCCCGGCACCCATTCCCCGTTCACGTACTTCCAGCGGTGGTTGTCCGCCGCCACGAAGTCCAGCAGGAAGGAGTACATGGCGTTGGGGTCCAGGCCAGACACGTTCACCTTCAGCACCGGAAACATCCTCCTGGAAAACACGGGGCGGGCGCAGGAGGACCCCGACACTGACCAGGTAGGCCGGAGGCAGAAGCTGGGCACAGAGGCCTCAGTTATTTCGGGGCACAGAGGAGCCCCCTGGGGAACGTCCGAGGGTGACTCCCAAGCTCCCCCTTCCCCGAGCCCTGCCAGGTCCAGGTGGCCTCCTCACCATCTCCACGGCCTCGGGAGGGAGGGGAGGAGAGGACCTGGCGAAGGGTTTCAGTGCAGGAGGCCACATCCCGCGGGGACAGGCGGGGACCAGGGCGCGCCTCGCGGGTCCCGGGATGCCTCCGAGGTCGGGACACCGAAGTGCGCGTTCCTCCTCCCCAAGCTTCCGCGGAGAAAGCCCCAGAAGAGGGGCTTGTAGAAATGCACTCGAGGGAGTTAACCAGAGCGGGAACAAACACAAAGCCCTCCTCCAGGAGAAAAAGGGTTCGACCTCCGGGAACTTGCCAGGTCCCCCAGGCTGCCCAGGCGCTGGAGAGCGCGGCGCGCGCGGGCTCCGGACGCGCACCCACCTGCCGTTCTTGGTCACGATCATCTCATTGGTGAGCTCCTTGAAGCGCAGCCACAGCTCGCTCTCCTCCAGGCCCACGCGCAGTTCGCGCTCTGTGGGGTCGCCCTTCTCGCTGCCCGCCTGCAGCTCATTCTCCACGGCGCTCAGCAGGTGGTCCACTCGGTACTGCAGGCTCTTTCCCGCGCTCTCGGTGCCAGGGGAGCTCATCCTCCCGTCCGGCTCCCCTCCCCGCCGTCCCCGAAGCCCAGACTCGCTACCTGAGATCCACCTTCCCTGCTCTTGGCCGCCGCCCTTCCGAGAAAAGGGGCCCCTTGGACCGAGACCTGCGACGGCTCCCGGGTCCCGGGTCCCGGCACAGACCCGGGAGGAGGGCGCGGACCAAGACTTGGGGGGAGGGGACGGGGGCAGAGGGGTGGGGAGAAGTTATTCCACTTGAACTCCCCAAGGCTCTACTAGTGTAGGTCTCTGGGGACCGAAATTCAGTGCCCTCCCCATAAATAGAGCCGCGGCGGCAGCGCTGGGGTGCTCGGCGGATTGGGCCGCGCACGCTTTGAAGTGCCGGGCAGCCTCCCATTGGCCGAGAGCGGCCATATCAGACCCAGCCGGGCGGGTCTGGGAGGCCGGGGGCCAACAATGGGCTCCCGCACGCCTGTTTCATGTAAATCCGGGGCCCCAGCCCTGCGAGCCCCGGCCCAGCCCCTACACCCCCGCCCTTCTCCAAATGTTTGCACCTCCATCAAAGCGGCGGGGCAAGCCCCGGAGGAAGGTAAGCTGGACGCCCCGGCCTGCCCCAGCCCGCCCCAGCCCGCCCCAGCCCGCACTTCCGCGAGGGGCTGCCCGGCAGCCTGCGATGCTCCCTGATTCCCGCGCGGGGTCCTCCTCGCTTTCCCAGCGCGCCCGGATCCCGCAGCCGCGCCAGGCTGGAACGTTCGCGCGGCCTCACCTGTCCCCGCTCCAGGCGCGCCTCCCTCCCCTCCCAGGGACGAGCGCATTTGGCCGGGCTTTGGGATGCGCCGCGCTCGTCTCGCCGCAGTAGTAGTGCTGTTCTCGCGCCTCCGATGCCTCAACTCTCCAGTCTGGCAGTTTCCGGTGCACCTGTCCCCACACGTCCCTCGCCCACGGAGCCCCAGGCGGCGTTACGCACACCCAGGATCGTGGATCAGCCTGCCCCGGCGTCGGGTGTCCCCGCGGCTCTCACCATCTGGAAAAGGAAGGTCCGCGCGCAGAGAGGGAAATGGACGGAAATAAGCAAAAGCAAAACAACCCCTTCTGAGAAGTGTCCTCCTCGCTCTCTTATAAAAACAGGACTTGTTGCCGAGGTCAGCGCGCGCATCGAGTGTGCCAGGCGTGTGCGTGGTTTCTGCTGTGTCATTGCTTTCACGGAAGGTGGGAGAAGGTCGGGGCTGGCGGGGTGGTCCGGACTAGTGGGACTCGGGGCGCTTTCCCCGCCCGGCCCAGCGCCAAGCGGTGTCGGCAGCGGTTGTTTTATTACCTTTCGGTGAGAACTTACGCGAGGAGAGCGAAGGAGAGGTGACAATGAGCAGGAAATAGTTCAGTGGGGTCTCTTTAAACAGTAACATTCCTCCTAAAACGGGAGCCCAGGAAGGGGGAAGGAGGCAGAAGCTCCCCCTTCCAAGGCCTGGCTTTGCGCTTCTGCACACCTCGCCCATTCGCTGGACGAGGGCCTGCCTCGGGTAGCAGCCTCTGTTTCCCGGTCTCCTGAGCGGGCACCCCAGCCCCAACCCCTCTAGAGAAAGCCTGCGCATCGGGTGGGGCAGCGAGTTCAGAGGAGTCTTGCGCCCTAGCAAGGGGGCTTTCCCGCGGACATGGTATCTGCGCCCCGCGCTAAGTCTCCCCTGCCCCCTGCCCCCTGCCCCTCGCCCCTCGCCCAGCCGGGCTCGCTCCGGGGTCGGGAATTGCTGGGGAAGCCGAAGGAGGGATCCCCGCCCGGGACTCGAGGGATCGACCCGCCTCGCGGTATGCGGAGGGCTGCCAGGAGCCAGTCCCGGGGAAGGGTGCCTGCCGCCCGTGGGGGACAGGGCTCCTTCTCTCCCTTCTCCAACTTACACCGACGAGTCAGGAAGCCGGAGCGTCTAGTCCCTGTCCGCATTTCTCAGTGTCTTTTGATGTCTGGGATGCATGGATATTCCCAGGGGGCTGACCCGAGGTGGGGAAGTTTCCTTCTAGAAAGAGGCACCAAAAGGACCTCATTTGCTCCTGACGCCGGACCCTCCTGACACGCCTTCACTGGCTCATCGGGTCCTGGGCTTTGGGGGAGAGCGTGGTGCGTGTTACTCTCCTTACTCCGGGTATTAAAATGTCTAAGAGGTCATCGCTTTGGCCCAAGGCCTCCCGAGGATAAGATAAAAGGGAAAAGTGGAGGGGAGGTGAAGGAGGAACGAGGGTGGGTCCCAGGCAATTGAGGGCCTCGGAACCCTAGGCACGGGAGCGAAACCTCTCCTGCGGCTTCAGGGCAAAGGAGTCCCGAAGGCTGGATCCCTCCCCTGCGCTCGGACGGCGTCGCGGCCGCTTTTCCCACAGTCGGGAAGCGCCAAAGAAGACTGGAGGGTTTAACAGATCGCTCTAAAACTGTTCCGAACAGGAGGGGCACGGCCAAATAAGAATACAACTTCAGCAGGAAAGAATATTCCGTTTCTAACACGCGTAATAAAATTTCTACTCTCCAGAGAGAATGTCTGAAGCATTGAAGAGTACGACCCAGGAATTGAACCACCCAAGTCGGAGGAGGTAGAGGTTGGAAGTCACCGACTTTGGCCAGCACTTGTGTAGTGTCACCTGTCTTCACTTTCTAACGTTTATTTTTCCTCCCCTTTCTGTGGCTGATTTTCTGATCTTTGTTCCTCGGTTCCCAGGACCAGGCCCACTCCCTCCGCCTTTTCAGCGAAGGCTGCAGTGCATGACAGTTTACAGCCAAAACTTCCTCCAGCCCGGCTATAAAGAATTCCCAGTTAATAACAATGCGCTTCCTTGGGAGGAAAGAGGGGCTGAGGCACCGCCAGCTGTTTCGCTCCCAGGGTCTATCTCTCCTTGGCAAGCCCAGCCATTCAGAGAAAAACAAGACAAAGCCTTATGGCTGGGCCTCAGGATGCAACTGTCCCACCGAAAACATGCTTGAAACATTTTATAAGAAAACACACACACACACCCCACTCGACTCCCAGAGAGGCAGTTTTCCTGGGCCCAATCCCTTCTGAAAAAGCAAAGCCATTTATCTTTAGAAGCAGGCAACAATGAAGCTGTAACAGGCTCAAGGAGGGGTGGAGGACAGCCTCGCGTGACTCTTACCCCACACTCTAGTCCCTCTCTTTCTGCAAGAAAAACAAATGAATTTCTTTTCTGATTATATATGTACTCCTTGTAGAAATATTATATATGTATCTGTCTTCATATATATGTAAAACAGTCACCCACAGTATCTGTGGGGGATTGGTTCCAGGACCTACAAAGATGGCAGAATCCAGGGATGCCCTAGTCCCTTGGCATGGTATTTGCATATAACCTATGGACTTCCTCCATGAACTATAAATCACTTCTGGATTACTTATAATACCTAATACAATGTAACACTATGCAAATAGTAGTTATACTGTATTGCTTTTTATTTGTATAATTTTTATTCTTTCATTATTGGGGAGAGGGAGTTTGGAATGTTTTCTATCAATTCAACCAACCACGGATATGGAACCTGTGGCTATGGAGGGCTGGCTGTATGTTTATCTCTCTCTATGTATATAAATGCTAACCTCAAGCACTAAGCAATGTTCATATTTTGGGGTGTTCCTCGTCTTTTTTTCATTTTGTTCTTCTCATGAGCTCCTTCTCCCACACTGACTAAGCGGACTGATCGCAAACAGTCACAAGTTCTACATTAGAGATGACAGCCATGTTTCATGGCCAATAATTCTGCCACCAATTGGTTTATTTGTCTCTCCCATTAAAAGAAACCCAATGGCTTTTGTTATTGCTTTAAAAGGTGTGTAACGTAATTCTTTAGACTCTTTACCATTGAAAAATTTTTAAAGCCCATTGGGTTGTTTGAGGTGGTTGTGGTTTTGTGGGAAAGAACAGAGACTTGGTTTTTTAAAGTCTTCCTCTCAGGACAAGGATCCCACCCTGTGCACAGCCGGCCCCTCCCTGCTGCTCTAGGGAGAAGGCTTCGTGATGTGCTCCCTGATCTGCAGGGAAGCTGTGGCCATGTGGGGTGGACGCAGGGACTACCGTCAGCCTCAGGCTGCGTCTCAAAACCTGATCCCATCCAAGCTATTTTTTTGGAGTCAGTGGGCTTCGTCACACATGACAGTGTGTGGTTGTTTTAGTGACAGGAGTTCACAGATTAACAACAAACCAACCTGCCCAGTTGAATGTTTGGGAATGTGACAATCCCAAACCTTTCTCCTTAAAACTCTAGTGCTTCAGCTCCTATCTCTTTGGAATTCAAGTTTCCAGAGGAGAAATCGGGCTGCTGGATTTTGATCTCTTCCTCGGTAGAGAAGGGTAGCTTGAGTTTTTCTGCCCAGATACTTAATTTTTTCAATGCCTTGTGGATGATAAGTTTCTTGGCGATAGTTTCAGTGGGAATCTGCTGATTTTGCTTGGCATGCAGGGAAAGCCCTTTCCAACTCAACAAGTCTCTTTAGTTCTGATTGGTATGATGGTGAGTACTGTTTCCACTTCAGGGGTTATCTGTACTTCCAAATCTGAGGATCCTTGCCTAGTCTCCCGCCTCCTCCCCCTGTGTTGTTTCAGCTCTTAGATCTTTCTGCATATATTAAATGGCTTGTGAAATGTTTTTTCCACACCACTCTGTCAATTTCCCTCCATGTCACTTTTGGTTTTTACTGCCTCCAATGCAGATTTTATTTCTCTGTTGTAGCTCAGTTTTCTGGTAATCCTTATTTCCTCCACGTCCCTTGTCGTCTTATTCCATGGCCTTCTAGAGCAGCCTTTTTGCTCCTTAATGTCCTGTTTCTGCTTCTTAGAGGCCACAGTTCTCTGCATCTTCTGGTGCTTATGGTTTATTTTTTCCCAAGGCTGCTTTTCCTCTGTGTCTTCTGAATAATCGCTCTCCCTGCTTCCCTTTCAGCCTTTTCTGGGAGTCTCCACGGCCTTTTCTTTTCCTTCCTCCCCCTCTTACATAGGGGTGACTGCCCAGCATGCCTTCTGCAGGGCTGCACTCTCAGGGGCCCTGGATGGATGCCCCTTTCATAGCCACCTTGGGAAGACAGAGGTGTGGGGCCTGCCTTATTCAGGGTGAAACCAGCCCTTGACTGGTGGCAGGGACTCAGCAGGCCTTTGCTGAGTGGCTGCGTTGGCAACACGGAAATGCAGTAGCATGTCTATCTAAGAAACAGCAGTAGCACTGTCCTCAGATCCACTGGACATATGCTGCTGAGCACTTTCATCATGAACAAAACATCAATCCTTCACATTTACTAAAATGCAGGATGCTTCTGAAACTCCAAGGGCCCTTCTCTAGTAACCCGCTCATTGATTCAAATAGTCAGGTGTTTTGGAGAGAGTAAAGGAAGGGTTTCCTGTGAAAATTGTGTATTAAATGAGACCTTAAGAATTACTACAAGTGAGCTATTCCAAGGGAGGCTTGAAGATGCGGGGGCAGGAACATGCTTGCAGGCTGAAAATGACTCCAGTAATCATGACTGGGGACCCCCACGCAATCGTTTAATTCATATTTATATACCTGTTTATGTCATACTACTGGAAATGTTCTTTCTCCCTCCTCTACAACTAATTTTGAAAAATCCTATTTTGGCCCTGAATAAAATATCTGGCAGAAAAGAATGTTGGAAATAAATGCGGGTAGACGTACACACACACATACTCTGGCTGGACCAGCTCCAACTTCCATAATCACCATTTAGCAGGAAAGGTTGACATGATGTCCCTAATCAGAACATGCTGTGATCACTGTTTTGAAGGGATCCGCAGGGCAGGCAGGCTCTGAGCTCTGCACCAGGGCCTGACACTTGCCTGAGGAAGCAGGGGTGGGAGAAACCAGCAGGAGCTCCCCAGAGGCCGCTGGGGAGAGGAGAGGGGTGGGGCTTGGCACCAGAGAGTCCAGGGAGGTAGCGCTTCCTGTTGAAGAACAAGGGTACTCAGGAAGGCAGAGTGGCGCTGCAGGACCTACAGAGCCCCTGGGCACATGAGGAAAGAGAGCCTACGAGGTTTATAAAGTGTCCGAATATGGAGCAAACTTGAGATCAATAAACTGAGAGAAAAACAGTCTAATCTGAATGACAGTGGAGACTCAAAAGTCACAATCGCCTATTTAATAAGAACAAGTGAGATGTCACGGCAGGAGGGGTGAAGCCTGGCAGGAAATGTTAGGTGAGACCAAGTGCTGAGTATGTGGTGAGGGAACATAAACTAGGAGGAGATGAGATCAAACAGGGGCGGAAATGGATGGGATTGCAATACCCTCAAGGGAACAGGCAGGAAGAACTCCAGAAGAGACTTGCAATAATTCTGGAAATGGAGCACTTTAGAGGGTTCCTATAGAAATTCCCATCAATATTGTAGGCAAAGACAATGAACCAAAAAAAAGTGATTGAATTATAAGAATACTTTGAAAGGACTATTGAAGGCTAGTGGAAAAAACGGAAGACAAGAGCAGAACAGAGCTGAAATCTGCAGAAGGACTTAATGGCGGGAGAGAGGGGAGGAGGCTGCAGCCTGGAGGTAATGGGAGGACCAGGGTGAGAGAGAGAAGCCCAAAGGGAAGCTAGGGCTGAGGCTGCCATGGGGGCGGGGAGTAAAGGGCTGTACTCCCTACAGATCAAGTACCAGACTGATAGTAAAAATGAGACAAAGGGGAAGGACTTAGCACACCTGTGAGAACAGATTCAGAATCAGTGGTTCCCACCACAGGGACTTCGGCTGAAAAGACACCTCAGAGGAGAAAAGCCCATTTGGAAATTAGAATTAGCACATTCTACGACCGATAGTCACAGCTCCAAGGTGACAAGCTGTCCCAGCCCCAGAACCCTAAAAGGAGCTGACATTCATTGGCGCCTATTACGTGCGAGGAATTGTGCATACATTATCATTTAGGCATTGATGGGAGATAGTATTCCCTCTTGTATATACAAGGCAACTCAGAGAAAAGAGTAAAAAAAATGGAGTGGCATTTTGATTTCTGATTTGTCTCATTAAATGCAGGTTATTTCCACTAGACTAAGTTAAATATGTGAGAAGTAGAAGCAAAGTATGTGAAAAGTAGAAACAAGTTTTTTTCTCTCTTTCACCCACCATATTCATACAACCACATATGAAAGGAATCTGGTGTGCTTGCACTCAAGTGTGAGTGTTTAGAAAAGGGAGGTGGTGGGGAAACTAGTTGAGTTTAACTACTTTTGAGATCTAAAAAAAAGTTTAGCAACCCCATCAAAAAGTGGGCAAAGGACATGAACAGACACTTCTCAAAAGAAGACATTTATGCAGCCAAAAAACACATGAAAAAATGTTCACCATCACTGGCCATCAGAGAAATGCAAATCAAAACCACAGTGAGATACCATCTCACACCAGTTAGAATGGCAATCATTAAAAAGTCAGGAAACAACAGGTGCTAGAGAGGATGTGGAGAAATAGGAACACTGTTACACTGTTGGTGGGACTGTAAACTAGTTCAACCATTGTGGAAGTCAGTGTGGCAATTCCTCAGGTATCTAGAACTAGAAATATCATTTGACCCAGCCATCCCATTACTGGGTATATACCCAAAGGACTATAAATCATGCTGCTATAAAGACACATGCACACGTATGTTTATTGTGGCACTATTCACAATAGCAAAGACTTGGAACCAACCCAAATGTCCAACAATGATAGACTGGAATAAGAAAATGTGGCACATGTACACCATGGAATACTATGCAGCCATAAAAAAGGATGAGTTCATGTCCTTTGCAGGGACATGGATGAAATTGGAAATCATCATTCTCAGTAAACTATCGCAAGGACAAAAAACCAAACACCACATGTTCTCACTCATAGGTGGGAATTGAACATTGAGAACACATGGACACCGGAAGGGGAACATCACACACACTGGGGCCTGTTGTGGGGTGGGGGGAGTGGGGAGGATAGCATTAGGAGATATACCTAATGCTAAATGACGAGTTAATGGGTGCAGCACACCAGCATGGCACATGTATACATATGTAACTAACCTGCACATTGTGCACATGTACCCTAAAACTTAAAGTATAATAATAATAAAATAAAAAATAAAAAATAAAAAAATAAAAATAAATAAATAAATAAAAAACAGTTTAGTCATCTGAAAGACAGTAATAGGAGCTGGGGGAAGAAAATCCCACCACGTAAATAACTTCCAATCCCGGCAGAGATGCTGAACTATAATCACAGGTATGGCAACCAGAGAGAAAAACAGATGCCAAATAATGCTTAGGCCTAAACACATCATTCTGAGTTTCCAAAGAACCCCGTGAAGTCAGTACTGTTATCCCCTCCTTAAAAAAAAAGGTCATAATAAAAGGAAATGTACATCAGAGAGGTGAAGAAGTTTGCCCAAGGTTACAGTTAGTGTGGAACTAGAATTCCAAGTTACGCTAATGGACTATGGTAATTCCAAAACAAGAGTAGGAAGACAAGGATTAACTCCTTGGATGATTATCAGCTCACGTATAACATTCGAACATGGTTGACTTCAGGAACTGGATTTAAAAAGAAACCTGTATCAAGGTTATCACTACAGTGCTTCACTTGAGTGTTAGAGGGATTAAGATGAGAGGCAATGAAAGGAAAACAGGGGCATGCCATAGGAAGTTTGTGCAGTGCTGCCTGGAGAGGTTTGAATGCACAGCACATATTTGCATGTATTTCTCATGTTTGTGGGAAAGCAAAATTGTGTTAAGATGACCAAACCTAATTGAAACCTTGAAACCTAAAAATGTGAGAACTTTATTATTACAACAGGAAATACATATAGTGAAACATCAGTTGGCTATTTGGCTAGAGTGCAGGACTAAAGATCAGGTAAATCATGCCCTTAAAATGTGAAAATCATGTGGTATCTTTAGCCCGAGTTTCTTTCACAATTTATAACGTAGGAGTGTTGGCTCCATACAAAGGTTTGCGAAGGTTAAAAAATTAGTTCTGGGTGTTGTTTTCAGCTATATCCTGAAGTAAGGAATGGTCCCTCCTAAAATACATTGGTTCGCTGCCTGCCTGGCATAGAACCACAGGCTTATTTTTTGAGTCCTTTATAAGAAGGTACTTCAATTAACAGACCTGCAGAGGATGGAGGTCATCAGTATCTTCTTCACTCTCAAAGTGTGCTTCCGGGAACACCTTCCCTGAGAAAGGCAGAACAGGTGCACTGAATGATGAGCGCTCAGCTATTTCCATCATCCTTAGCTTCAAAATCTATGTCCAGTCTAGAAAATTCTTCTTCTTTTTTTTTTCGAGACCACATCTCACTTTGCTACTGAGGCTGGAGTGCTGTAGCCCAGTCATGGCTCACTGCAGCCTCAGCCCACAGGGCTCAAGCGATCCTCCTGCCTCAGCCTCCCAAGTTGCTGGGACCACTATATCTGGCTAATTTTTTATTTTTTGTAGAAACAGACTCTCGCTATGTTGCCCAGGCTCGTCTTGAACCCCTGGGCTCAAGTGATCCTCCTGCCTCAGCCTCTCAAAGTGCTGGGATTATAGGGGTGAACCACCGCACCCAGGCAAGAAAATTCTTTATATATATTTTGGCTTCCTTCTCCATTTGTTCTTTCATTATAAATAGGTTTGACAAATTTTCTGTGTTCTTTTGGAAACAGTAATGTATGTATATCTCTCTGGGAGTTCAAAATATTATTAAAGGATTGTATTCTACTTAGGCTATTTTCTTTTCTTAAGTCTTTTCTCGTCTTCTGATCACATGGGGAGGAGGAAAAGCGGCAACGTTTTCTTTTTTAAAAAAATACATGCCTATGATAGCAATAACCCACCAGGTGTCACAGTAGGCATTTAGTCATTGCCGATGGAATGGAAGAATACATGACTAAATTTTTAGTGACTCCTAGCTCCGTCCCCACAGCTCATTAACTTTTTAATTTTCCCAAGTGCCCTTACAATTCAGTCCACAGGAATATGTAATATTGAAGATTACAATTCAATTTTTGATGTGATTTGATGCAGGAGGGGATTTATTCTGGCTGCTGTGTTGAGAATGACAGGGACAAGATTGGAGGTAGGAAACCTAACTGGGCCACTGCAGCGATTAGAGTAAGACATGTCATCTCCTTGGCCCAGTGAGGTGGGCAGGGAGAAGGGGTCAAACCCTAGGCAAACTTCAAAGGTGGAGCCCACAGGGTTTGCTGGACAGGTTGGATGTGGAGGGTTGAGAGACACGGCCATGTGGAGGGGCCCATTAGGCCGTGGGATCTCCTGGCACTCAGGGTTGAGGTCCGAGCTGGTGATACATCCAGGAGTTGGCAGGACAGGAGTGGTATGGAGTCATGGAACTGGGTGAGCTCACCAGTGGAGGGCTCACACCTGCATTTGCAGTCACAGGTCTAATGTGAGCCTACAGAGCTTTTAGGGTTGTCCAAAAATCACATGTCGGCCTACTTTAGAAATAAGGATCATAGGGCTGGGTGCGGTCGGTGGCTCACGCCTATAATCCTAGCACTTTGGAAGGCCAAGGCAGGTGGGTCACGAGGTCAGGCGTTCGAGACCAGCCTGGCCAACATGGTGAAACTCCATCTCTACTAAAAATACAAAAATTAGCTAGGCGTGGTGGTGCATGCCTATAATCCCAGCTACTCAGGAGGCTGAGGCAGGAGAATCACTTGAACCTGGGAGGTGGAGGTTGCAATGAGCCAAGATCACGCCACTGCACTCCAGCCTGGGCAACAGAGCGAGACTCAAAAATAAAAATAATAATAATAAAATTAAATTGAAATAAGGAGCATAAACCTGGGAGCCAGAATTTCTTCCTGTGGGAATCTAGAGCCTTCACTGGTCATCACCAGGTAATAGCACTGGAGATAAACCAGCGGGATGTAACTCAGATCCTCAAGGAAGGCAGAGTAGGAGGAGGGAAAGCTGGAAGGCCTGGGTTCCAAGCGCGTTAAGAAAATTATCCCAGTCATCAAGGACTTTCACAACCTTCTCATGCGGTGGTCTGATGGCTTGCTTAGAGATGAGGAAACCAAGGCACTGGCCGCTTCACTTCTTCCCATGTTGCCAGGGAATGAAATGTAACCCACAGCCTGTCTGGCCAGCTGGAAACTTGGGGCCTGCTCTTTTCTCCCCTGGATCTGTTGAGAAGAGACCAGAACCTTATCTAAAAGGGGCAGGTTTTAAAGTTGAAGTGTGTGGCTCAAATATCTTTAAAATTTTATTTGCTTACAAAGAAAATATGTTTTTGTGCACAGCATTTTGTAATAAACCCAATACAGCCAAGCTTTCCTCTAGCTTTTACATTGCACTGGATGAAGTTGCTGACTTGCATTTTGGTACAAAGTTTAGATATTTTTGTTCTGTTTTTGGCTAAACATTTATAGTTGAATTCACCTGAGTTATTTATAGTTGAATTCACCTGAGTTGAACTCACCTGAGTTGAATTCATGTGAGCTCTATGGCTATGAGCTCTATGGCCCTTATTACTGTAATAAGCCATCATTTTTGAACAATAGCCTCACATTTTCTTGGTGGAGAGTACTCAAATTTAGAGATTAGATTGAAATTAACAGTGGTCTGAATTAATAGATATTTACCAGTTATTAACAGTTAACAATTATTAGAGGCATCTTGTCTTTTTGGAAATCCTTTGTTCCCCCTTTCTTAACCAAAATGACTTTTGCCCCAGTCTGTTGATTCTAACTAGACAGTCAAGAGGGTCTTGCCACCCAAGTCTTGATCTGAGATCAACATTGTGTAGGGAAGCCAAAGTCCTAGTAAAATTAAATTAGTCTTTAATTAACTGACTACTTATTAGTGCCTATTCATCCAGACTCCCTTACCCAAAACTAATTTCCATCCTCCCCCATCCCACCCATGGCACCTCTTCCCACACTGTGTGAGGGCATCATTTTGTGGGTCCCCCCTCAACTGATTGTCATACATGTAACATATTAGACATGCTATTTGAAAATTAAAAACATATTTCTATGCTATTAAAGGAGTTTGTTTAAGAAATAAGGCAAAAGAGTAACTGGCCTCACCATTCTCTTCCCATGCTAGAAGGGAGCGCACATGGTACTGTGACTGAGGACGCGGTTACTGAAAGCGGGGCTGTGACAGGCTCCTGGGAAGTGAACTTTGATGCAAAGGTAGCCTTGCAGTTCACCCCCAGGAAAGCTGTCACAGAGGTCACAAAACAGAATAGCTCACCAGCCAAATTAAGATCCTCAAATCACAAAGTTTAATGTATCCATTTAAACCACATAGTGAGCAGCAAAGGAACACAGGCGGGGCCGGTCCGCACACCTATGTGGAAGGTCCTCACTTCCTCATTTCTGCACCATCCGCACTTTCTGGCTCTCTGCTGCACGGGCCTTCCCTGCCAACGGCATGGGCATGTAGACCAGACCAGGGGTGATGGTTAGAGAATAGTGTCATGAACACATGGACAATATTGCTCTACCTGTCTCCCCACCCTAATCACCCCCACCCCCAGATGATTTTAGAAGGATTACTGGACATCTTTCCATCCATAAAGGAAGTACTGCAGTATGTATCCCTAAAACCTAGGATTATTTTTGGTTAAACATAACCATAATATCATTATCACACCTAAAATTAATAAACAAGACCTCCTTAATGTCATCAAAAACTAGCCAGTGTCCAAATTTTCCTATTTGTCTCATAGATTCATGAGAAAATTGTTATATCTTTTGATGTCCATGTGCAAAAGTTCCTGTAGGTGAATATAAGCCTAGAAGGGAAATTTCTAGGTAGTGTCTGTCTTCAGTATTTTTAGAATATGCTGAATTGTTTTCCAAAGAGGTTGCACTAATTTTATATTCCAGTAACATTGAGGAAGGGTTCCCCTGGCTTTGCATCCTAGCCAATACTCGATACTGTCAGATTTTAAGAGGTTTTCCAGTGTGAGGCGTATAAAAAAAGGATGTCATGGTTTTAAATCACATTTTTCCAATTTTCCCACAAAATCTTTTTGAGTATGCCATGGAATATTTTTTAAAAAACAATTACAGGAGTTTTTCTACAATGCCAGTACTCATCATTTGTCAGCTTTATAAGTAGAAAAACATTCTCCTACTTTGTGACTGGCCTTTTCACTTCCTTATTGATGTCCTTTGTGACCGGAGATTCCCAACATAATATAATCACATATATCACACCTTTCCTTTGCATTTTATGCCCTTTGTGACTTTATCTGAAAGAGCCATTTCCATCCCCAGGACAGTCTTCCATATTCTTTACATTGTATAGTTCTACATTTTTACATTTCAGACTCTAGTCCACCTAGCATTGACTTCCGTGCCTAAGATGAGATAGAGATCCAACTTCAGTGGAGAAAACTGGTCGACTCTGCATCATTGATTGAATCATCAATTGCTTCACCAAAGATCAGCAATAAATCTGACATAAATCATTTCTGCATCTGATTCTGGGCTATCTGATTCTGGGCTTCCTATTCTAATTCATTGATACTTTTATCTGTCCCATTTTGAGTGCTATGTAGCTTTAAATTAGGGCTTGATATCATATAGGACAAGCTCCCACCACTTACTATCATGTCTTATCTATTACAGATCTTTGCTCTTCTATATAAGCTTAAGAATTCGCTTGTCAAGTTCCAAGAAAAATTATTAAAATGGCATTAAATCTCAAGATCAGACTGGAGAACTGACACCTTTTCAACGTACAGGATTTCTGCCCATGAAGGCAGCACCTCTGCTTATTTAGGTCTTTTTTAAAATGTCTCTTAATAATGCTTAATAACTTTCTCCATGAAGGGCTTGCAAATATTTTTCCAAATTTATTCCTAGATAATTAATTTTTATTGCTACCATAAATGGAAACTTTTTCTTCCCCCTCAAGGAGCCTTGCTCTGTTGCCAGGCTGGACTGCAATGGTGGGGTCTTGGCTCACTGCAACCTCTGCCTCCTAGGTTCAAGCGATTCTCCTGCCTCAGCCAACCAAGTAGCTGGGATTACAGGCTCCTGCCACCATATCTGACTAATTTTTTGTATTTTTAGTAGAGACAGGGTTTCACCATGTTGACCAGGCTGGTCTCAAACTCCTGACCTTAAGTGATCCACCCGCCTCAGCCTCCCAAATTGGGATTACAGGCGTGAGCCACCGCACCCGGCCAAATGGCAACTTTTTTCTTTTTTTGAGATGGAATCTCACTCTGTCGCCTAGGCTGGAGTGCAGTGGCGCAGTCTCAGCTCACTGCAACCTCCGCTTCCCGGGTTCAAGCGATTTTCTTGCCTCAGCCTCCTGAGTAGCTGGGATTACAGGCACCCACCACCACGCCCAGCTAATTTTTTTGGTATTTTTAGTAGAGACGGGGTTTCACTGTGTTGGTCAGGCTGGTCTCGAACTCCTGACCTCGTGATCCACCTGCCTCGGCCTCCCGAAGTGCTGGGATTATAGGCATGAGCCACCGCACCCAGCCAAATGGCAACTTTTTAAGTGAAAGCTTTTTATTTTATTTTCCCTCCAAAAAATATTTATTTATTTGTATTATTTTTAAAGACTTTTATTTTAGTTTCACGGGTACATGTGCAGTTTTATTATATAACTTAACTTATGTCATGGGGGCTGGGCTGGGCGCAGTGGCTCACGCTTATAATCCCAACCCCCCTTGGGAGGCTGAAGCTGGTGGGTCGCCTGAGGTCAGGAGTTCAAAACCAGCCTGGCCAACATGGTGAAACCCCATCTATACTAAAAATACAAAAAATTAGCTGGACTTGATGGTGGGCGCCTATAATCCCAGCTACTTGGGAGGCCGAGGCAGGAGAATCGCTTGAATCTGGGAGGCAGAGGTTGCAGTGAGCTGAGATCGCACCATTGCACTCCAGCCTGGGCAACAAGAGCGAAACTCCGTTTCAAATAAATAAATAAATAAATAAAATGATGTCATGGGGGTTTGCTGTACAGATTATTTTTCTCTGCTCCTCTCCTTCTTCCTACCCTCCACTCTCAAGTAGACCCCAGTGTGTTGTTCCTCTGTTTGCGTCCATGAGTTCTCATCATTTAGCTCCCACTTGTAAGTGAGAGCGTGCACCATTTGGCTTTCTGTTTCTGCGTTAGTTTGCTAAGGATAATGGCCTCCAGCTCCATCTATGTTCCTACAAAGGATATGGTATCATTCTTTTTTGTGGCTGCATAGTACTCTATGGTGTATATGTACCACGTTTTCTTTATCCAATCTGTCATTGATGGGCATTTAGTTTGATTCTGTGTCTTTGCTATTATGAATAGTGCTTCAGTGAACATATATGTGGATGTGTCTATGGTAGAATGATTTATATTCCTTTGGGTATATACCCAGTAGTGGGATTGCTAGGTTAAGTGGTAGTTCTCTTTTTAGCTCTTTGAGGAATCGCCACACAGCTTTCCACAATGGCTGAACTAATTTACACTCCTACCAACACTGTATAAGCGTGACCTTTTCTCCGCAACCTTGTCAGCATTGTTGTTTTTTGACTTTTTTCTATTTTTTTTTTTTTTTGAGACGGAGTCTTAGTTTGTTGCCAGGCTAGAGTGCAGTGGCATGACCTCCGCTCACTGCAACCTCCACCTCCCTGGTTCATGCGATTCTCCTGCCTCAGCCTCCCGAGTAGCTGGGACTACAGGCATACACCACCACGCCCAGCTAATTTTTGTATTTTTAGTAGAGACGGGGTTTCACCATCTTGGCCAGGCTGGTCTCGAACTCCTGGCCTCATGATCCGCCCCCCTCAGCCTCCCAAAGTGCTGGGATTACAAGCGTGAGCCACCTCACCCAGTATTTTTTGACTTTTTAATAATAGCCATTCTGACCAGTGTGAAATGGCATCTCATTGTGGCTTTGATTTGCATTTCTCTAATGATCACTAATATTGAACTTTTTTTTCATATGCTTGTTGGCTGCATGTATGTTTTCTTTTGAATGTGTCTGTTCATGTCTTCTGCCCACTTTTTAATGTGGTTGTTTTTTTTCTTGTAAATTTGTTTAAGTTTCTTATAGATGCTGGATATTAGACTTTTGTCAGATGCATAGTTTGCAAAAATTTTCTCTCATTATGTAAGTTGTCTGCTTACTCTGTTGATAGTTTCCTTTGCTGTGCAGAAGCTCTTTAGTTTAATTAGATCCAATTTATCAATATTTGCTTTCGTTGCAATTGCTTTTGGTGTCTTCATCATGAAATCTTTGCCAGTTCCTATGTCCGGAATGGTATTGCCTAGGTTGTCTTCTAGGATTTTTATAGTTTTGGGTTTTACAATAAATAAATAGCAACTTTTTAAAAACTATAACTTTTTTGTAATGTTTATGTAAACACTTTAATAAAATTTCATTGTAAAGCAAACGTATGTAGGTAACCACAACCCAGGTCAAGAAACTGCACATTCCCAAAACTCCAAAAGTTCCCTTCCCAATCACAAACCCTTTCAAAGTTAACCGTTTTCCAGGAAATTATGATAGTTACTTCCTTGCTTTTCTGTATTATTTTACAAGCTAACTCACATCCATAAGATAAATCATTTGATTTTGCTTCTTTTTGAACTTTCATTAAGATCACAGGTTGCATTGTTTTGGGTCCATGTCATTCTATTCCACATTATGATTGTGAGGTACATGAGAGTCATTGGCAACTTCATTCACTTTCATCGCTGTATAGGGTTTTATTATCTGAAATTTCCACAACTTATCCAACCTACTGTTGATGGACACTGGATTGGTTCCAGTGTGCGACTGTAATAAACAGTGCTGCTCTGAATGTTATCTGTCTCTTTGTGCATATAGGAGCCTGCAAGGGATGTGCCTAGGGTGGAATTGCAGCATTCCAGGCTGTTCCTATGCCCCGTTAGGAGATAATGCCAATGGCTTTCCAAAGCAGTGATGCTAATTTACACCTGCGGTGTCTGAGAATTCCGGTTGCCCCACATCTCTTGAAGCGCTTGGTATTGTCCATCTTTTTTCATTTTAGTCATTCTTGTCAGTATGATGATATGTCATCGTGATTTTGTTTGCGTTTCTGGTAAATAAAGCAGCTGAGCACATCTGCAGGTTCATTGGCCATTTAGTCATCTCCCTTTCCACACCTCCTGTTCAAACCTCCTTTGCTTTTCTGTATTGAGTTGTTTCTTCATATTATTTCTTTGTAGGAGTTATTTTATATTTTGGATACAAGCCAGTTGTCAGTTATAAATGTTGTATTTATTTTATCCTACTCTGTCTTGCCTTTTAATTAACTCAGGGATGTCTTTTGACAAAAAAGTAGTTTTAATTTAATGTAGTCTAATGTATTAATATTTTTCTTAATGCTAAATGATTGTTGTTCCCGTTTTATGAACTCTTTCTCTATCTCAGCAGAATGAAGTTATTTCCTATATTATATTTTAAAAGCTCTGCGCTTTCAGAAGCCGAGGTGGGCAGATCACCTGAGGTCAGGAGTTCAAGACCAGCCTGCCCAACATGGTGAAAACTTGTCTCCACAAAAATACAAAAATTATCTGGGCTTGGTGGTGGGCACCTGTAATCCCAGCTACTTGGGAGGCTGAGGCAGGAGAATCACTTGAACCAGGAAGGTGGAGGTTGCAGTAAGCCGAGATTGTGCCATTGCACTCCAGCCTGGGCGACAGAGTGAGACTCCATCTCAAAAAAAAAAAAAAAAAAAAAAAAAAAAAAAGGAAAGACTTCCAAGAAGAAGCTGAAACTCTGAATAGACCAATAACAGGTTCTGAAATTGAAGCAATAATTGCTATCCTACCAACCAAAAATAGCCCAGGACCAGACAGATTCACAGCCGAATTCTACCAGAGGCACAAAGAGGAGCTCGTACCATTCCTTCTGAAACTATTTCAATCAATAGAAAAAGAGGGAATCCTCCCTAACTCATTTTAAGAGGCTAGCATCACCCTGATACCAAAGCATGTTAGACACACAACAAAAAAAAAAGAGAATTTCAGGCCAATATGCCTGATGAACATCGATGTGAAAATCCTCAGTAAAATACTGGCAAACCAAATCCAGCAGCACATCAAAAAGCTTATCCACCACGATCAAGTCGGCTTCATCCCTGGGACGCAAGCCTGGTTCAACATACACAAATCAATAAACGTAATCCATCATATAAACAGAACCACTGACAAAATCCACATGATCATCTCAATAGATGCAGAAAAGGCCGTTGACAAAATTCAACAGCCCTTCATGCTAAAAACTCTCAATAGACTAGGTATTGATAGAACGTCTTTCAAAATAATAAGAGCTATTTATGACAAACCTACAGTCAATATCATACTGAATGGGCAAAAACTGGAAGCATTCCCTTTGAAAATGGGCACAAGACAAGGATGCCCTCTCTCACCACTCCTATTCAACATAGTGTTGGAAGTTCTGGCTAGGGCAATCAGGCAAAGAAAGAAATAAAGGTCATTCAATTAGGAAAAGAGGAAGTTAAATTGTCTCTGTTTGCAGATGACATGATTCTATATTTAGAAAACCCCATCGTCTCAGCCCAAAATCTCCTTAAGCTGATAAGCAACTTCAGCAAAGTCTCAGGATACAAAATCAATGTGCCAAAATTACAAGCATTCCTACACACCAATAATAGACAAACAGAGAGCCAAATCATGAATGAACTCCCATTCACAATTGCTTCAAAGAGAATAAAATACCTAGGAATGCAACTTACAAGGGATGTGAAGGACCTCTTCAAGGAGAACTACAAACCACTGCTCAATGAAATAAAAGAGGACACAAACAAATGCAAGAACATTCCATGCTCATGGATAAGAAGAATCAATATCGTGACAATGGCCATATTGCCCAAGGTAATTTATAGACTCAATGCTATCCCCATCAAGCTACCACTGACTTTCTTCACAGAACTGGAAATAACTACTTCAAAGTTCATATGGAACCAAAAAAGAGCCTGCATCGCCAAGACAATCCTAAGCCAAAAGAACAAAGCTGGAAGCATCATGCTACCTGACTTCAAACTATACTACAAGGCTACAGTAACCAAAACAGCATGGTAGTGGTACCAAAACAGATATATAGATGAATGGAACAGAACAGAGGCCACAGAAATAACACCACACATCTACAACCAACTGATCTTTCGCAAACCTGTCAAAAAGAAGCAATGGGTAAAGGATTCCCTATTTAATAAATGGTGCTGGGAAAACTGGCTAGCCACGTGTAGAAAGCTGAAACTGGATCCCTTCCTTACACCTTATACAAAAATTAACTCAAGATGGATTAAAGACTTAAATGTAAGACCTAACACCATAAAAACCCTAGAGGAAAACCTAGGCAATACCATTCAGGACATAAGCATGGGCAAGGACTTCATGACAAAAACACCAAAAGCAATGGCAACAAAAGTCAAAATAGACAAATGGGATCTAATTAAACTAAAGAGCTTCTGCACAGCAAAAGAAACTATCATCAGAATGAACAGGCAACCTACAGAATGGGAGAAAATCTTTGCAATCTACCCTTCTGACAAAGGGCTAATATCCAGAATCTACAAAGAACTTAAACAAATTTACAAGAAAAAAAAACCCAACAAAAAGTGGGCAAAGGGTATGAACAGACACTTCTCAAAATAAGACATTTATGCAGCCAACAGACATATGAAAAAATGCTCATTATCACTGGTCATCAGAGAAATGCAAATCAAAACCACAATGAGATACCATCTCATGCCAGCTAGAATGGCGATCACTTTTTAGTCAGAAACAACAGATGCTGGAGAGGATGTGGAGAAATAGGAATGCTTTTACACTGTTGGGGGGAGTGTAAACTAGCTCAACCATTGTGGAAGACAATGTGGCGATTCCTCAAGGATCTAGAACTAGAAATACCATTTGACCCAGCCATCCCATTACTGGGTATATGCCCAATGGATTATAAATCATGTACTATAAACACACATACACACATATGTTTATTGCGGCACTATTCACAATAGCAAAGACTTGAAACCAACCCAAATGTCCATCAATGATAGACTGGATTAAGAAAATGTGACACATATACACCATGGAATACTATGCAGCCATAAAAAAGATGAGTTCATGTCCTTTGCAGGGACATGGATGAAGGTGGAAACCATCATTCTCAGCAAACTATCACAAGGACAGAAAACAAAACACTGCATGTTCTCTTTTTTTTTTTTTTTTTTTTTGTAACGGAGTCTCACTCTGTCACCCAGCCTGGAGTGCAAGGTGCGATCTCTGCTCACTGCAACCTCCGCCTCCTGGGCTCAAGTGATTCTTCTGTCTCAGCCTCCCGAATAACTGGAATTACAGGCACCCGCCACCACGCCTGGCTAATTTTTGTATTTTTAGTAGAGACGAGGTTTCACCATGTTGGCCAGGCTGGTCTGGAACTCCTCACCTCAAGGGATCCACCTGCCTTGGCCTCCCAAAGTGCTGGGATTACAGGCATAAGCCACCATGCCCAGCCAAAACACTGCATGTTCTCACTCATAGATGGGAGTTGAACAATGAGAACACATGGACACAGGGCAGATAACATCACACACCAGGGCCTGTTGGGGGTGGGGGTAGTGGGGAGGGATAGCATTAGGAGAAATACCTAATGTAAATGATGAGTTGATGGGTGCAGCAAACCAACATGGCACCTGTATACCTATGTAACAAACCAGCACGTTGTGAGCATGTACCCTAGAACTTAAAGTATAATAAGAAAAAAAGAAAGCTCTACCATTTTACTTTTAACATTTAGATCTACACTGCATATAGAATTGATTTGTGTTATTTTTTTTTCACCTAATTGTATGCAGTTCTCCCAGAATCTCCCAGGTATTAAAGAGATTGTCTTTTATTGTAAATTTTGTCCATATATGTGGAAGTCTTTTTGTGTGCCCTTTACTCATTTTGTCTTTTCTGGGCCTATTGCTATAGTATTCTCATAACTGATAGAGCATTAGGCTTTTGTACTCTGCCTCCTCTTTCTCTAAACCCCTCTGTGTGGTATCGCCTTGTTTCTCAGTGCTGTGTTTCAGATAATTTATTTTGCTCTATCTAGTTCACTGATTCTATCTTCAGGTTTGCCTGATCTATTGTTCAGCCCACTCACTGAATATTTACTTTCATTTATTTTATTTTTCCACTCTAAAAACTCTATTTCGTTCTTTTTCAAGCATCCTTGATTTGTTTTCATAGTTTCCTAATATTTACAATTTAGAACTTCATTTTAAAATTTATTTAACTTTATTAATAACACTAACTGCATTTTCTGTGTCTGATAATTTCCATTATCCAAATTCGTTGTGAGTCTGATTTTACTGACCCTTCTTTCTCTTGGTTCTGGGTTTCTACAAAAAGTAAAAATATCAATGAAGTACCATGTTAATACATACTATTTACTTGATGCCATCATTGCTTATCATAACTTTCAATTCAAGAGAAAGAAAGCAGCCATTTCATTATTTGGGGGGAACTTCAGCATTTTCTTATCCTTTTCATCTAGTGACGATACCATAGTTGAATTCTCTTTTTTTTTAAGACAGAGTCTCGCTCTATCACCCAGGCTGGAGTGCAGTGGAACGATCTCCACTCACTGCAACCTCCGCCTCCTGGGTTCAAGAGGTTCTCCTGCCTCAGCCTCCAAGTAGCTACAGGTACGTGCCACCACGTCCGGCTAATTTTTTTAGTAGAGTGTTTACTAGTATTTAGTAGAGTATTTGCTAGTATTTTTAGTAGAGACGGGGTTTCACCGTGTTAGCTAGGACCTTGTGATCCGTCCGCCTCGGCTTCCCAAAGTGCTGAGATTACAGGCGTGAGCCACAGCGCCCGGCTGAATTCTTAATCCACACAGTTGACCCCATATTGATTTACTGTCTTAGACTACTAGAATGAATAAAAAGAATATATATATATACACACTCACACATATATATAGATATTCCTTATATATGCATTCCTTTTACATATATATATATTCTAATTCCCTGGTAAGAGTAGTGGGTGGTACTTCCCCCTGGCACTTCACCTTCAGAATTTATAAGGCAAAGTGCCAGGGGGATGTACCACCCACTACCTCTTACCAGGGAATTAGGAAATAATTCATAGCCCTCCAACTCCCGCCATTATCCCTGGATTTCCATATTTCTGTCTCTGGGCTGCTGGCCCATCTACTTCTGAAGGCCCGGAAGCCCAGTGACCTCCCTCACTCAGCTGCTCCAAGCCAGAAATCCTGCCCTCTGTGTCCCGCTCTGGCCAAGCCTCCCATCCTGCCAGCACCCTGCCGCACTTCTCCCACTTTAATTTGTTCTTTGATCTCAGGGAGTTCCACATCCTCCATTCCTCTGGGCAGAGAAAAGGCAGGAGCCATCCACAACACAAAGTGTCAGAACTGCTTGTTCCAGGGACAGGGGAGCTGCGGTCATCCCAGGAGAAGGAGGTTCACCCCTCCTGTGATCTACAAAAAGAGAGAGCCTTCTCTTCAAGATTGTATTTAAGTTGTTTTTTTTCTATTCTTTTCTAACATCTTACAAGGATGTTAATATCAATTCATTTTTTTCTGCAAATGTAAGGTTTGTCCACTTCATTCAACTTCGCGGCATTAACCTTTTTTGGATTACAGATCTCCTTAAGAATGTAACTTTAAAAAACACACCAGGGAGCCTCTCTCCAATAAAATCACATGTACATAATTGTAGACAACATATTTTAAGGGGTTTACCCTTCAACTTCATGAATCTTAACTTAAGCGCCCCAATCTACTATAACTTTGCCAACAGATTCCGCATTCAGTGGGCTCTCTGAAGACTTTTACTTGTAAATTTTTCACTGAGCTTACATTTACATTTACCAATATTCCTACCTCCTTTCCTGATTATGTGACTCCACAAGGCTATTTTTTTTTCTTTTTCTTTTTTTTTTTTTTTCTGGAAATGGAGTTTCACTCTTGTTGCCCAGGCTGGAGTGCAATGGCATGATCTCAACTCACCGGAACCTCCTTCTCCCGAGTTCAAGTTATTCTCCTGCCTCAGCCTCCCGAGTAGCTGGAATTACAGACATGTGCCACCATACCTGGCTAATTTTGTATTTTTAGTAGAGACAGGGTTTCACCATGTTAACCAGGCTGGTCTCGAACTCCCGACCTCAGGTGATCTGCCCGCCTTGGCCTCCCAAAATGCTGGGATTACAGCGTGAGCCACTGCGCCTGGCCCACAAGGCTATTTTAACTCAAACTGGAACTTGTGAACACTGGGGAAATCACGGAAACATTTTTTGAGATTTTGAAAATAGAGTATATACAATTTGATTAGCATTTTATACTCAATAATTCTGTTCTGGAGGATATCTTGAGATCACAGATATTGGCTAAAGAAAAGAGCCTCTGCTTCTGGCAAGAGACACTAATCTACACCAAAACCAGTTATGAGATAAATGAAAACAAATCCCTGTTAACAAAGATGTTGTGTGTCTGTATGTGTGTGCAGGTGGGATAAAAACAATCTCTCCTGCAACTTGCATGACAATCCGGAATAGTGACTGATGCATTTACATAGGCTGTATGGGTTGGCTTAAAGTTAATGTCTATAAAACATTCTAAATTGATAGAATTGGGGTCTATCCTGGAAAAAGGAACTATGCTGCAATTCCCTGGACAAAATTCAGGCAGAGTTCTGCCTTCAGCTTTGGAGCCACACCAGCATGCCCGGAGGAACAACATCCATCCCATTTCCAGAAGGCAGAAGTCAGTGCCGCCCTGAGATAGAGAAGAGTTTCCAACCCTTTACCAGTCATGGCCAGCAGCGAACATGGGGTCTCTGCTCTGCAGGCCGCTCCAGAACCCAGTTTTCCTGGGCTTTGTAAAAGTCACCTGCTGTGCGCTGCGTATTTATGAGAAGAGACTGTGAGAGGTACATTTTAAGATGCAAGATACTTTAATTAAACTATTAACTCAGCTGGCTTAGGCCTGTAATCCTTGCACTTTGGGAGGCTGAGGCAGGTAGATCACTTGAGGTCAGGAGTTCGAGACCAGCCTGGCCGACATGGTGAAATACCATCTCTACTAAAACTACAAAAATTAGCCAGGTGTGGTGGTGTGCACCTGTAATCCTAGCTACTTGGGAGGCTGAGCCAGGAGAATCTCTTGAACCCAGGAGGCAGAGGTTGCAGTGAGCCGAGATCGCACCACTGCACTCCAGCCTAGGTGGCAGAGTGAGACGCTGTCTAAAAAATAAATAAATAAATAAATAAATAAATAAATAAATAAATAAATAAATAAAAACATTAACTGTTCATTTCACTCAACCTGGAAAGCACTCCAAATAGATAAGCAGGTGTTGACAAGCCTGAACCCCAGTGTTTTTACTATGCCACATCGAATTGGGCTAATGCTAAACATGGCTGTCCACAAACACACTTTGCATGTGACCAGAGAACAGGCTGCATCTGGATCTCCCCCTAGCTGGAGGCAGGCACACCAAATGATGCAGCTTTGGGTCAATTTCAGCACTAGATGACAAATGACATCTACTTCTTGAATGTGAGTTTGCAAACCCTAAATTGGATACTCCACGTGATTTTGTGTCCAGAACACAGGGAGGCCGTGGTGGTCATAGAGGGAGCGTAGGCTTCAGTGCCAAGCCTGTGTGATGCCCAACTCAGCCGAGGACCCGCTGGGGCCTGCAGCCTCCATCTCCCCTTCTCTATGGGGTTATTGGTCACGAATGTGAGGTGCCCGGCACAGGTACTCTGTTATAAGTACACTACTTAACAACTGCTACCTGAATGGATGTAACTTATGTAACTTTATGCAAAGAACTCAACATTCCAAGAGCCCGTACCAGGCCAGGCGTTCTGTCAAGCACCTTACTCACATTACTGCATGTAATCCTCCCAGCAAGCCCAGGAGAAGGTATCACTGTATCCACCACACAAAGAAGAAGACTGAGGCCGAGCTGGGCTGAGGCACGCAGGCTGTCAGGAAAGTGGATGCTGCAGGCCAGGCATGCTGACCGGAGCAGCTAGAATGCTCCTCTGCTTCACTGTGAGAAGAGGAGGAGCGGGATTTATCTTGTGGAAGAAAACCTGAGCTAGAAGCAGGTGATATCGTGTGGAGCAGCACAGCCCTTGGCCCTCCCGGGGCTCCCAACATGGGCAGAGGGTGGTGGAGACAGAGTAGATGAGCAGCCATATTCAGTGCCACCAGGGAAGGAAAATGTGATGGGGACATGAACGGCCTGGGGGAGCCCAGAGCTGGCATCCCCTCCCCTAGGGACATCCAGAAAGGGTTGCAGAAGGTGGTGCAGGGCTGGCTGAAGCCTGCAGATGGAAACTGCCAGACCAAATCTGGAATTCAGGTTTCTTAGTTCCCAATTCTTTCTACCTTTCCCCTGCTAAATTCTTCTCAAACACTGTAGTGTGAGGGTTTGTTGTTGTTTTGCAAGTATTTCTCATTTCTTTCTTTCTTTTTTTTTTTTACTACTCACATGCCACATAGGGCCACTTGGTGTCTTCTTGTCTTCTGCTGAGAATCTGTTTTCCTGGACAGGCTCTTGAATTGTAAGAAGTCAAGGGGGTTGGGCATGGTGGCTCATGGCTGTATATAATCCCAGCACTTTGGGAGGCCAAGGTGGGCGGATCACTTGAGGTCAGGAGTTCGAGACCAGCCTGGCCAACATAGTGAAACCCCATATCACTAAAAATACAAAAATTAGCCTGACATGGCGGCGGGTGCATGTAATCCCAGCTACTTGGGAGGCTGAGGCAGGAGAATCACTTGAACTCAGAAGGCAGAGGTTGCAGTGAGCCGAGATCATGCCACTGGACTCCAGCCTGGGTGACTGAGCAAGACTCTGTCTCAAAAAAAAAAAAAAAAAAGAAGTTGAGGGGAAGCAGTGCTGGAGGCTGTGGGCAGCCGGGCTTCTGTCCCTGTCTCCCTGGGCTGGACCGCAGCCTGCTGGTGTTGGCATGGGATGTGCACTCCAGCTTTGGGAAGCAAAGGCTACTTTCACATTTGTTGTTTTCGTTACATTCAGAATATGAAAATTAATTTTTAAAACAAAATGTGGTAAAGTTGGACTAGTGATGATTATTAAAATGTGTATTTATACATAAAATTCTTTGCTATTTTGGAAAATAGTACCTTATTGCCAAGAAATACCAGTTAGACCTCCTGTGATCGTCTGTGAGTTCATCCCCCTTGGATGCCGATTGTGGGGCAGCTTTGCCAGGTGACACCCGCCATGGAGACGGAGGAAAGTGGGAGGGAATCCAGGCACAGAAAGGTGGCGGTGGTTCTGGTTTTGTTCTGTCTTTAAGACAGATTCAATGTTAGATCTTTATTTCTCTAAAACCAAAGCTGACTTCTCTGTCCTCTGGCCACCTCCACATCAAGATCCAGAATTAAATCACCTCCACATCAAGATCCAGTGGAGTGCAAATGGACTGGACCTTTCTGAATCCTAGGTGGTAGCCACTGTCTACTGATGCCTTTTCTGTTTCCACAGAAACTCAGGTTATGAAGTCCAGTGCTACCTAGTGGGGAAACGCCAGACACTCACAATTCCAGCTCTCCGACTCCACGTCCCCCCACCCCCAGATCTAGAGCTAAGGAAGGACAAGGCCTCACTTGTGCTGCTCCTGACCCACCGGACTCTGGCCAGACCTCCAGCTCTGCCCTCTTCATCCACATCTGCAAACCAGCCGCTCCCCTCCGCAGTTGGCTGGGGGTAGCACCAAACAGAGAAAAGCAAACACAGGAGAAAGCTGTCGGACTCAGCACTCCTTGAATACACAGTGGCTGTTGTTATAATGTCCTCAATATTTTTTCTTGCTGGAATCCTTGGGCAGGGATTCATCTTGAGGGAAGGAGGATGAACAAAGCCCCCCACATCGCAGGCCGCGTGCGTTCTTGCACGCATGCCTTGTATGGATCGTGTATGAGGGACATTAAAACCCACCTATTATTAGAGCCACAGAAACTGTATTTCCCTTTTACTCTGGAAGAGAATTACAAATAAAGCCTGGTATCTAACGGGTCTAAACCCAAGAAGCTGGGAGCTGAAAGAGCACCCTCTGTGGAAGCAGATGCCTCCCGGAACAGGTTAGGATTTCGGTACCGGCTCTGCTGCTCGCGGGCTGTGAGCATGAATGTGCCTCTCTAGCCTCTCTGAGCCTCAGTTTTCTGATCTGCAATATGTGACAATGATTAGTTACTCACAGGGCTCAAGGTGAAGTGACATCACTTTTATGAAGAAGTTTGCAGCTTGCCTGGAACAGAGAGGCACTCAGAAGTGCCTAGTTCTCTTAATGCTAATAAAAGATACAACTTCAGTGCACAGTGTCCCCTCCCCTCCCCCACCTACATCATGGGGACAGAGGCCAGGAGGCTGTGCTCCACGGGGAATTCCCTTCAGACCTCGTCCAGCCCTGGAGGCCAAGGGAGTGCAGGTTACCTGTGGGCCCTGTCCCAGGTCGAATTATTGCCCTCTGGTGACAGTCACAAGGAGGTCTCTCTGCTAACACTGCAGTGAAAGCTTCCCTGCACTCCCTCACTTGGTTCTCACGACAGCTCTGTGTGGACATGAAGTCATTCTTGTCCTTGCTGTTTCACTTTTGAACCAGCTCTAGAGCCAATAAATGAATTATTGGCTCTAGAGCCAATAAATGAATGCCTGATGCTCCCCAGCTGGGCTGACATCAGAGCCATCCGGGACTCTGAGGAGGGCTGCGAGGTGCCCAAAGGGCCACAGAGCAGCAGGTCGGGGCTGATTCCCCTTCATGTGGAGGCAAGACAGGTGCCCCGCGGCCCTGCAGGCCATTTGTCTCTGTACACACCACACAGCAAGCACCAAGGCAGAAACAAACACACAGTCTCTTATCAGCTCCTAGGAACAGCTGCTGACAAATTGCTTTTCTTGGGAAAGCACTCAGGCCTATTGGAGGAGACACAGTAATCAGAGGAAATGGTACCTGCCTCCGAGGCACTTCTACTTCTCAAACAGCTAAAGAATGTAATTCAAGGAAGGTAATTTCAGCCCCAGTTTCTGCAGGAGTTGGTGAGTGAAGGCCAGAGATCCAAGAAGGCTTCCTGGAGGAAGTGATGGGGTAGCAGAAAAGAGGAAGAGGAAGTAAAGGGAGTGGGCCAGACCTAGTTGAGCCAAGTTGCCTGTCTTATTTGAGGGGAAGTGAAGTGGGGAAAGGAAGCAAGCACAGATTTTAGCTGGAATAGTAGAGGGAATGCGGTCTGGTGTGCATGGATGCCTTCTGAAACGGTGTCTTCATGCCAGGAGCGCTTTGGCATGGTTGTGAGCCTGGCCTGGCCCAGCAGTAAGGAGGACTTTTCGCCGTTTGCTATCTCTGAACCTCTCAGAGTGGCTGCCTTCTCACGTCCTCCCTAGCAGGGAGCCCCAAGGCGAGGCTCTTCCAAAGGCAAGGGGCCCTGGCAACTCCCCACTGGCCGGGCTTGGTGGGCTTGCAGCAACCTCTGGGAGCTTTGCAGACCCCTGTCCTCGGACGCTCAGCAAGGAGGTTGAGGGTCAGCCCGGTCACTGTCTGTTTGGTCCAGGAATTGAAGCCCCTCACTGTGCGGAGAGGAGCATCCACAGGTTTCAGGGCTTCTGTTCAACCCGCTGTGTGCAAAATAAACAGACTTGGGTAAATTCTGAGGTTGGCTGCAGACACGTCAACTGTTCCGAAGACACTTTGTTTTCCAAAAGAGTTTTGCTCGGTCATCTCCATGTCTGAGAATCCTAGATCTTCATGTCTCTATACACACACTGTAAGAAAATGTAGTGTGCATCCATCATCTCACACATTTGTCATTTCCTTGCTTTGGAGACATTCAATATCCTCTGTGTAGCTGTTTGATACTATACAATATGTTATCATTAACTATAGTCATCCTACAGCAGCAGAGAGCACTGATCACTATACATTATATGTATTGAAACATCACCATGTACCCCATGAATAAGTACAATTATTATTTTTCAATTACGAAATATAATTTATAAAGAAGAAAATGCAATGCACATCCATCGTCTCAAACATTTCTCATTTTTTGTGTTGGAGACATTCAGTATCCTCTGTTAAGCTGTTTGATACTATATTCTATATTATTGTTAACTGTAGCCATCCTACAGCCACAGAGAGCACTGATCACTATATATGTATCAAAACATTGCCATGTACCCCATGAATACATATAATTATTATTTGTCAAATATTAATTGAAAGTACAATTAAAAAAAGAAAATGCAATGCAAACTAAAGGGAAAAGAGCAAACAGGATTTTTGAAAACTTGTTCTTCCATCTTTTTAAACTTAAAATTTGTAATTTTTATTAGCTACAAAACTAAATAGGATGTTTCCTAATCATGTAAATTAAATGCCATAAACTACTTGAAATAACTCCATGCCACCTGGAAGGAGCCTTACCTTCACTGAAGGTTAAGCACTAAGCTACTTGGATATTATCCTTGGACGGGCCACATACCTTCCACCTTTTGCCTCCTTTTGTGTGTGAGAAATATATATGGATTGGCTGAAAGAAAAAAAGACCTAGACCACCAGCATTTCGATCCAGCCCTGCTGTGTTTCTGTAATTACTTGGATTGGTTTAATCCAAACAAAGAGAATATTCTGAAGATGCTCAATGAAATTCTGATGGAAAGGATGGCTGGCCAAGAGACACCCTCCGATCCCCAGGAGCTGCCACATGCAGGATCCAGGCTCCCGTGGGAAAGCCTCAGGACCAGGGGCGGCATTTGCATTTCCGAGGCCAGAACACACTATTCCTATATGTTGCCATTTCCCCAACTATTCAAGCTGATTAAAGGATGCTAGAAAATTACTTAAGCCCTTAAATTGCAACAACAAAGGCTTGGTTTCTCTTTTCAACCAAAACAGCACGGCTGCCTGATTCAAATGCTAATAGCCGGGGCCTGAATTGGTCACTAAATGAGAGAGACACCTCTCCCTGCAAATGACCACAAAGCCACTCCTTTGCAGTGACAATCTGCAGGATTCTCCCAGTTGGACGTTCTGTTAAATTGCTCCATGGGAAGCATCCTCGCGGTGGGCTGGTTGGTTTCTGGAGAAGATTGCCTTCTATCTGGCCAGGGCTGACTCTGGAGGAGCTAGGAACCACCCATCTCCCTTGTTGCAGAGCCAAGAGGACATTCCAGCAGATCTGGCACAGCTTTCAAATTCTTTGTTGAGGAAAAAGGCCCCAGTTTTAGAGCTGGTTGCTACCATCTCAACTCATCCTAATTTCAAAATGGCTCTAAAGACAGAATGTGGTTTCTCAGCTCCTTACCACCCCATCTCCACACCTCCCTTTGTACCCTACAGTCCCTTCTACCTGGGGGATGGGCACTGCCCGCCACTGACCAGATCCCCACTCTCTGGCTTGCTTCACCTACCCCCAGCTCATGAAAGAGGGCTTGGGGCCAGATGAAGGAAGTTCCAGTCCAAACTCTCCCATGTAGGGAGTGACCTCGGGCCGGGTACTGGGCTCTGTCCACCTGGGTACACTGTGGACCTGTTCAGTATCAGGGGAATAGGGAGGCCAATCTTCACACAGCTGCAGTGAAGGCACACACAGATTATACGGGATTTGGACTCAGCAGGCCAGAGGGCAGATTTTACCTCCTCCACCATCCTGACTCTGACCAGGCTACATCTCATGCTGAGCCTCAACTTTCTTCTCTGTAACATTGCAAAGGTAACAGTACCCATCTTGCGAGGTTTTGCTGAGCGTTAGACGGTATACAAGTATACTATGTATAAGGCAACAGGGACTGTGCCTGGTGTGCCCAAGATTAGTGGATGGAGCTACCATAGGCGTGCAGTTAGGGTAGACAATGGAGAGGTTTTGAAATGTCTCTCCTCAATCTCTATTCCTCTCTTTTGCCATTATTACAGTATGTCTTTCTAATGTTAAGTTTTGGATTTGTCTTATCTACCAATTATGCAATTGTGCTCATTATTGACTCTGCACCTACAGCCCAGCCCAGTGTGGTATTGGAAATGTAGTGTCATTGCTCAGGGAGTGATACAGTCCACGCTCTGTTGGCAGGTGCATTCCTGAGAGTTATTTCTATTCTGTCAATACATGCATATTTGGTAGGGGCAATGCTAATTTTCAGTTGACATGAGTAATATAATTTGTCAGTTTCTAGTCCTGAGGGAATTGTTCTTGATCCTCAAAGATGATGTCCACTTTTCTCTCACCTCTACCTTCTGCTTCCTAAATTCCTTGACAGTCTCAAAGGCCAGGGGTTACTGTTGTTTACTTTTTACATTTACATTATGCCTGGTTCTTTCCTATTGATTAGACATATGTCCTTCCTTTACTGGCAAATAGTTTTAATACCATTTTATAGAATAGCAATTCCTTAATATATCTAATATGAAAGACTGTGAATATGGCTGTGCAAAGTTGTATTTAAAATAGATTAAGAGCCAGGCACGGTGGCTCACGCCTGTAATCCCAGCACTTTGGGAGGCCGAGGAAGGCAGATCACCTGAGGTCAGGAGTTCAAGACCAGCCTGGTCAACATGGTGAAACCCTGTCTCTACTAAAAATACAAATATTAACCAGGCATGGTGGCAAGCACCTGTAATCCCAGCTACTCAGGAGGCTGAGGCAGGAGGATCACTTGAACCTGGGAGATGGAGGTTACAGTGACCTGAGATCACGCCATTGCACTCCAGCTTGGGCAACAAGAGTGAAACTCCGTCTCAAAAAAAATAATAACAATATAAAAAAATAGATTAAGACAAGTTTTAGAGCCAGGCATGGTGGCACATGCCTGTAATCCCAGCACTTTGGGAGGCCGAGGCGGGTGGATCACGAGGTCAAGAGATCGAGACCATCCTGGCCAACATGGTGAAACCCCGTCTCTACTAAAAATACAAAAATTAGCTGGGCATTGTAGCATGAGCCTGTAGTCCCAGCTACTCAGGAGGCTAAGGCAAGAGAATCGCTTCAACCCGGGAGGCGGAGGTTGCAGTGAGCCGAGGTCGCACCACTGCACTCCAGCCTGGCAACAGAGCGAGACTCCATCTCAAAAAAAAAAATAAAAAAAAAAGATATGTTTTAGAAAGGAACTTACCTTCTGAAGAATTCCATATTACAAGGAGATAGAACACATCTGATACAAGCATCAAAGATTGATTTTGCTTTGGGAATCTTTCTCATCTGATTTATAAATAATCCTGTTCTGAAAGAAATATTTAATTTAAAAAAATGTTTTACGTTCCTATCTTAACCTCCGCTTTTTAAAAAATGTTTTACATTCACATCTTAACCTCTGCAGCTAGAATTTAAGATTGTCAAAGATGAGAATTTAAACCTCTTTATATTGCCAACGTGCAAATCAATGTATTGCAATTGTACAGTAGGTACATACTGTAAAATTTTCCATGATGATGACATTTAGCACATATTCTCCCCAGCTGACACTTATGATGCTTTGACTTGACCTCCACCTTGACTTTCCAGTGTCAATTGGTCAAGAAGGTAAAGCTCCTGCCGCTGGAGATCAAGATGTCGGATAGAGCGCTAGATACCTAAGCTAAGACTGGTAAAAAAAGAGATGGATGTTGTCTTAGCATAACACAGTGAAAGATGGTATTATGTACAGTATTTAAAATAATATTTTAAGGATTCAAAAATAGTGCCATAAATTATGTCATTCTAAATTTTAAAAATGAGGAGAAAATAATTTTAAAATACATAAAGGTAGCTTAAAAGCTAAAATAAAACCCAATTGCATTCTGAGTAATAGAATGTTAGGTTAGAGAAAATTTCAAACAGATGAAAGTTAGCCAAGAAACAACTAGGAACATAAAACTAAGGGAAAATGAAAGGGCAAGCCGGAGTGGCTGCTCACACCTGTGATCCCAGCACTTTGGGAGCCTGAGGCAGGAGGATTGCTTGAGCCCAGGAGTTCAAGACAAGCCTGGGCAACATGGCAAAACCCCATCTCCAAGAAAAATACAAAAAATTAGCTAGGCATTTGTGGCACACACCTGTAGTCCCAGCTATCGGGAGGCTGAGGTGGGAGGATCACTTGAGCCTGGGAGGCAAAGGTTGCAGTGAGCCAAGATCACGCTATTGCACTCTGGCCTCGGTGACAGAGTGAGACCCTGTCTCAATAAAAAAGGAAAAAAAATGAAAGGGCTAAGAGAATGATTGTGTAGCAGAAAGTTCTGAGACCACCCCAAGGTCTGTGATGAGGAAACCATTATAGATCAATCCAAATGCGTTCTCATTCGGTGCTCCAAAGGATCAGTGCTATGATCAGGAACCATCATTTCATTTAAGCCAGATGTAATTTCACTTAAACGAGATGTAACTGGGCCAGCAATAGTCGTGGGCAGTTTACTTAAGTCAGGATTTCCCAGACTTATCTAATCATCAGAATCAAAGGAATGACATGAGAAGTGTGATAAAAATACAGGTTCTGCATCCCAACCAGACCCCCTAAATCAAAATCTTAGGGGAAAGCCCTGGGCGCTGTGTGTTTTTATCAAGTACGCAGGTGATTGCTATGGTGTAGCCCATTTGAGGGACACGCTATAGTCGAGTATGGGTTGGGAAGAGCAACTGGAAATAAACAGAGACTGGGATATCTTACAGACAGCCCCAAAACATGCACTCAGTTTGCCATTGGATTCTTTGCTTGATGAATAGGATTTAAAGCTAGACTGTATTAGTTATATGACAGGATTTGTTTCATCAATGAAATGCCTCTGTGTGCGTGTGTGTGTGTGTTTCCAGTTAATCCAGTTAGAGTGGTGGTTGTAACCTGGTCCCTAGATTTCTAAATACTTATGTTTATAGAATTTTATGGTCAAAATGAGTCCCTACCAAGAGCATCTTGTCAAACTCCCTCCTTGTCCACTGAAGAGCTGTGTGCTGTTTAAGTTGGTATATCCCTGTGTTTATGAGTACACATTTAACGGCGGCAGAATTCTGCAGCCTCCATGGGTCACCTAGAGCCTGATGAATAAAGTAAGCAAAGTCCAGTTGTAGTTTTCATAATCCAGGACAGTAAGTCCCTGGAGGAAGATCTGTCCATTAAATTCCATGAGTTTCAGGAATTTGCACGGACCCTAAGACGCTCCAGTATCAATAAGGTGACACACTGATCCCTGACATGCTCTTGGAAGATGAAGCCAGGCACAGCTGGCTTTGTGACTTGTTTTTCAGGTTAGTAAAGGTCACTCCCGGCCTTTACTAACATTCACCCAGTGCCTCGGCCAGGATCCACTACTATTTTCACGATGAAGAAAGCTGGATCTGCTTCCTTTATTTTCTTCTCCACTATCGATTCTTCTGAGTTTCACTCTGAAATTCCAACACCTTGGGCCTTCTCTCAGGCTCACAGCGACTCCATCAATCAGGGTGTCTAAAGACCCTGTGGGTGGAGGAAGGAAGGAAGGAGGCACAGAGACCCTGCAGAAATGATTCAGGAGCCCCAGGCAGCTCACCCTCCCTGTCCTTTGGGTAGTTTTTCTGCAGTTTCTCACTGTTGACACTTTTTTTCCTCTATGAGTCAAGAAAGAAGGCCCTAAGAGGGAAATGAGACAGATCTTCTTACAAATATTCTTCATTACCACACTTTATTCATTCTATCAGCCAAGTGTGTTCCTCCAATTTTTCACTACAATTTTAAAAGCAGAAAATGTACCCTATTGTTTTGCACTGTTGGGGCCCATCCAGAGAGAAGGTGCAAGGTACCTACTGGACTTCAAGGCTAAGATTGCGAGTGCAGCCGGAGTGGCTCGGAAACCAAATGTCAGTGGGAGCTCCCAGTCCCAGCTGTGAGGCGTGGCTCCCAGTCCCAGCTGTGAGGCGTGGCCCCATTGCTTCCCTAGCGGGCTTCTGCTCAGATGGCTCCAGAGGCTGCTCATCTGTATCATGACAGCATTTCATCGTAACAGACGCCAGCTACTGCATTAGCTCCTTTATTTTCTGGTTAAGTTTATACAAATGTATCAGATATACTGCAATATTAATAGTTCTCTCCTCATTTGTTTCTGTTATTCTTGGGGCTGGTTTCACAAGTTTTGGGGGTTTCAGTTCTTTTTTTTTTTTTTTTTTTGATACAGAGTCTTGCTCTGTCGCCCAGGCTGGAGTGCAATGGCACAATCTCTGCTCACTGCAACCTTTGCCTCCCAGGTTCAAGCGATTCTCCTGCCTCAGCCTCACGCGTAGCTGGGATTACAGGTGTGTGCCAGCATGCCTGGCTAATTTTTTTGTATTTTTAGTAAAGATGGGGTTTCATCATGTTGGCCAGGCTGGTCTTGAACTCCTGACCTCAAGTGATCCACCCACCTCAGCCTTCCAAAGTGCCTGGGATTACAGGCGAGTCACCATGCCTGGCCTGGGGATTTCAGTTCTTAATCTCCTTTCAGATTTGCCCATACTCTTTTCCTTCAGTCATCTCTGAGAGAAAACCCAGAGGTCCTTCATGGCTGGCTCAACTCACCGTCACTCAGGACAGCAGGGTCTTGCGGTCTGTTGCACTGTGGAGATGCAGGGGCGCCTGTATGGGCGAGTGGAGTTGTTCTGGGTGGAAATCCCAGGCCGGCTCTTTTCCTGTGACTGTGATGAGTGACTCAGCTCAGAGCCTCCTGAGCCTCATCAGTACAGTAAGGACCACAACACTGAATCCATTGTAAGGGTGAAGACACAGTCTGCAGAAAACTTGGCACATAGTGGGAATTTCAAACGCTTTAGCTGGTTAAAGAGAATTGACCATTTCTGCCTTTCAATTTCTCAGGAGTCCCTTTTCAGGGAGGTCGGCTGTCTAATTTGGCCCCTTCTACCTCTATGCATCCTCCTATAGCCATGCCCTCGGTGCAAGTGAGGCCAGCCTGACTTCTGTTCTCTGTAAGCGGCAGGCTTACTCCCACCTGAGGTTTTGCACAGGGTCTCCCTGGCCTGGGCCACTCTTCCATCTGATGTTACCACAGTTGGTTACTCTGACCTGTCTTTAATGCCCCTTTCACAAATCTAAACCATCCAGGGACAACAGATAAGGAAAATGGAGTGGAAGCCTCACCACAGATGATGGTGCAGTGCTGAGAAGCATCGGATTCGAGACAGACATAGAGACCTGGAGGCACTGAATGGAAAAAAGGAACAGAGGAGACAAGAACATGCAGACAGAACAACATGGGCTTTGCACAGGTACACGACAAACACAAAATGCACAGCGGACATGCGGCTGCTGCGGGGCAGGGCTGGTATGGGAACAAGACAGGGTGTGTGTGCGTCAAACAAGGCAGAAAAAAATGCAGCCTCGGGTCGCTAGGCATCGCTTCATCCTGTTAAATTCCCCAAAATAGCATGTATCGCTGTCAAACATGAGCATCAGGACTTTTATCCAAACAGGAAAATTTTCTGTTCTTTTAGTCCCAAGTATATGGAGCACACTTATTAATTAGGACATTATGACGGGCTCTGTGTAAAAATGGGAAGTGAATCTCTCAATATGTGTTTAGTGAAATTAAAGGTACATTGAATCTACTAAAGAAAAAAAACACTTAAGCCTGGGAAATTATCTTTGTGTTTTTTCCTAAGTGATTATTATTAGACACCAGAATAGCACCAAACCGAAAAAAATCTCACGACTGAAATATCTCAGAAACGACATTTCAATATATAAAGGAGACATCAATTTTAAGTTACAAGTAAGGAGAAATTTGGAAACAGAACATACAATTTAACTAAGATTAAGTCTTTCAAAATAATAAGCAGCACTCTAAAACTGAAATCAAGAACGATTTTCATGACTATTTGAATTTTTTTAAATTAATGTTGGTGTTTTTTTTGAGACAGGGTGTCACTGTGTTGCCCATACTGCAGTGAACTGGCAGTGTCATAGCTCACTGCAGCCTCAAGCTCCTGGGCTCAAGTCATCCTTCCACCTCAGTCTCCCAAGTAGCTGGGACTACAGGTATGCACCATGACATCTGGCTAATTTTTTAGTTTTTGTGGAGACGGAATCTCGATATGTGGCCCAGCCTGGCCTCAAGTAATCCTCCTGCCTCAGCCTCGCAAAGTGCTGGGATTACAGGCATGAGCCACGACACCTGGCCTAAATATTTCTCAAAAATAAACCAAGAATGATTTTCAAGGCCTAAGAAAAAGACATGGCACTGATGAGATTTTGAAGACTTTTATTAAAAGTAATAAGCATAGTTCATTCACCCAAAACTGACAGTGGAAAATCTGAATGTTTCAAGTAAGTAGAGGAAATTCCCCCAAATGAAGAGGGGATGACAGAGTCCTGAAGTTAGCTACTGGACACCTTCAGCGGCAGACACTGGAAGATTAGTTACAAGAGGGCTCGACAGGCCTGCAGGTAAAACAAACAAAGCAAAACAAACTGAAACAAGAAAGCACAGCCAGGCTCTCTCTCCCCAGCTCAGCAGGAGCTCCAGCCCCAGCTGCCATCATTCCTAGCACTCCGGTAGCAGCGTTACTATTACTAACACTTACGGTATCTTCAAAATCATCCTCCTGGCAACCAATGTGAAGTCACCACCAGGCCCAGAAAGTGGCTGTGACTCTCCCCTGGTGGCCAACACTGCTAGCTGCTGACCTAACTTCCGTTACCCATCCTCTTCCTCACTACCAGGCCCGTAGGTACTGCTGTGGGGTATAAGGTGCGCAGCTGAAGAAAATGCATTTTTCCAGCCCCCTTGTGAGATGGGGTGGCCATATGACCACGCTCTGGTCAGCAGAATGTCAGTGAAGTTTTTGGGTGGAGATTCCAGAAGCTTCCTGAGAAGAGGGCTGGCGGGATGGGCAGGGATCCCCTCTGTCTCAGGCCCTCTGCCGCAGAGGTAGTATGAGGTCAGGAGCAGGAAGCCCCCACCAGCAACAGGCAAGAGCGAGCAGCACCATGGGGTCCCCAAGCCAGCCAGGGACTCTCAGCGACAGGAGAGAAAGGCAAGCCTCTGCGTTCTCGCAAGAGGCTCTTTTCTGGAGGCGGTTTCAGTTTTGCGGTGCTGAATCCAGTTCTGTAAGGGAAGAAAAAGTTATTTCCTCACCCATTGCTAGGTTTATGGCTGAGACACCTATCATAAAAGACAGATAAACAAGAGAAAAGCAGGCGAATTTATTTCATTGTATGTAATTTTTACATGACACAGGCACCTTTAGATATGAAGACCAAAAGGCACAGGGAGGCCTGTGTATCTTTAGGCTAAGCTTGATGGAGAGCGGACAGTGGTGGAAAAGGGTGAGTACACAGAGCGGGTGTCACCTGATGGCAGTGAACTGCGGGAATATGCAAGGTGCCAGATTTCAGGGTCTTGTGTCCCAAACCCCATTAGTGTCTAACTCAGTGTGGATATAACTGCTGGGACGCTAGCAGCGGTCTCTTTGGAAATTGCCAGAGCGCGCCACCGCGGCTGCTGGGTCACTGGGCTTCTGTGTTATGATGGATGCTGTATTCGTCATCCATCATTTGTGGTGTGTTGTAAAGCATCACAAACTGGGTGCCTTTAAACAACAGAAATTTGTTCCCTTACAGTTCTGGATCCCAGAAGCCTGACATCACGGTATCGGCAGGGCCGTGCTCCCTCCTGGGAAGCTTCCCTCCCCTCTTCCCTCTTCTGGCATTGCTGGTGCGTCAGCCCGGTCTCCACCTCCGTCTTCACACAGCCATGACCCCGTGTGTCTCTCCTCCTCTTCAGATGTTCTTCAGTAAGGACATCAGTCATGTTGGATTAGGACCCACCCTGATGACCTCATCCTAGCTCACATCTCGATGTCATCTGCAAAAATCCTATTTCCAAAGAAGGCCACTTCACAGGCCCCAGGACTTAAGATTTTAATGTATCTTTTGCAACAAACACCTTAGCGAAATTTCTTGCAACACACACCTTGGTTTAATGTTCTTGAACTAATCCACTGGCCTCTGGGACTCAGGCATAGCTCTTTGGGCCTCTCAAACTGGCCTGATGTCCTGGGACCAAATTTGCACTGTGCCTAACCTTGGGCTGAGGATTTTTGCCAGAAAGCTCTGGTCTCTCATACCCCAGGCAGGCCCATCCTTCCAGTCCTCCAGGCAAAGCGAATCTGAACTGTGTTAGTTCTAGGCTGTGCCAAGTCCAGGCTCCCTGAGGTTTCTACACTGCCTTTATATTTATAGATCTTAAAAAAAAAAAAAAAAAAAAAAAGGTACTGTTTCTGGTATGGTTTGGCTGTGTTCCCACCCATATCTCATCTTGAATTGTAGCTCCCATCACTCCCACTTGTTGTGGGAGGGACTTGGTAGGAGATAATTGAATCACAGGGGCAGTTCCCCCATACCGTTCTCATGGCAGTGAGTAAGTCTCACGAGATCTGATGGTTTTCTACGAGGAAAACCCTTTTGCTTGGTCCTCACTCTCTCTTGTCTGCGGCTATGTAAGGCATGCCTTTTGCCTTCCACTATGATTGTGAGGCCTCCCCAGCCATGTGGAACTGTGAGTCCATTAAACCTCTTTTTCTTTATAAATTACCCAGTCTCAGGTATGTCTTCACCAACAGGGTGAAAACAGACTAATACAGTTTCTCCCCGGCTTCCCTGAAGACCCACCAGTGTCAGAGGAAGGCGACTTCACAGCCCAGCACATCTGGGACTCAGCTCACTTCAAGGGTAAAAATCTCTTTGAAGTCACATGTTTTACTCAAAAAATCTCGTTAACTTTCCTTTTACTGCTTAAAGTACTTGTGTTTGCTTTCTCGTTGTAAGAATGGTTTTTTGCGCGTATCTTCAGGTGCAGTCAATGCCCAGGAATTGTGCACTACCTGCTCTTGAAGGGCCCTTTTCTCCTCAGTTCCTGGGGGTGCTTCCCCTGCTTGAGAAGCACAGGTCTTTCCTGTTAGGGGTTAGGGTTAGGGTTAAGCCCTCATGTCCCATCCTGGATTTGATCTCTACCACCCTGTGGAATGACAAGAAATCTATTTCATTTAAAAAAAAAAAAAAAAAGTTAAACAGCTTTCAAAAGTAAAAAAAAAAAAAAATTATTTTTTTTTAATTTCTGAAACAATTTTTAAATTAAAAAATTTTATTTTAAATAAATTGGGTTTTTGTCCCCCATTCCTGGCACGCAGCCCCTAAACGCCTTTCCTGAGTGTCAGGGCTGTCTTTGGTGTTGGCCAGGAGCCCCTTCCCATCACACCTGAGTGCCTGCTAACAAAGTAAGCGAGGCTGGGTCCTGGGACAGCCTCAGGATGGGGTGGGCATGAGAAAGACCATGCCAGTAGAGGGTGGGAACTTTCAGCCTCACCCACCTGCCTCTGGGAAAGGGAGTGGGGGTGCTGGTAATCAACCTCTATAAAATCTCTTAATAACTGTATTTGATGAGCTTCCAGGTTAGTAAACGTATCCAGGTGCCAGGAGGGTGGCACCCCCCAGCTGCTGCACTCAGGACCCTTCAGACCTCACCCTGCATATTCCCCACCTGACCGTTCATCTGCGTCCTTTATAACAGGGGCCCCAACGCCCTGGCCACAGACCTGCCTACGTGTGTGTCTATGTGTGTGTGTGTGTGTGTTTGTGTGTGTATGTGTAGACAGGGTCTTGTTATCTTGCCCAGGCTGGCCTCAAACCAGGGCCTCAAGTGATCCTCCTGCCTCAGCCTCCCAAAGTGCTAGGATTATAGGCATGAGCCACAGTGCATGGCCTCTGTTTCTTTTTTATGTTTTCATTTTCCCAACCCATTTTGAATGTTTCACTGCTCTGAAATGGTCTGTCAAATTAGTTACCTGAGTTCTCAAATACGTGTCCTTGTTTTCAAGGGTTTACATAAGTAACCACCCACTTTAATCAGAACACTATCCAATTGACTGTCTGAGTACAGGAATCTAGTTGGTTTTCTTCCAGTCTTCAACTGCAGAAAATTTCTTTGCTTCCAGATTTTGTTTCAAACTATTTCTAACTCCAAGTAAACTCGTCCATTTGCTTAGGGTTAGCCCACATTCCCCGCATCCCCCATCTCAGACAACACCATTGGGTCTCCCAAGATATCCCAAGGAAATCAATAACAATTGATTATTATTAATTCTCTGACGCTCTTATCCATGCTTGGAAACACGCACTGACTACTGAATACAGTTGAGGTTCACATCGTAATTTTGTTTTCTAGTAAATCTGTCTTTACTAATAATAGTATTTACAGAAGAAAAAGTAGAACTCATTCTATTTTTATCTTGGAATGCATGATACCTCCAGGTAAAGTGGGGTTTTTTGTTTTTTAATGTGTAAGTTTCAAACTGTTAATTTAGAAAACATTTCAAACTTACACATGAGTTGCAGTCATAATAAAATGACTCCTTCAGCTAGATGTATCAATCGTAAACATTTTGTCACATTGTCTCATAAAACATGTTTCACGTCTCTCTTTCTCTCTTTGCATATATGTGTAGATACTTGCATATGCACTTAATTATGTTCAGATTTCATCATTTGAGGGTGATTTACAGATATAATGATCCTTAGCCCCTAAATAACTTCCTCATATATCTCCCAATAAAAAGGTTATTCCCTTACATAACTTCAGTAAAATGACGAAATTCGGGAAGTTGAAGGTTGCCATAATACTATTATCTAATTTACAGACTAATTCAAATGTCACCAACTGCCCCAATACACTGGTAAACGTATAATGCTTTAGGGGTATGTTGAGGTCCTGTCAACTGAGATGAAGAGATGTTAACTTGCTTTTGAAAATGAGTCTATATCATTAAAAATTTCTAAATTCCAAGTTCTATGGTGAGAAAGAGACTCAGTCAATAGCAGTTATTTAAGTATTCAAAAACCTATTGGCACGATGACTTTGGCAACATTTAGACTAAAATTGAAACCATGCAGAGAAAATTAACATGGCCCCTGCACAAGGATGACACAGAAATTCATGAATTGTTTAATTTTTTTTCTGAATAGAAAAAAGCAATCTGGACTGAATTGCATTCCTCTAAAATTCACGTGTTGAAAGTCCAATCCCCGATGTGACTGTATTTCTTGATAGGGCCCGTAAACGGGTTGTTAGGTAAAATGGGGTCATGAGGGTGAAGCCCTAATCCAGGAGGACTGTTGTTTATATAAGAAAAGGAAGAGATACCAGCGACACACTTGCATAGAGAAAAGGCCATGTGAGGACACAGCAAGAAGGCAGCCGTCTGCACCCTGAGAAGAGAGGCTCATGAGAAACACTCCTGTTGGCACCTTGATCTTGGACTTCCAGCCCGCAGAACTGTGTGAAAATCCATTTCTGTTGTTTAAGCTGCCTGCCTGTGGTATGCTGTTACGGCAGTCTTAGCAGGCTGGCACACTGGGTGAAAATAGAGGTAAAGGCAATAGACTCACCTTCTCGAAAGTTTCTTAAATCATATTTGATGGCTGAAGCAAACCTAACACCATATGATGTAGTGCTCAATGTAAAATACTTAGGAACATTTTATTTAAAAAGTAGGAAGTGTCAAGGGGCCTAAATGGAAGTAAACATTCAATACTTCACTCAAAGTGGTACCATTTTTATATGAGGAGGCTATGATAAGTTACATCTATACATATGTATATGTGTGTGTGTGCATATATATATATATAGAGAGAGAGAGAGAGTACAATCACCAGGAGGACAATACAAGGTTATATGATTTTTAAATACATGAATAAAGTAGAAGGGAATTCTAGAAAATGCTGAGGTAATCTACAGGAAGGAAAAGAAAAGGAAATGAGAAACAGAAAACAAGTAATACAGTGACAGACTTAAACCCTAAATATCAATTCTAATCTAAATCCATCAGTTCAATGACAGAGGTTGGCAAAAATAGATATAAATACACTACCCAACTACATGCCATCTACACATGTTGGTGGCTCATGCCTGTAATCCCAGCACTTTGGGAACCGAGGCAAGCAGATCACTTGAGGTCAGGAGTTCGAGACCAGCCTGGCCAACATGGTGAAACCCTGCCTCTACCAAAAATACAAAAATTACCCAAGCATGGTGGTGTGCGCCTGTAGTCCCACCTACTCGGGAGGCTGAGGCAGGAGAATCGCATGAGGCAGAGGTTGCAGCGAGCCGAGATCATGCCACTGCACTCCAGCCTGGGTGACAGAGTGAGACTCTGTCTCAGAAAAAAAAAAAAAAAAAAGGAATAAGTGAAAGGAAAAATAGACAAACTCACAATTATAGTTGGACACTTCATCACTTCTCTTTCAGCAACTGATAGGACTATTACACAGAAAATTGGCAAGGATAAAGAACTGAACAATACCGTCAGTCAGCATGATTTCTAGAGCATTCCACCCCAAGATAGCAGAATACACATTCTTTTCAAACATCCATGAATGTTCCAAGATAGACCATATCCTAGATGATTTTTAAAAATCAATAAATTTGAAAGAATTAAAATTATACAAAGTATGTTTTCTGGTCATAAGAGAATCATACTAGAAATCAATACAGAAAGACAAAGGAAAATCTTTAAATATGTGAAAAGTAACCAACACACTCCTAAATAATTAAACATCAAAAAGTAAATCTCAGAAGAAATCTGAAAATATATTGAACTGAATAATAATGAAAACAAAATGTGTCAAAATTTGTGAGATGCAGCTAAAGCAGTGTTAAAAGGAAAATTTATGACATATATAAATGTCATATATATGCATATATATATGAAAAGAGGAAAAGTCTGAAATCATTTCTCTAAGTTTCTACCTCACAAAACTAGAAAAAGAAGAGCAAACTAAACACAAAGCAAGCAGAAGGAAAGAAATAATGAAGATAGAATAACTCAATAAAATCGAAAACAGGAAAGGAATAGAAAAAAATCAGTGAAACAAAAAGCAGTTCTTTAAAAAATCTGAAAAAATCTGTAAGTCTCTAGCAAGACTTACAAAAATAAAAAAAACATAAATCACCAAGGTCAGACAAAAAATCACTAATAAAACAGGAATATCAGTACAGATCAATCCTTCAATCATTAAAACAACATTAAAGAATAATATTAACAAAAGATAGACCTCATAAATGAATTCAGTAAAGCTGCAGAATACAAAATAACAAAAATCAATTGTGCTTCTATAACAAAGAATGAACTATCTGAAAAAGAAATTAGGAAAGCAATTCCATTCACAACAGCAACAAAAAGAATAAAATAGGAATACACTTAACCAAAGACATGAAAAACTTGACACTGAAAATTATAAAACAATGATGAAGAAAATTAAAGAAGACACAGATAAATGGAAAGACATCCTGTGTTCATGGATTGAAAATTGAAAAAATTGTCAAAATGTTCATACTACCCAAAGAGATCTAAGATTCAATGCAATCCCTATTAAAACTCCAATGGCATTTTTTTATAGCTATAGAGGAACAAACCTAAAATGTGTAAGGAACCACAAAACACTCTAAGGAGGTAAATCTATCTTGAGCAAGTAAGATAAAACTGGAGGCATTATACTACCTGACTTCAAAATATATAACACAGCTATAGTAATCAAAACAGCATGGCACTGACATAAAAACAGTCACTTAGACCAATGGGACAGAATAGAGAGCCCAGAAACAAATCTATGCATCTGTGGGTCAATTGATATTTAACAAGAGTGCCAAAAACACACAATGGGGAAATAATAGTCTCTTCAATAAATACTGTTGGGAAAACTGGATATCCATATGCAGAAGAATGAAAGTGGACTTTTTCTCATACCATATGCAAAAATCAACTGAAAATAGATTAAAGACTTAAACATAAGTCCTGAAATCATAAAACTACTAAAAGAAAACATAATGGAAAAGTTTCTTGACATTGGTCTGAGCAATTGTTTTGTGGATATGACACAAAAAGCACAGGCAATAAAAGCAAAAATAAGCCAGTGGGATTGTGTAAAATGAAAAGCTTCTGCACAGCAAAGGAAACAATCCACAGAACAAAAAAACAACCTACAGAGTGGGAGAAAATATTTGCAAACCATATATCTAATAAGGGGCTAATATTCAAAATATACAAGAAACTCAAACAACCCAAAAGCAAACAAATGAACAAGCAAAACAAATAACCCAATTAAGCAATGGGGTAAGGCACCGAATAGATATTTCTCAAAAGACACGACATACAAATGGCCAACAGGTATATGAAAGTGTGCTCAACGTCACTAATTTTCAGGGAAATGCACATCAAAATCACAAAAAGATATCACCTTACCCCTCACAAAAGATAATGTGTTGGTGAGAATGTGGAAAAAAGGGAACCATTATGCATAGTTTGTAATGTAAATTGGTATAGCCACTATAAAAAACAGTGTGAAGTTCCTTAAAAAATTATAAATAAGGCCAGGCATGGTGGCTCACACCTGTAATCCCAGCACTTTGGGAGGCCGAGATGGGCAGATCACCTGAAGTCAGGAGCTTGAGACCAGCCTGGCCAACATGGTGAAACACTGTCTCTATTAAAAACACAAAAAAATTTTCCAGGCATGGTGGTGGGCACCTGTAATCCCAGCTACTTGGGAGGCTGAGGCAGGAGAATCACTTGAACCCTGGTGGTGGAGGTTGCAGTGAGCTGAGATTGTGCCACTGCACTCCAGCCTGGGTGATTAGAGTGAAACTCCATCTCAAAAAAAAAAAAAATTATAAATAAGAACTAGCATATGATCCAGCAATTACATTACTAGGTACTTATCCAAAGGAAATGAAATCAGTGTCTCAAAGAGATATTGCACCCCCATGTTTATCGCAGCATTATTCTCAATAGCCAAAATATGGAAACAATCTTATCTCTTATCATTTGTCCACTGATAAATGAATAGATAAAGAAAACATGGGTATATTAATATACCGTGGGATATTATTCAGCTTTAAAAAGGAAGGAAATCTTGCCATTTGTGACAACATGCATGAACCTGGAGGGCATTATGCTAAGTAAAATAAGTCAGACACAGAAAAACAAATGCTGCATCATCTCACATGTGCAATCTGAAAAACTGGAACTCATGAAAACACAGAATAAGATGGTGGCTGACAAGGGCTGGAGGGGAAGGATGGGGAAATGTTGGTCAAAGGGTACAAAGGTTCAGTTATGCAGGATGAATATATTCTGAAGATCCAACGTACACCATGGTAACTACAGTTAACAATACTGTATTGAATACTTGAAATTTACTAAAAGAGTTTATCTTGGCCAGGTGCAGTGGCTCATGCCTATAATCCCAGTACTTTGGGAGGTTGAGGCAGGCGGATCACCCGAAGTCAGGAGTTTAAGACCAGCCTGGAAAACATGGTGAAACCCTGTCTCTACTAAAAATACAAAAAATTAGCTGGGTGTGGTGGTGGGTGCCTGTAATCCCAGCTACTGAGGAGGCTGAGGCAGGAGAATTGCTTGAACCCAGGAGGCGGAGGTTGCAGTGAGCCGAGATGGCACCATTGCACTCCAGCCTGGGCAACAACAGTGAAACTCTGTCGCAAAAAAAAAAAAAAAAAAAAAAAAGTTGATCTTAAGTGTTCTCACCACATGCACACACACACAAATCATAACTATGTAAGGTGATGAATAAGTTAGCTTAAATGTAATCGTTTCACAATTATGCATAAATCAAAACATGTTGTACACCTTAAAGATATACAATTTTTACTTGTCAAGTATACCTCATAAAGCCAGAAAAAACTAAAATGATAGTAAGGGAATACTACAACTTTTAAATCATAAATTTGACAACTTAGAAGTAGAGGAGGAGGAAGAGGAAGAAGAAGAGGAAAGAAGGGCCATAGAGACTGGAAAGGAAAATATGACTGTTTCCACTACAGATGACATGATTGTCGATATAGAAGAACTCAAGCAACCTACATAAAAACCTTTCAGAACTAGTAAAAGAGCTCAGTAAGATTGCCGGACACAAGATCAACACATAAAAATCTAATGCATTTCTATTCTAAAAATGAACAGGTAGAAATACAAACAAATCATTCACAATTGTTCCAAAGAAAATGAAACCTTACGTATAAATCTAGAAACACATATACAGATTCTGTATGCTGAAAATTACCAAATGCTGATAAAAGAAATCAAAGAAGGCCTAAATAGTTGGAAAGACTTAACTATATTCATGGATTATAAGAGTCAACTTATTAAAGATGTCAATTCTTCACACATTGATCCATATGTATGATGTGATCCATATCAAAATTCTAGCCAAATTTTTGTAAACATAGACAAGATTATTCTAAAATTTATATGGACCGGGCTTGGTGGCTGACACCTGTAATCCCAGTGCTTTGAGAGGCCAAGTTGGGAGGATCACTTGGGCCCAGGAGTTCGAGACTAGCCTGGCAATATAGTTAGATCCTGCCTTCATAAAAAATAAAATAAAATAATTAGCCAAGGCTGGGTGCAGCGGCTCATGCCTGTAATCCCAGCACTTTGGGAGGCCAAGGTGGGCAGATCACTTGAGGTCAGGAGTTCGAGACCAGCCTGGCCAATATGGTGAAGCCCCGTTTCTACTAAAAATACAAAAATTAGACATGGTGGTGCACGCCTGTAGTCCCAGCTATTCAGGAGGCTGAGGCAGGAGAATCGCTTGAACCCGGGAGGCGGAGGTTGCAGTGAGCCAAGATCATCCCACTGCACTCCAGCCTGTATGATAGAGCTAGGACTCTGTCTCAAGAATAACAATAATAATAAAAATAGTAATAAATAATTAGCCGAGTATGTGGCAAACACCTGTAGTCCCAGCTTACTCAGTAGGCTGAAATGGGAGGATTTCTTGAGCCCAGAAGGTTGAGGCTGCAGTGCTACTGCACTAAAGCCTGGGCACAGAATGAGACCCTGCCTCAAAACTAACTAAATAAATAAAATTTATATAGAAAAGAAAAGGGCCAGAACAGGCAAAAGGAAATTGAAAATGAAGAGTAAAGTGGGAGAATCACTCTTCCCAATGTTAGAGCTTACTATATAACTACAGTATTTAAGACTATATGATATTGGTAGGGAGATATACACATGGATCGATGGAACAGATTAGAGAGGCCAGAAACAAACCTACCAAATATGACCAACTGACTTTTTACAAAGATGCAAAAGCAATTCAATGGAGATGGGATAGACTTTTTCACAAATAGTTCTTGAGCAAATTAATGATCATGGAGGATGTTCATTTGCTCAAGAACTATTTGAGCAAAAATACCATTTTGAGCCATGTTCAAAAAATGAACATCTCTCAACAAAATATTAAGGTAATAAAAGAATATATATAAAACTTTTTATACATTCAAATGGTATAGTATATAACAATGTATACATTGTATAAAAAGAATTATACACTGAGTGGGATTTATCCAAAGTATGCAAAGCTGTTTAATATTCAAAAAACAATTAATGCAATCCATCTCATCAACATATTAGAAAAGAAAATCTCTTTTTCTTTATCAGTAGATGCAATAGATGAAAAAAATAATTCTGACAAAATACGAAACCCATTTATGATCATTTAAAACACTCTCAGCAAACTACAAATAAAAGGGAACCCCCTCAACCTGATGAAGAACATCTACAAAGGAGCTACAGCTAATATCATACTTAATGGTGAGAAGCTAGATGCTTTCCCCCTAAAAGCAAGGAGGTCACCTCATACCACTCTTCGCCAGCATTGTAATAGAAATTCTAACTAATGCAACAAAGCAAGAAAAGGAAGCTATACAGATAGGGAAAGATGAAATAAAACTGTCTCTCTTCACAGATGATATGATTGTCTATGTAGAAAATCCCAAAGAATTGACAAAAATATTCCTGGAACTGCATGATAAGTGATTATATTAGGATTTCTGTATATAAGATTAATATAGGAAAGTCAATTGCTTTTTTTTTTTTTTTTTTTGAGATGGAGTCTCGCTCTGTCGCCCAGGCTGGAGTGCAGTGGTACAATCTCAACTCACTGCAAGCTCCACCTCCTGGGTTCACGCCATTCTCCTGCCTCAGCCTCCTGTGTAGCTGGGACTACAAGCGCCCGCCACCATGCCCCACTAATTTTTTGTATTTTTAGTAGAGACGGGGTTTCATCATGTTAGCCAGGATGGTCTCGATCTCCTGACCTCGTGATCTGCCCGCCTCGGCCTCCCAAAGTGCTGGAATCACAGGCATGAGCCGTCAATTGCTTTTTTACATACCAGCAATGAACAATTGAAGTCTGAAGTTAAAAACATAATAATAGTTAATTATAACATAATGCCATTTACAGTAGCACCCACAAAAAAAGGAGGAGGAGTAAGATGGGAAGTGGGAAGATAAAGGGGAGGGGGAATAGGAGGAGAAGGACAGCAACAATTTAGAAATAAATCTTACAAAATATGTGCAAGATTTATATGAGGAAAACTACAAAACTCTGATTAAACCAAAGAAGATTTCAATAAATGGAAAGATATTCCACATTCATTGACAGGAAGACTCAACATTGCAAAGATGTGATTTCTTCCCAAATATATCCACAGTCAATGTAATCCCAATCAAGCCTCAGCAAGTTATTTTGTGAATATCAACAAACTGAATCTAAAGTTTATACAGAAAGGCAAAAGACCCAGAACAGCCAACACAATATGGAAGAACAAAAGTGAGAGAACCAACACCACCTGATATAAAGGTATACTGTAGAGCTAGAATAATTAAGGTAATATGGTATTGGTGAAGGAATAGACAAATAGATCAAAGGCACAGAATAATGAGACCACAAATAGACCCACACAAATGGAGGCAACTGATCTTTGACAAAGGAGTGAAGACAATTCAATGGGAAAAGAGCAGACTTTTCAAAAAATGGTGCTAGAACAGCTGAATACCTGCTAAACACACACACACACACACACACACACACACACACACTAATCTAGGCCTTACACCTTTTAAAAGCGTAACTCCAAATTGACTGTAGACCTCACTGTAAAACACAAAATTACGAAACTTCTAGAATATAACAGCAGAAAAGTCTAGGTGACCTTGGGCTTGGGTTTGGCAATGAATTGTTAGATATGACATCAAACGCATGAACCATGAGAGAAAAAAAAATGTTAAGTTTGACTTCATTAAAATTAACCTTTTCTCTGAGAAAGACATTGTTAAGAGCATGAAGAGATAGGCCACAGATTGGGGGAAAGTCTTAGCAAAACACATATCTGCTAAAAGAACATATATACAAAATATATAATCAACTGTTAAAACTCAACGATAAGAAAACAAACAACCCACCTAAGAAATGGGCAAAGGATAGGAATAGACACCTCACCAAAGCAGGTATGTCAATGGTAAATAAGCATAATGAAAGATGTTCACCGTCACATGTCACTAGGGAATTTCAAAGTAAAACAAGATGCCACTACACGCCTATTGAAAGGCCAAAACAAAAATCAAAAACAAACAAACAAACAAAAAAACCCTGAAAATACCAAATGCTGGTGAGGATGTGGAGCAATAGGAACTCTCATTCATTGATGATGGAATGCAAAATGATACAGACACTTTGGAAGAGTTTACAGTTTCATATGAAGTTAAACATAGTCTTACTATAAAATCCAGCAATTGCGCTTCTAGATATTTAGCCAAATGAGTTGAAACCTTATGCTCACAAAAAACCTACATGCAAATGTTTGTAACAGCTTTATTCATAATTGCCAAAAACTGGAAGCAACCATAATGTCTTTCAAAGGGTAAATGAATAAGCAAACTGTGGAACATCCGTGCAATGGAATATTATACAGAAGTAAAAGAAAGGAGGTATCAAGTCACAGAAAGACATGGAGGAAACTGAAATGCATATTACTAAGTGAAGAAAGCCAGTCCAAAAAAGCTACATACATACAGTATGATTGCAACTATAAGACATCCTGGAAAAGGCAAAATTATGGTTGCCGGGGTGTTTATGGGGAGAGAAGGATTAATAGAGCACAGATAATTTTTAGGGCAGTGAAAACTGGATACATTACATTATGTATTTTTAAAACCCACAGAATGAACAACACAGTGAACCTTAATGTAAACTATGGACTTTAGTTAATAATAAATAAAGTGTCAAGGCCAGGTGTGGTGCCTCACACTTGGTATCCCAGCTTGTCACTAGGATTCACTTTTGAGAAGCTGAGGTGGGAGGATTATTTGAGGCCAGGAGTTCGAGACTGCAGTAAGCTACAATCACACCACTGCACTCCAGCCTGGGCAACACAGTGAGACCATCTTTAAAAAGCAAATACATAAACAAAAAGTGTGTAAAAATAAAGTGTGATAATTTTATCTTTACCTTGAAGGGCCTGAATTACATTTTTATTTTAAACTACCTGCAAGGTAACAGTCCAGTGGTCATTTGTTATCATAGAAAAGTTCAGCACATTTGAAGCAGCTCTCATAACAGAGTGTGGAATTCATGTGTAATTTGAAATCTTCTGAGCAGTCTGTGTAGAGGTAACTGGTCACCTCTGTATGGTACAAGACTGTCATGGCCACAGCCCATTTTATGAAGCATGCCATTATGACAATGCTGCTATATTTAAAAGGCCTTTTCTTTGTTCAGTTACCCATATTAATTGCATTCTACAGCATTCATCCACTCCTCTGTTGAACTTATTTTGCCAAGTTTACCTTTGAAGGACACGGTGAATTAATGTCACATGTGATGTCGTGTCTAGAAACTTACCCACCATCAGTGTTTCATTTTTGCCAAAGCCATTACTACATTACTGATTAACTTTTACTGATTTTCTTTCTTTTTTTTTTTTTTTGAGATGGAGTCTCGCTCTGTCGCCCAGGCTGGAGTGCAGTGGCGCCATCTTAGCTCACTGCAAGCTCCGCCTCCCGGGTTCACGTCATTCTCCTGCCTCAGCCTCCCAAGCAGCTGGGACCACAGGCGCCCGCCACCATGCGCTAATTTTTTGTATTTTTAGTAGAGACGGGGGTTTCACCTTGTTAGCCAGGATGGTCTCGATCTCCTGACCTCGTGATCTGCCCGCCTCAGCCTCCCAAAGTGCTGGGATTACAGGCGTGAGCCACTGCACCCGACCTCTGATTTTCTTTAAATTGCTTTTAAAATAAAGAAGTTATTTACTTTTGAGAATATACCTTTATTGAATACACACGTGGGTGATATTCAAAATACTTGAAAGCTGGCATTGCACAGGCATCTGAGTGCTCAGAAGCTGGCAGCCCTGGGGTGCAGGAGCCACCCTTCACAGGTGGGTTTGGAGTGGGTTGGGTGGTCAAGGTGGAAGAGACTTTCTCAGAGCAGTGGCTGCTCACTGATCTGCACAGAAGTGTGTCAAAGTGTTGACCACAGCTATAGTGGCACCCACACATACAGACTAATGGTCACTCTTAGGTAAATACAGATTTCAATATTGAAACTGATTCTGGTGAATACATGAACCAAGACCTATTCGAATATCTAAACTTTCTGTGTACTATAAAACAATATTCTCACATTGTAAATTTGTTTAAGTACTCATTTCTTCGAACCTTCAGCAAGGTTTCCTAAAATGTCACCTAACAACATATGCTTTAAGAATACATTTAAGTTTATTGCTTTGATATTTTCTGCATATTATTGTGGTAATTTTTTTTCTGTTTTTTTTTTTTTTTTTTTTGAGACAGAGTCTTGATCTGTTGTCCAGGCTGGAGTGCAGTGGCGCGATCTTGGCTAACTGCATGCTCCGCCTCCCGGGTTCACGCCATTCTCCTGCCTCAGCCTCCCGACTAGCTGGGACTACAGGCGCCGGCCACCATGCCTGGCTAATTTTTTGTATTTTTAGTAGAGACAGGGTTTCACCGTGTTAGCCAGGATGGTCTCGATCTCCTGACCTTGTGATCCGCCCACCTCGGCCTCCCAAAGTGCTGGGATTACAGGCTTGAGCCACCACGCCCAGCCTTATTGTGGTAATTTTCATCTCAGCAGAATGTTTTCCAAGTGATACATGATTTTTAATCTTTCTCTATTAAGACAGAAACTTCACAAAAGAGGCCTCCAAATGATCCTTATTAAGTTTAGTAAATTTTTGTAAAGTATCCAATGCAGCAACGCATGATCTTAAATGTCACTGAGAAGTATAGGAGTTAGTTTGAAAGTTTCCAATGCTTCATTTTTCTTTGCTTTTCTTTGTTATTTTTGTTTTAGATTCAGGGGGCCCGCATGCAGGTTAGTTACAAGCGTATATTGTGTGATGCTGAGGTTTGGGCTCCTGTTGATCCCATCGCCCAGATAGGAAGGTGTTCAGCCCTTCTCCCTCTTGGGGATCCCGGTGTCTATTGTTCCAGGCTCGCTTATAAGCAGGAGCTAACACTGGGTACCGTGAGCGTCACTGCTTCATTGTGAATGCCCTGCCAGGTCACACACTCATTAGCTAGTTTCTCCAGGCTCTGGTACGCTCGGGAAAGTTTGTCCAATTTGGAGAGCAGGATGTAAATTCATTTCTGGCTTCAGCAATTTTGCCATTTCCTTTTTTCTCCTGGCTTAGCCTTGACTGGATGGGCGTTTCAGGCCAGCTTTTCAAGACCTCATTCGTGGTTCCCCAGGATCTGCCTCTGCCATTTCTCCGAGGTCGCCTACTGGTTTTGCCTCATGAGCAGCCCATGGGTAGGCGTCATCTGCAGTAAACTGCGGTTTGGCTCAGGAAGCTAAAGTGAGAGATGTGAGCACCGGCTGCCCCACAGGTGCCCTCAGGGTAACCGCTTTACCGCAACTTGCCCATGAGGCCTGGGTCCCAGACAGCCTTGAGAAGGCCCTACTAACACGCACAGTGTCACAGCAGTGTGTGCTGTCTGTTTTTTAAAAATTACCATATAGGCTTTTGTCATACTCTTAGTAAATATTCACGTTCATAACTTATTTGGGATTGTTTTTGTTAAAGAGAATCCCCAAAGCTATAAAAGCTCCAGGCCCCACAGAGCCCAGCTTTGCCTGACGCATGGGACAGTGAGTTGCCCAGTCGGCCTCCATATGAAATACTAGTTAGGCTTAACTTCTTTTTCATTCTTAGAAAACAAAATGAAGAAAAGTTTTCTCCCTCCCCTATATGAGTGATTTTGTGCACCTTACCTTGAAGGACACTGACTTGAATTTCAGGGTTTTATTGCCCTTGGTAGGGGAAGAAGTTCTGTGTAAACCTCAATCACAACAGGCAGCCAGCCCGCTCTGAACCCAGAAACGAGATAACAGCTCCTGCAACGATAAACACCTGCAGATGAAACAACTCCTGCAACGATAAACACCTGCAGATGAGACAACTCCTGCAACGATAAACACCTGCAGATGAGACAACTCCTGCAATGATAAATACCTGCAGATGAGACAGCTCCTGCAACGATAAACACCTGCAGATGAGACGGCTCCTGCAACGATAAACAGCTGCAGATGAGACGGCTCCTGCAACGATAAACACCTGCAGATGAGACGGCTCCTGCAAGGATAAACACCTGCAGATGAGACGGCTCCTGCAACGATAAACACCTGTAGATGAGACAGCTCCTGCAACGATAAACACCTGCAGATAAGGTGCCGTCGGACAGGCGTCTCGGTGGACCTGCTTGGTTTTTGTTTTGTTTGTTTTTTGTTTTTTGTTTGTTTTTTTGTTTTTTGTTTGTTTGTTTGTTTGTTTGAGACAGAGTCTCCCAGGCTGGAGTGCAGTGGCTTGATCTCGGCTCACTGCAACCTCCACCTCCCGGGCTCAAGCGATTCTCCTGCCTCAGCCTCCCGAGTAGCTGGGATTACAGGCGCCCGCCACCACGCCCAGCTTAATTTTTGTATTTTTAGTGGAGACGGGGTTTCACCGTGTTAGCCAGGATGGTCTCAATCTCCTGACCTCGTGATCTGCCTGCCTCAGCCTCCCAAAGCAGGACCTGCCTGTTTTGAGGGGGATACAAAAAGAACACAAATCATCTGTCCTGTAGCAGTTTGCAGCTGGCTAGGAAGATGAAGCACCAGGTCGAAGCACCAGGAGGCCGACTGCAGCAAAGGCCAACTAGAGTGGTGTGGAGTAGAAAGGAAGGGCCTACGGGGATTGAGGGAAGGCGGAACACGGTGGTGGACACTTTGGGTGGTCTTTGAAGAAATGCTTTGAAGAGTTGAGGAGGGAAAAAGGAAAGGATACGCGATGGGGGAAGAGATCATGAAAGCCTAAAATACAAGTGCCCTAGTCCAAAGATGGGGAAGAGACCGCCAGCTGGAAAGGCTGAGCAGAGAGGGCGAATGTGAATGTCCCATCCCAGGACTTGACCTTGCCCAACAGGAAACGGGTGGCCTTTGAGTGGGCGTAGACTGTCAGGCAATGTTACAGGAAGATCCGTCTCCTGGTGGTGTGCAAGGTGCTGCGGGGGAAAGGTGATGAGTTACGAGAGGTTCTAGTGACATCTACAAGGCAGATGGGAGTCAGGGTCAGGGAGACCATAAAGAAGCAGCAAGATATGTCCCTACCCCCCAACCCCAGCCAAACCTCAAATGTATACAATCCGGCGTTTTTCAGAAAATGCTTGCAAAGCCCTGGAACATACCAGCACAAAGTCCCAGCTCTGATAGTAACTGCTGATTCAAATTAACCAGTGAATCACTTAAACATTTTGTTTCTTTAAAGTATGTTTTTCCTCCTAGTGGACACAGCTGACTTGGTGACCCAGTGCCTGGCCCTTTCAAGTCGGTTTCCTTAATCAAACCACAAACCAACAGATAAGTGGGGAGGAGCAGGGGTGAAGAGAGCAGCCCCAGCCCAGTGCCTCCTGCTGTTCCAGCAGGGACACACCCCCCCCACCCCCACCCCACCCCCAGGGATCAAAGAGAGCCTGGCTCTCCTGCACGCTCTCCACAGGGGAGAAAAACGCCTAATATAATTAAAAATACCCTGCAATTTGGTATGATCTGAAGCTGTGACATTTTGTTACCAAGGATTAAGGCTTATGGAGAGCAGTCGACTCACCACCAATTTAGAAGATCCTGAATGTTGAACCTTCTGTGTAGAGAACTCACTATCTGGTGTCTGCTGGAATATTTTCTCAGATCTACTCACTTCCGTGTGTAGAAACCATTTTCAAGGTGGAAGACACAGCATTTCCTTTCCACATCAAAGGCCGTTGGCCCAAAGCTGAAAAATTTCACTCAACAAACAGTGTGATCCCATTTGATCAATGAAAAGAATAGGAAAAAGGAAAGAAATATGGAAACATGCACATTGATGGCCAGTCTTACGTGTCAGGCTGTGTGTTAGATGGCTCGATCACATTTATTCATTCCATAAACTATTTCTTGAGCCTCCTCTCAGACTGTGCCAGCCACGTGGGCCTGTAGGGAGCACTGCCAGGCAGGATTCCCACCTTGGCAGAGCCCACAATTCACCACCAGGGAGACAGATGTTGATCCAGTGACCACAGAAATACATCTGCAGCTACAACTGGGCAAGTGCTACAGGGGAAAGGGACTTACCTCATCCCTGAGAACCTATAATACAAGGGAGATTCAACATTTATCAGGAGGTAGAAAATGCTTCTCCAGGAGTATAAGGCTTGAGCCAGCCTCTGCACAATGCGGAGGGGTTCGCTGGGTGCAAGACGGAGGAGGGAGTCTGGGAAGAGTCCGGGCGGGGAGGAGGTGCAGGGGTCTCTTTATGAGAGGGGGCAGGGCCCCTGAGATAAGAGCTGGGACACGGCAGAGGCAGACCACACTGGGTAGACGTGTCGGTCACACTCAGGGTTCTGGTCTTTATCTTCAGAGCACTCGGAAGACACTAAAATGTCTTGAGAAGGACGCTGACATGAGCATAGATGTGCTTTGAAACTATTACCCTAACAGATGTGAAGGAGCTCTTCAAGGAGGACTACAGACCACCGCTCAACCAAATAAGAGAGAATAAAATACCTAGGAATCCAACTTACCAGGGATGTGAAGGATCTCTTCAAGGAGAACTACAGACCACCGCTCAACCAAATAAGAGAGCACACAAACAAATGGAAGAACATTCCATGCTCATGCATAGGAAGAATCAACATCATGAAAATGGCCATACTGCCCAAGGTAATTTATAGATTCAGTGCTACCCCTATCAAGCTACCAATGACTTTCTTCACAGAATTGGAAAAAACTACTTTAAAGTTCATATGGAACCAAAAAAGAGCCTGCATTGCCAAGACAACCCTAAGCCAAAAGAACAAAGCTGGAGGCATCACATTACCTGGCTTCAACCTGTACTACAAGGCTACAGTAACCAAAACAGCATGGTACTGGTACCAAAACAGAGATATAGACCAATGGGTCAGAACAGAGCCCTCAGAAATAATGCCACATATCTACAACCATCTGATCTTTGACAAACCTGACAAAAACAAGAAATGGGGAAAGGATTCCCTATTTAATAAATGGTGCTGGGAAAACTGGCTAGCCATATATAGAAAGCTGAAACTGGATCCCTTCCTTACACCTTATACAAAAATTAATTCAAGATGGATTAAAGACTTAAATGTTAGACCTAAAACCATAAAAACTCTAGAAGAAAACCTAGGCAATACCATTCAGGACACAGGCATGGGCAAGGACTTCATGACTAAAACACCAAAAGCAATGGCAATGAAAGCCAAAATAGACAAATGGAATCTAATTAAACTAAAGAGCTTCTGCACAGCAAAAGAAAGTACCATCAGAATGAATAGGCAACCTACAGAATGGGAGAAAAATTTTACAATCTACCCACCTGACAAAGGGCTAATATCCAGAATCTACAAAGAACTTAAACAAATTTACAAGAAAAAATCAAACAACCCCATCAAAAAGTGGGCAAAGTATATGAACAGACACTTCTCAAAAGAAGACATGTATGCAGCCAACAGACACATGAAAAAATGCTCATCATCACTGGTCATCGGAGAAATGCAAATCAAAACCACAGTGAGATACCGTCTCACACCAGTTAGAATGGCAATCATTAAAAAGTCAGGAAACGACAGGTGCTGGAGAGGATGTGGAGAAATAGGAACACTTTTACACAGTTGGTAGGACTGTAAACTAGTTCAACCATTGTGGAAGACAGTGTGATGATTCCTCAAGGATCTAGAACTAGAAATACCATTTGACCCAGCCATCCCATTACTGGGTGTATACCCAAAGGATTATAAATCATGCTGCTGTAAAGACACATGCACACATATGTTTACTGTGGCACTATTCACAATAGCAAAGACTTGGAACCAACCCAAATGTCCATCAGTGATAGACTGGATTAAGAAAATGTGGCACATATTCACATGGAATACTATGCAGCCACAAAAAAGGATGAGTTCATGTCCTTTGTAGGGACATGGATGAAGCTGGAAACCATCATTCTGAGCAAACTATCCCAAGGACAGAAAACCAAACACCGCATCTTCTCACTCATAGGTAGGAATTGAACAATGAGAACACGTGGACACAGGATGGGGAACATCACACACATGGGCCTGTCATGGGGTGGGGGAGGCGGGAGGGATAGCATTAGGAGATATACCTGATGTAAATGAAGAGTTAATGGGTGCAGCACACCAACATGGCACATGTATACATATGTAACAAACCTGCCCTTTGTGCATATGTACCCTAGAACTTAAAGTATAAGAAGAAGAAGAAGAAGAAGAAGAAATTATTACCCTAACAAAAAACTAATATAAGAAGACAAAGAAGGGAGGCAGTGAGGCCAGGAGAGGTCCGCATGGTGAAGGATGAGGGCTGCCCCCCACCTAGTGAGGATGGGGAGGGACAGATGCCCAAGCACCCAAAGCTATTGGCTGTTGGGGAGATTAGCAACAAGTGCAGGAGTGGATCAGGGAGTGAGGAGAGGGTGAAGGAAGGGATCATTCCCAGGTGACAGCTTGCATGATATTCCCTTTATAGCACCATGTCTAATCCTCCCCAACCTTGTCCTCTGAGCCTTGCAGAGCACATGCCGAAACAGTAAGGGGGACTATGCTCCCTGACCACCTCCCAGCCCCCAGGGGCTCCTCTCGCTCTGCAGGCTGTGTTTCTCACCTAAGCCACACTGGCCCTCAGGACTCCCAGGACTCCCCTTGAAATAGACAGATAAGTGCCCAGGCAGGCTAAGCTGCAGGACCTGTGCCTTGCATGTGGCTCTGTGGCTCAGCATCCTCCAAATTGACACTCACTGGGGGTCGTCCCTGATGATCCCAGCTAAAGCCAAGTATATTTGTAATCGTAATTTCAGATTGTAATACAATATTTATATAATCCGGTAAAATATGACTGTGGAAGGGGGTTATTCCTTAAAAATAAACCAAAACACCACGCTGTTTTAGGAAAAAGTGATAAAGGTAAGTCACCTAACAGACCACCAACAAATTGAGTGGAGATGAGAGAACTGAAAAAGCTTGAGAAGCAATCTCTGCTCAGCCCGGGTTGTGGGGTAGTGGAAGTAATCATGTAATAGAATCTACTGCAGGCAGTCCACTTGGGGTCTGCTCTTTCCCAGCTCCTCTGGATCACACTCTACATTCCCAAGTCCATTTGGGTCTTGTTTTGTGCTTTCTGTTTGGTTCACATGATCTCCGTGGCAGTACCACAGTATCTGATAGGGCAAATCCATCCTGGTTGCTCTTCTAGATGTGGACTTCACATCTTAAATAGTACTCTTCGATTTTGGTTGATTAAGTAGAGGGAACCTATAGATTCATGGTCCAAATTATAACAGCACAATTTATAGAGCCATCTGGCTTGGCTAGTAGGCAGTTAATATTAGAAATTGATTGATTCTGGAAGCCTTTCATGTAAACATGTTTAAAGCTAAATCTATGATCATGCATTCATCCAACAAGTTTTTCACGAAGAGCCAAGGTTTTTCCATTGAGTTTGGGTCTGCTGATTAGAGTTTTGTGGGTTTTCTTGCATCCTTAAAACCTTTAGAAGATACCTTACTCTTCAACTCTGCAGTTACAAGGGTATATTGGCAGGTGTATCGGCAATTCTAGTTCTAAATTTTCATCTCATTATGCTCTTACAGAATAATTTCCATAAGGTTTTACCTGGCACAAGAATCGGCATTCCATTGGGAGGCCATCCCTGCACCCCACCCCATGCTAGGATCCCCAGCATCCCCTGCATGGCTCTTTCCTTATCTGGTCCTGTGTTCTGAGTTTGCTAGTCTCCTCCTCAGTCAGGCTGTAAGCACCTAGCCCACGGGCACGATGTCTTGTACTGTTCCCAGCCTATCATACAACTGCTTTCACACCACAAGTGCTCCTTACATATTTAAGTAATGAATGTCCCTGTCTTTCATAGCTATTGCTATGAATAACTATTGTTAGGAGTATCGTAAGAATGACTTGGGACTAGAGTCCAGTAGCCTGGAGTTCCCTCCGTGTTCTGTTTTACAGTCAGGAAGGATAATCCATATTTTACCTGCCGGTGCCATTCAGTAGGAATTCCTGCAGCAATCCAGACTTTCTTTACCCACTCTCTCCAATGCAGTGGCCACTAGCTGCACGTGGCTATGGAGCACTTGAAATGTGGCTAGTACGACTGAGGAATTAAATTTAATTTTACCTAACTGTATTGAATTTAAACTTACAGTCACATGTGACTAGTGGCCACAGCCTTGGGCAGAAGGGATCTAGACTAATTGCCTTGTTTTCCAAGTGGGAAAACCGGGTCCCAGGCAGTTAGATGATTGGTTAATTTTACTACTAAGTAGTCAGAGACCATCAAACACTCCAATAATGATATCATGAGGATCTGTGGGTTGGTTACTGGGGTTAATTTGTACCCTACAAGGAAAGATATAAAGTATTTATGCTTCTTTTAATACGTTTGAAGAGACGATTATAAGATTCTTTCTCAACTTTATGCTGGCCTGGAAATGGCCTTTCAGAATGCTCTGAGTTCCCATTTTAGAATGGACATTAGAGATTTTAAATTTGATCTATATTGTCTATATTTCATTAAACAGAAAATCAAGACCATTGTTAAAATAAGTTTGGAAATCACAAAGCTGTCAAGTATAAGGACAGTGTAGTTTGTGCTGTGTAGTTTGAAGGAAATCTTTCATGCTTTGATCACGTGCATAGTTCAAACTGGAGACTCAAACCGCATAATCCAGCAAGATCTCCTGGAGAATGAACAGTATCAGGTGCACACACAATCCTCCAGGACATTTCGTGCTAAACTATGTGAAAGTGGCAGAATAACTAAAAATCTTGGAGTCTTCTTTTAAACTAAAAGAGAAAAACCCTGAAAGCCAAGTGGAAAGAAAAAGCATTCATTGGAGATTAAAATTCGGATGTGAAATTGAGAGGAAAATGTTAACACCACAGCTTCCCTTCACGTCCTTATCATTTCTTTAAGAGAAAAGCAAGAAAATTTAAGGAGAAAATGTGTGGGGAAGATGCAGGAAGGACACGAGGTGGTGGCTTTGTACAGTTTCACCTTCAACTTGAATGGAGAGCACTCTGCGTATGTGTGTTATTTACAGATACACATCTGTATTGGCCTTAAGTGTAGCACCCTCAGTTAAAATAACCCATTTCTCTTCACAAAGTTACGCTGAAACCAGGAAAGCCTTGGAGAGTTGGTATTAAAATGCTGAGAATCCGGCAGACCTGAGTGTTCCGAGGAGGTGCGTCTTTCCTTGTAAAGCTGGCCCATAGCTGCTGTCAACATACCTGGGACACCAATTTAAAAAGGAAAAAGGAAGTGGTCAAAGTCATGCTTTTTGCAGACTTCAAAGGTGATCCCTCCCTCCCCCTCTTTACATTTTACTGTCTGGGAGCTGACGGGTCTGCAGCTGTTGGCAGAGGCTGTTCTGGGCGTCAAACCTGCCTCCTCACGGCCCATAAAACTGCAGCGGGAACCGGAGCAGGTGTGGGCGGGGCGGGCAGGACGCCCTTCAGGGTCTCCCTGACATCCCATGCTGTGTGGGTGGGGGGAGGGAGGCTTGTGGGGGCTTCCCTGTGGGGTCCTCCCTTTCCACAGCCAGGGCGTTGGGGTAGCTGCCCACCCAGTTGCTGAGGGAGCTGAGGCCTCTGCAGCACAAGTCCACCAAGACTTGGGCCCCCAAAGGAGGACCGCGGAGAAGCCAAAGTAACCCAGACACTTGGTAATCCACGTTTTTGGTGTTTTGTTGTTTGTTTTATAAGCCTTAAACAGCAGCAAGTACTAGAACAAAACACCTCTACAATCTACAAGTCCGGGTTCTTTTCCTCCTCAAACTGGGAGAAAGAAATACAAAATCAGACTTGTTTTCAAAGATGTCAGATATCTATTGGCATTTAATAGTAAGAATGCGATACATTTGCCCTTTTTCTTTTCTTCACGCGATAGAACAAATCAGTAGTTATAGAATGCCTCTTAGTCGATTGCAATGAAAAGTTGCAAATCACAGCTCATTATGGCTTCTTGTTTTGTGCCAGTATTTTAGAAGGGAAAAAACAGAAAATCAATTTACTTAAAGCAATCTTAAAAATGTCTTTTTTTAATTACACTCATTGAGAAATACGCACACTTCTTTAAAGAAATGGAAAAGCAAGCGGAAGTGGCCTTTTGCAAAAGACAGAAAGAGGGAAGAGGGAAAGGACCATCCAGGTCTGAAGAGCAAGAGAATCAGGCCTGCAACATTAATGAAGCCCCACTGTGTGCCAAGTAGTGGGTGCTTCACGGCATTGGGGCAGGAGGGGAGGTAGGAGTGAGGGCAGTGAAGGAAAAAAACATGAAGGAATTATTAAAAGTCCTGTTTTGTTTTGTTTTTTCCCTCAAGGGTATTACTTTATAATGGAGATGCCCAACAAATAAACACAAAATGGACTTAAATACATTTTAAAAATCAGCAGCCAATAATTTATTTTATACCCTTCAATTATTTTCGCTCTTTACTATAATGTTTGCATGATACATAACACTGCTTATCGAGGTCATAATTTCGATAATTGTTTCTATCGGGTTCCATACTTTAAAATCTGCGGAAAACTGATGGGGGTTGGGGTTTAGTGACCCCTGAGAACATTTCTATTAAGATTGATAGAAAACACGGCCGGGCGCGGTGGCTCACGCCTATAATCCCAGCACTTCGGGAGGCCGACGAGGGCGGATCACTAGGTCAGGAGATCGAGACCATCCTGGCTAACACGGTGAAACCTCGTCTCTACTGAAAATACAAAAAAAAATTAGCCGGGCGTGGTGGCGGGCGCCTGTAGTCCCAGCTACTCGGGAGGCTGAGGCAGGAGAATGGGGTGAACCCGGGAGGCGGAGCTTGCAGTGAGCCGAGATAGCACCACTGCAGTTGGCCTGGGCGACAGAGCGAGACTCCGTCTCAAAAAAAAAAAAAAAGAAAAAAGAAAACACACACACACACACACACACACACACACACACACACACCACCACCACCATTCGGAATTGAAATAACCCTTTCAATACTGTAGAATTAGAAGAAACTTTAAGGCCGGACGTCGTGGCTCACGCCTGTAATCCCAGCACTTTGGGAGGCCGAGGCGGGCGGATCACGAGGTCAGGAGTTCAAGATCAGCCTGGCCAAGATGGTGAAACCCCATCTCTACTAAAAATACAAAAAAAATTAGCTGGGTGCGGTGGCAGGCGCCTGTAGTACCAGCTACTCAGGAGGCTGAGGAAGGAGAATCATTTGAACCCGGAGGGTGGAGGTTGCAGTGAGCCGAGATTGTGCCACTGCACTCCAGCCTGGGTGACAGAGTGAAACTCCATCTCAAAAAAAAAAAAAAAAAAAAAGGATGAAACTTTAAAATGTTATCATTTGGTAAACATTTTCTGAGAATCTACCATATGTCAGGCATTGGCTAGGATTGTGACACATAAGGATTAAACATAAAATAGAGTGTAGTTTAAACAGAAGACATTTTAAACACAATGTAGTTTAAAAGACACATGAGTTGTTTCAATTTATTTTCCCATAATTTAAGTCCAGTAAAGAGAATCACAAAGCTAATATCCACAAAGATTAGAGGTCTGAAAACTACATTCTAGTGGCCAAATCTGTGACTTTTTATATTTTTTAAGTTGTTAAAAAAGGAAAGAAAGAAGAGGATCAACAACAGAAACTGAATGTGGCCTTCAAAGTCTGTAATGATGGCTCTCTAGCCCTTTCCAGGAAATGTTTGCCTAGATTATAAGAACATCTAGAACAAAGCCACACTTCAGCACATTCTTCTCTTCTTATTCTCCAAGTTTGCAGAGTGTCAGATATTTTGGGCTTCTCTATTTAATTTAAATTAATTTTAAACTTATTTCAGAATTCCTGGCTTAGTATTTATTATGGAGTGTATTTCTTAATGAAGAAATCGGTATATTACACATTTCAACAGTATTCAAACTCTATTGATTTCTGAAACCTCTCTGTGACCACTTTCCAATGCTAACCTCTTCCTACCCAAATATTTTTACACGGTTAAAATAACATATATTGGGTCATCCACATTCTTAAGGATCGTGGTTTCTAATTGCAGTCAAGTCATTACGATTGTTTCATTTGGAGACAAGACTAGTTTTCTGGTGTAATTGAAGACAGGGCTTTAATCAGCAAAATTGTAATCCTAGACCATAAAATTAAGCCTGTGCACTCTAATAAAATATATGGTTAAGCAAAATTTCATATTATGTCAATTTCTACAAGGAATAAACAATGCAGCCACTTTGATGTCCACAGATCAATCTACATGCTCGTCTTTTGATCATTTATTTGGATACAGTAAACTACTCATATGCTGAAATTGGAATTTTCAGAATTTTTACTTCATACATCCTACATTACTTTTAAGCATATTTAGAATGAATGGAAATGTATACATCATGAGAAATTCAGGCAAAACAAATCAACCTGGATTTATTTAATGCATATAAGAGAATCTGAAAAAAGAAAATCACACCAGAAAATTTATTTTGTATTTTCCTCATTTTATGGATTGATTATATGTTTGCTCAATGTAAACATAACAAAAGCATGTTTTCTTGGAACTAGGCAAAATAAAAGTTTGATCCTTGATCTAAGTAGAGGATACAGTTAGTTCCTAAAACCAATGACTCCATTTGGCTTGTGCCCATTTGAGGTCATTAATGCCATTTGTACTACACAGGGCCGCAGCCTCATCTCCCAGCTGGCTGGATCCAACAGAGACAGGCAGGAGATGTATATTACAACTTACCTCCACGACCAGTAGGATCTGACTAAGTGCATTTTTCCTGCTACAGTTAGGCAACTGCACGTAAAACCCCCAACCAAAGTTATACAACAGCAACAACAACCCATGTTGTTTCTAAATCTGCATAATTGCAGGCAATTTTGTCAGCTACAACTATACATTTTCCAAAGTATATGTCTTCCAATCCCTCGGCATAGAACTTAGGAAGACAAATTCCTATAGCCCAGTGGATTCTGCCCAGTTGCAAAGTTCCGGGGCAGACATGCTTCAAAATAGATATGGTTCACAGAAGATGAGTGGAGGATTTGAGGACAAAGGAGGTTTACAGGTTTCCTTCAGTGTTCCAACCCATTTGGGAAAAAGAAATATTGAGGCGCGTGAATGTAACTTTCTTTCACTTAAAATAAAAAGGCTTAAGTGAGAATGGTGCCTTCTACCTTGACGGGCCAAGCAGCTGAACTCCCTCTCAGCAAGAGCTTTCTGTCCGTGGAGGCTGGGCTTCGAGCCACTCCAGGAAGGAGACGCTGAGATGCTGAAGCCCTGCATGAGATCTGACTTGACGGCATCCCTCTGTGGCTCACCAACCAAGCTCGCATCCCTCTCCCATAGGAAAGAATAAAACTGTGCCGGGATCCAGGGGATGTAAAGCTGTTTTTCAAATTGTGAAATGCTCACAGAAAGTGGCTGTGTCATCTGAATACTGCGTTTATTCTGAAGAACGACAAAATTATAAGAAGAGACACAGTGTCATGTTCTCTATTATTTTCACTTCTTTACTTCATATTCCTACCAGAAATTCCAAACTTAACATCGCTATCATTTTTTTAAATGAAATAATTTGAAGATATAAGAAAGGAAGCGACCCTATTTAATGAGTGGTAAGTTTGTGAGAGGAGCTTTATATAACTTAATTTGATTCGCTGAACTCTTCAGTAACCCTGTGGGGTGGGAATTATTGCTCCCATTTTAAGGATGAGAAAACTGAAACGTGGAGAAATAGACTTACCTGAGGTTTGCAACAAATAATTGAGAGAACCAGGATAAAAACTCAACATTTGGCTGACTCAGAATTACTTGAAAATATTGCATGTCACAGTTTAAATATTTTCCAATAAAGCTAAGAAAGTAAAGTGCTTTGAGGCATAATTGTGAATATCCTGTAAGCAGTAAATAAGCTTTAAAAAGTATATTTTTTCCTACTTCTCTATTCATGTCTTGATTGAATCGAATCAATATTTTGACCATTCACAATGAGCGAGAATGTGTCTGAGCAGTCACTAACCTCTCTGAGAAATGCAGTAATAAATCTGCAGTTCCCACAGAGAGGTCCCACAGTGTCATTAATAATAGTAACAGCTGACCAGGCGCAGTGACTCACACCTGTAATCCCAGCACTTTGGGGGACCAAGGCAGGGGGATCATGAGGTCAGGAGTTCGAGACCAGCTTGACCAACATGGTGAAACCCCATTTCTACTAAAAATACAAAAATTAGCTGAGCATGGTGGTGCATGCCTGTAATCCCAGCTTCTCAGGAAGCTGAGGCAGAAGAATCACTTGAATCCAGGAGGCAGAGGTTATAGTGAGCCGAGATCGCACCACTGCACTCCAGCCTGGGCGACAGAGCGAGACTCCATTTCAAATAATAATAATAATAATAGTAACAACTTTACATTTATAAGACGTTGCCCCACGTATTATCACATGCCGTTCTCATAGCCCAGTTTGGTGGTTAGGACTTCATTCATTCATTCACCCATTGTACTTTAGATATTTATTTCATTCCTATGAACTCAGCCTAGGACTGTGCAGGCCTTCGGAAGGGAGAGATAAAAAGATCTATTTCTAGCCTAAAGCCACTCACTGTCTTGTATGAGGGCCACTGATGAAACGAAAACACAAGGTAAGTGAAAACACTCTCCATGTTGAAAATACATAACCTAATCAGTATTCTCAAAAGAAAATAAAGTATTCGACACATAGAGCCCACCAGTTTGAGACATGGTAATAGGTACCTGTTTTTCCTTCATTATATAGCCTTTATTCCTTCCATTTTAATACCCATAAATTGGTTCTAATATTGCTCACGAAAAGTGTATTACGTAGAGAGGTAAGTCATTTCTCTCAAGTCACCAAAATGTTCTTCATGGCAAAGGAAAAAGGTTTCCTGAAATGGACCTTTTTTTTTTTTTTTTAGACGGGGTCTCGCTGTCGCCCAGGCTGGAGTGCAGTGGCGCTGTCTCGGCTCACTGCAAGCTCCGCCTCCCGGGTTCACGCCATTCTCCTGCCTCAGCCTCCTGAGTAGCTGGGACTACAGGCCCCCGCCACCAGGCCCAGCTAATTTTTTTGTATTTTTAGTAGAGACCGGGTTTCACCGTGTTAGCCAGGATGGTCTCGATCTCCTGACCTCGTGATCCGCCCGCCTCGGCCTCCCAAAGTGCTGGGATTACAGGCGTGAGCCACCGCGCCCGGCCTTGAAATGGACCTTTTAACCCGACACATCCCTCCCCCACAAAAAAATAAAATGAAAAGGAAGTGAACTTTCAGCGATTATCTTTGAAAGTCACACGTTCTCACAAATACGCCTGTAGATGGTGCTGTACTGAGCATTCTCTTTCGGATGCAATGACCACAGTCAGAAAACTTGTCCTGTTTCCAGCACAGTAGGGTGACCACATCCTCCTACTTTGGGCATGAGCTGTGCTCAGAAAACATGTCATGTGAACAAAAGCATCAGACTGGGGTTGGGGAGGAGATCGTCTCCCTCCTTGGAGCTGATCAATGCATGCATTGGAACCAGCGGTGGGGGTCCCAGTAACCCCCTTTCCACCCAAGTGATCATCACCGTGACGCATCTCGGGAGTGGGATCCAGTCTGAAGAATCCTCGTCCCTGAGAAGTTTTAAATCTAGAAGCTGATGATCAGGGCTGACGATGAAGAGTGTGTGTGGGTAGAAAGAGGGAGGACGCTGCTTAGGGAAAGCTGAACGAACGTAAAATAATGTGGATTGACGAGGTGAGAGGGGCTTTCACCTGGCCAACCATAAGAAGTACGGGTGCTTGGGACAGAGGAGTCCCAGCTGCCAGGCTGAGCCCAGGGGCGCGTGCCTGGCTGCAGACGGCCAGCCTGGGTGGCTGTGGAAGGAGAACGGTGAAGTCCACCGAGCCAGTGCTCATGTCCTGTTCAAAGACTCAGTTGTGTCTGAGGGAACTTCAGAGAAGAGCAAGGATTTCACCACTGGATCCACCCGGGAGGGTGTGTGGAAGAAGTGGGGTCAGAGCGGCTGAAGGGGAGACCTAGGCAGGTAGAGATGGGAATGGGGACAGTAGAGGCAGAGACTGAGTGGGAAATGCAGGAACTCCTAGGGGTGGTTGGAGGAACTGCCCCCCCCCCACCCCCTGCCCACCAGCCGCCGCAGCGGAGCTGGGAGAGTTGTTCCATGGCCACAGGACAGAAGGTCTTGAACGCTAGGTTTGACTATGTCTTTAAACAGCCTTAATTTATCTTATGCTCATGATTCTGAAGATGACAACAAGGTGAGGTCACCTTCGTCATTCAGAAACTGCATGTAATAAAATAAAATGAAAAGCATTGCCAAGGAAATTAAGATTCCCTAGAAAACCCCCTAATCTTTTCATTACTTCATCAAATGTTTCTTAAATGCCAGGACCTAGTCTAGACTGGGGATATACAAGTAGAAATAAACACTAAAGAAGATAAATAAATAAAATGTGAATTACGTTAGATGGTGATAAGTGCTAAGAAAGGAAAGTGAGGCAGCAGAAGGCACTGCAGGCTGGGGAGAGTGTGGAGGTGGCATGGATGAGCTGCAGGTGCCACGCAGTCTGAGCCTTTTCTGCAAAGACCCCAGGAATTGAGAGGTTAGCGGGGGGCATCTGGGGAAGGGGTTCCAGATAAGGGGCGCAGGTGCAAAGGCCCTGGGCTGGAAGCACGCCCAGGGCTCCGAGGTGCGAGGGGGCTGCTATGGCAGGGCAGAGAGAACAAGGAAAGACAGCTAAGGGGGACGAGGCTGTGCGGCCTGGAAATGAGAAGCTGGGGCTCCGGCACAGAGACAGTTGCCAGGTCACCTGAGGAGGGGCGAACGCCGTGTTTCTAACTGCAGCTCAGCACCATTGTAGACTTACTTCTGCTTGTCTTACACAATAAGGAAATCGTGTTCCTTCCTCGTCACAAAGGGACTTAGCAAGTTTGTTTTTGGAAGTCACAGTTGTGGCAAAACCCTCATGAGGCCCTCCATCCCTGGGGGAAGACTCCTGGAGGAAATGCGTAGGCGGGGATTCCACAGGGACGGTGAGACCCTGGGGTCCCCATCACTGACGGAGCACATGAGGGGGGTCCCTTCAAGCAGCCCAAGCCAGCCTAGGGTCGGGGGTTTCTCCAAACACAGACCCTGAAACAATGAATTTTCTCAGGTACCAGCACCCAGGGCAGCCGGCCCTGAAAATGCTGGGTAGGGACCGGAGACACCCCTCAAGGTCCTGCGCCTTGGCTCGACCCTGAGGAGGTGAAGGAGGAAAGCAGGGTTGGAGGCCACTTAAGAGCCCTTCTCTCCGCGAGGGGAGGCCCAACGTGGCTCTCATGGGCTCTCTGAGATTTGAGAGTAGGAGCTAAGAGCAGCGTGGCTTGGAGGAGATCACAAAAGGAGACAGAAAAGGTGGCCTCTGCTCTTGTAGTCATCAGAATCGCCAGGTCCTGGGGGAGTCTTAAGCTCCCTAAAATCTGCATTTTGGCTACTCAGGAGGCTGAGGCAGAAGAATCGCTTGAACCCGGGAGGCAGAGGTCGCAGTGAGTCGAGATGGTGCCACTGCACTCCAGCCTGGGCGACAGAGTGAGACTCTTGTCTCAAAAACAAAAACAAAATCTGCATTTTGGTGTTTTACCTAGAAAAGCCAAGTCTGGTTAACAGAAATGAAAATGTCTTAGGAATTGCCTAACCAACCGCAAGTGCATTTGGCAAAATGGAATCCACTTGAAACCCGAAGTGAAGTAACTCGAAGTATTTACAAGCCAAGGCAAATGTTCAAAGGGAAGCTCAGACACAAAGAACAGATGGCGGATGAGAAAGCCAGAGAAGAGTGCATTTTGCCAACACCCACAAAATGCAGATTTTTTAAGTGCCTTGAAGGCTGTTTATGGTCTAAGCACCCAGGAATCTACGCCCTTAAGCTCCAGGGACAGAAGAAACTTGCTTGAAATGTGGTCACTGCATACTGAAAGGGATGATGTTCTGTCCTCTCCCCAGGGAATCCTATTTTTCATGAAAACCTCACCTCTGTCTATCTTTTACGCCAATCAGACCTTTTCCACCTTTTTAAAATAGAATGAAAAAGAGAGGAAGCTATAAACAACTGATGATCCGCCTGCTGAAATCACAAGGAAAATATGAAGAGGGCCACCTCTCTCCTCTCTCTTCTCAGGGGTTTGCCTAAACCCTCAGGGACCTTGTGGCTACACAAATTTCTTTAAAGGTCCAATTGTAGGAGCTCCTGAAAGAGTGCTGCATTGTTTACCTTGCAGGACATCTTTGCAGAAATAGTTCTAACCTTTATTGTACATTTAGTGAAGAGTGTTAGCACATGTTGAAGGACACCTACAGTGAAATGAAGGAAAATAGAAACAGAGAATTGCTGGTAGTCAACCAGAGAGGAAATAAACAGACAGAATGTATTTTCATGGAAATGTTCTCATTAGCTCTTATTTCTGATTCCTTAGATACTTTCTCATATCGGAATGTTTTGTTGAAAAACAGTGAAATCAAATGCACGCACATTATCACATTTAAAAACTGATCCGCTGCTCCTTCTGAAATTCAAATCAAGTTTTCATATAATAGACGCTTAAAAATTACCAAAATTTAGTCACTTGAGAAGCTGGCTTATCTGTTTCTCTCTCACAGAATCTCTTTAGGTGTCTGTTGTAAAAACACAAATGAATGTTTTTTAATGGATGGATGGATGGGAGGATGGGTGGACGGGTGATGTGTGAATAACACTCTCACATATAGAACAATATCCCCTCCTAATAGGGAAGACACAAATAATACACAAGAAGTTTCATCTTCATAGAGAAAAGACATTTCCATACACAACCTCAGTATCACAGAGGCTAATTACGTGGTGTAAGTTAATTGCACACAAACGTACAATTAACATCTTAGGAAAGAAAGCTATGTTTCACCACATTCAGTCCCAGTTTAATCATCGAGTTGATAAATACCCCTAGGAATTCAAAGCCACAGTGCAGAGTCTATGTCCCTGCCCCTGAGATGTGGCTGCGAAGGTTCTTCTTGATTGAGGCAGACAGAAGATTGGTTCTGGGCAGGACCCCTGGGCGTGTAAACAAGATCAAATGCTCCATTCTGAGGATAGGGGAGCTTCCAGATCCTGGCTGGGATGCACCTCATTGCAATTCACAAAAATAAAACACCTCTTATTTGGAGGTATTATTATGCATTTCAACATGTCTGGAATTAAAAATGTATTTTCACATATGTATTTAGTAACTGATACAACTTTTTGCCAATTGAATAAATATAGTCTGTGTATCTATCTAGAGTCTCAGCATATAACAAATGCCTACAAAAAATAGTTACCCAAAAGGTGCTGTTATTTTGTACCAATTTTAGAGAAGTTATCTTAGGTTCTTGAAAATTTCCTTGTACATGGATATTAGTGATTGACAATATTTGTAAAACAGCACTAATTAAACAAAAACCATATTATTTATTGCTTCTGAGTATCTAGGTATGCTTTCAGACCAGCTGACTTGTCAAAATAGGGAGGGACAGGCTGTCAATAGATTAGAAAGGTATTAGAAAAGTTGAACCAATATGTGTAATTTCAGTTTCATTCAAAACTAGGCAAAGTCAAATTAGTTATATTTAATATAACTGTAATTGTTTTGTCTTTTCATTTTTGAAGTTCAAAAGGTTCTGATTCCCAATAGATTAATAACATATTATTTTCACTTACATTTAAGGAAAATGAAGATTTCAGCATTAACCATCCACCAAAAACAAATGCGTGGTGTAATTGAGTTGAATGACCGAAACTTCACTGCTAAACTCTAAAGGCTTCAAAACTGTGAAAAATAAATAAAAATGAAAATTTAAAAGATGTGAAAAATGAAAAGAAGTGAAGAATGGCCAGATATAAGAATCTTCCTACCATTTCTTTTTTTTTAGACTAAGTTTTATTGTATGCTGCTGCCAGTGTATATAAAACAATTACCCTTGTGAAATAGAAATTCATGGAAATTCAGAGAGGTAGGTGTTAAGGACTGACGAAAAGAGAAGTTTGTATATTATGGAACATGTGTTACGGGGTCAGCTTTTGTACAGGCTTCAAATTTAGCTCTCTTTTGAATATTCGCTCGATCATAAGACACCAATAACACACAAACAGTTTCATCTTCATAGAGAAAAGACATTCCCATACACAACCTCAGTATCACAGAGGCTAATTACGTGGTGTAAGTTAATTGTACACAAATGTACAATTAAAAAAAAAAGTTTGGGAAACTTTTGAAAGATTCATTTTACTACAAAAAGGAATAGAATTTCTGGGTCTGAAAGGATTTGTATTTGAAGATATTCCAGTCAGTAGAGGGTCATGTTGAGCATTCTGCAGACAATTGTTTAAAGTCTGCAGCTGCCTGGGAAACTTTAACACGGTTGAGTTCAGCCTCCAGCCTGAGCTGTTGAACCACTTTCTTCATAGCTGCGACGCTGGAGGAAGCCAACATGGTGCATGTGAGGTCTGGGCCGATTCGTGGGTTGCTGGATCGTGGGTCATAGGGGGCCAGAAAATGGAGAGCATTCTCACATTCCTACCATGGGCTGGACGTTTCCAAAGCAGGCAGAAATTCTTATTCCTAGCATCCTAGACCCAGTGTTACCATAGCTTGTTTTTTCCTTCCATCCTTACTGAAAACATTTGTAGATATCCCGTCCATAGGAAAAATGAAGGAATCCTCCCTCCAAATTAAGGGCCTTGTTACTGAAGAAAGTCAGAGAGGGATGGGGAGGGACAGACCGACAGATGATTAGAGACAGGGGAAGACGGAGAAAGATAGAGGGAAAGAGAGGGAGATGCACAGACTGAAAGAGAGAGACAGAGTGGGGAGGTGGAGAGTGGGAGAGAGAGAGAAAGAGAAAGGGAGGAAGGTGAAAGGGCGGGGAGGGAGGGAGGGAAGCGGCGAGAGGCCCTCTGAAGCCATTTTGACATAGTGGAGTCCACCCAGCTCACAGCAGAGTGAGGCCCCGTGATCGAGCCCTGGGAGAAAAGACCCTCCCCTTGAGCCCCAGCCACCCCTTCAATACACAGCGCTGTTTGTCGCCACCAGGCTTCCGGGCCTGCTGTTACACAGCAGGAGACAACTGAAGCCCGCAATTGCTCCAGCCCTTGTCCTAGGACAAGACTACTTGGTGTGTGCTGGGGAGAAGGGGCGGCAGAGACAGTGAATTCGACAAAAGGCAAGCCTGGCCTGGGCCTGGGTAGGCATAGATGTGGTGAGAAGTGGGAGGAGAGTGGGAGAGAGGTGCAGACAGGTATGGCAGTGTGGTTCATGTACGTAAATAAATGTGCAGAGCCTATCGATGGCTTTCCCTGCGTGTCTCTGCAAGGAGGGCCCACATGAGTTGCTGACAGATGGCCTGATTAAAAAAAGACGAGCCACGGACTAAGCCGGCCTTACAATTTGACAGCTCAACTTAACTTCCTCGAAAGAAGCGGCACAAATGTGGCTCAGACCCCACCGTCAGCAGGTGCACAGCCCTCAGAGTCAGGAGGCAACTTGTTCTCTTGAGAGCTGTGAGGTGTCACCTGTCACCTGAGAGCTCACAGGTAATTAGGAATTCCTTACAGCACCATGCACAGGGCCTGAGATCCTAGGGCAGGCAGGAAGGAGGCTTCCCACGGCAGAAAGGAAAGGCCACTCTTCGCGATGCTTCCAGAGTCATCCAGCAGTCTCTTGGAAATGAATACTGGTCTGTTTCTTTTTACAAAACTGGCAGTGGGTTCAGTTTCTTCCTCCCATGCTCAAGAGACAATTTCTATGGGCTTGCCCCTTCTGCCCACAGAGAAGCCTCAGCACGAGAAGGGAGGGGCCCTTAGGTGGGTGTGTTGGGAACTTCAATCTGTGAACAGCTACCAAAAGCCAGACCCATTTCTGACTGTCCTGGGCTCTCCTGCTGGGATGGCCCCTGCTCCTACTTAGGCAGGTGGCCAGGTTTGCTCAAGTCAGAGGGAGCTGTCAGAAGAAGAGAGACTTCTCCCAGCAAGCCCCTGCTGCCCCCTCCTCACATCTCTTGGTCAAACTCTGGGGCCCCAGACCCACAGTGCACACTTCCAGGCAACTCCACCTGCCTCTCTGGGGAGCATCGGTCATTCATCCCGAATCCATCATTCATTCAAGGAATCTTTATTGAGCGCCCCCTACGTGCCCAGCAACACTCTGCTCACTCGATATCTGAAAAGAGTTTGTCTGTTTGAAGAGTTGGAAAACTGCAGTCAAACCCTGGCTTTCACATGAGCAAGTCTGTAAAATTATCCAGCATGCTGTGTTCATCCCAAAACCGCCCTCAGAGGTCCCTGAGCCTCTCACAAACCCCCTTTTAAGAAACTTCTTCTCTTCTATGATTTATAAAATGATTTTTAGCTGGGCGCTGTGGCTCACGCCTGTAATCCCAGCACTTTAGGAGGCTGAGGCGGGCGGATCACTTGAGGTCTGGAGTTCGAGACCAGCCTGGCCGACACGGCGAAACCCCTTCTCTACTAAAAATACAAAAATTAGCTGGGTGTGGTGGCGGGCATCTGTAATCCCAGCTACTCAGGAGGCTGAGGCAGGAGAATGGCTTGAGCCCAGGAGATGGAGGTTGCAGGTAGCCAAGACTGTGCCACTGCACTCCAGCCTGGGCAACAGAGTGAGACTCCGTCTCAAAAAAAGGAAAAAAAATGTTTAAGTGCTTTATTTTCCTTTCCAATCCTTTTTTCCTCCCCTTCTGCCCGCCTTTCTCTTTCTCTTCTCCTCACTCTCCTTTGCTCTCTTGCAGCAGTGTTCATGCAGCGCCTGTCTGGTGCCAGTTCTGAAGCACACACTGCAAAGATTAAGAAGATGGGTCTCAGCTGATTGGGAGTAGAGCACAGCATCTTCAGAGAAGGCCACGGAAGTCCTCCTCAAGGTGTCCAAGTGTCCTCCAAACATTAGCCACTGTTGTTATTAATAAAGGAATTTAAGACCGAAAAGACCTATGGAGGATTCAGGAGTCCAGGGGCCTGTATTACACAGAAGAGTTAAGAGGGTGATTCACACACCCGTGAAGATGAGTCTCCTCCCTCATCCTCCCCACACTGGGTCCATAAGAGGTGCTCCTGAGCAGTTTCACCTCATAACCCACAGGCTTAGATTTGGTGCTGAGGTAGCCAGGGTCAGCCCTAGTGCAGAGTAGAGCAGCTTAATTTCAGATGAATTTTTCAGTGGCCATTGCTCACTAGGTGCCTGGACAGGTCAAACCGTTTTCCACTTGTGAACAAGCATCTCAAAGCCAGTCCCCCCGCAGCTGACTGGCAGGTGTGCTCTGCCGTCTGCTTTTGGAAACAAGCCCTCAAGTGAATTATTTAAAGTCAGACAGCCTACTATTAGCAGACCTAAAGGAGGAACTCCTAGCAATTAATTAAATCCTGATATTTAACCCCCTGAGCTGAGCTAGTGCCTGTAGGGCAAAGGTGCTCAAACTTCAGGCTGCGTCGGAATAACCCTGAGAGCTTGTTAAAAAGCAGACTGCTGGGCCCCAACCCCGGAGTTTCTGGTTCAGTAGGTCTGGGGTGGGCCTGGAAATGTGCACTTCTAGCAAGTTTCAGGGGCTTCTGCTGACCCTGGATCAGTGTATCACACAGGACCGATAGATTATTGTCCCTGATTATGGTGAATAATATGGCCCAAAACACTTAAGAAACCTCCAATTTTCTCAAACTAGCACATCTGTGTACCTAATTATCCATGTGTCGTCTCTCTGTGTGTGAGGCCACGTGCTCTCCACGAAGACAGGTGAGTGGAGACCAAGACACAGAGGTGCTGCTATGACCGCAACTGCACCCACCTTGCAGAAAGCGCAAAGCTTCACTTTACAGCAAAAATACCAGCAATCTCCTCCCAGACTTTCAGAGCAGTTCCCAACAGGTAAGAGCAGGACCCTTCTGTCTGGGAAAGGCAGATCCATGCCTACACCTTATTTGGCAATACAGAAGTATCAATAAGATAATCATAAGTATTTAGAGAGTGATCAAAAGTGCCCTCCCAATATAGTTCAACAAAGAGCCCAAAATTTGACTTTGAAGGAGTCATTTCCACAGTGGACAGGTGTTTAGTTTTTTGTGCCCAACCAAATCTCGTGTTTCCGCTGGCAGTGCCACTGAAATGCATGCGTTTCTGGAAGGTGAAACGTGGCCACTCCTGTGGGACCCATGCTGCCCTGGCCAAGTTGCTCACAGTCCACGAAAGCCAAGCCGGCTTCCGCATCTCAAGGGCATTGGCTTCCGCAGCTCAAGGGCATTCTCTCCAGGACTTTTTGAAGTTCAAGTAATTCCGCAGATCCAAGGCTTATTGGTTAAATTTCATCCAGCACCTCATGACAGCGGCTGAAGTCACATTAACTTCAATCACATCAGTGACAGAAGCCACAGCCTTGTGCTGCTGCATGGTTTTAGACAGAAACCATGAAACTGCACCGGCAAAAAGTGTAAAACTATACGCACTGGGTCCGCAGATAGAGGTGTGAACCTCAGAGGGGCTGGCCCCGTTCCGCTCTTACTTTCTATTTTTCTTTCATTTTCTCCATTGTCATTTCTCCAAAGCAGGGCTGTCTACGCTTCATTGTCCTGCCTGTTGACAAATTGTTAAAGCAATTGCCTTACATTCATTTTAGATTTAATTTCCAGTGGCACTTTTCCTTTTCATGTTAAAGTCTTGCCTCATTTCAGTTTTATTTTTTCCTCACCTTTTTGTGAACAATCTCCTCCTTCAGTCAGCTCTGGACTAACAAGGTTGAACCAAAGATCTGTTTGCTTGGTGCAGGAAAACCACACGGGAGCCCTACAGCCTGCCCCGAGGCCGGCCCACATGAAAGCCCGGGGCTTCCTCACAGTTTGCTGTGAGCTGCACCAGCTCTCCTGGAGTGTGAAACCAATTTCCAAATTCACCTGAGGGTCCTTCTACAGAAAGGTTTTTGGTGAAAATATTTAGAATGTAGCAAAAAGCAATGATCAGAAGGGTATTTCAGATTTGAAAGTCACTTCATCTTCATTGTATTAATAAGTATTGATACTGGAATGGGTGGGCTCACAGTTACTGGTCACAAAGAAGAGCTTCTACGTGCCCCTGTATGATTTTGTGTTCTTCACTGTGTGGGAGGTGCAGCACATAGGCAGGTCTGAGCATTTTGGAGACAAACTAGGTTTGGAGACATCCACGCTGCTAACTGGATTCTCCTGGGCCAGAGTGTTACTGGATAGTCCTGTTTCCATTTCATCTGTGAAATGAGTTTGCTAAAAAATGGTAGGTATTTCACAGGCTTTGTGTGAGAACTGAGATAATCCGTGAGCAATTCTTGAAACAACATGATAAATACTTGGTGTTATTATTTTAGTCATCTGCCTTTAGCCGGGCTCAGTGTATCACACAGGACCTAGAGATTATTGTCCTAGCCCCTGCCTTGTTGCTTTGACACGAGGTAAGAACTACTTTCCTCCTTATTACACTGTTTTATGTAGGATACTTTGTCTTTTTCGTTTGTTCCCTACGGTTTTTTTCATAACAGTATTACAGATTGATCCCTGTAAAATAAGTCTTATTTAAATTTGGCTGTGGGCTTTTTAAATATAAAATCATGTGAACATCCCATAAAAACTATAACACTGAAAACTGTAGCATTACACATTAACAAGCACTTACACTCACATAGCGGCTTCTGGTTTAGGGACTCAGATAACATTCCAGTCATCTTCTGAATAGGGGGTTTTCTACGTAGTGTGCTTATTTCTCACATTGTGTGGTTTTATTTTTCTAGCTGCTTTTTCTCTCTAGATTATTACACATTCTGAATTGGAAGAAACATTACAGCCCTCCTAGGTGAACCTTCGTCACAAGACCAAAATCCTTTTATGGGGGGAGAGGAGGGAGCCTCCAGTTTAGGGTTACACACATCCAAGCTACCAGGGCTCAGCCTGGACCCAGGATACACCTTGAGTCCCTTTTTAAAACATCTCCCTAGTGCTGGGCACGGTGGCTCACGACTGTAATCCCAGCACTTTGGGAAGCCGAGGCAGGTGGATCACTTGAGGTCAGAAGTTCGAGACCAGCCTGCTCAACATGGTGAAACCTCGTCTCTACTAGAAATACAAAAATTAGCCAGGCGTGGTGGCGCACACCTGTAATCCCAACTACTGGGGAGGCTGAGGTGGGAGAATTGCTGGAACCCAGAAGGGGGAGGTTGCAGTGAGCCAAGATTGTGCCACTGCACTCCAGCCTGGGTGACAGAGTGAGACGCTGCCTCAAAAAAAATTTAAAATAAAATTTCCCTCGTATTGAACTGAACTTTAACTTCTTTGTAAATTATTCCCATTGGCCTTATTTCTGGTCTCTGATGCTACCTAGAATAAATACGAAATATATTTATTGGAATATTTCTTGCCTTAGCTCAGGCTACTGTAACACAATTTCACATGCTGGATGGCTTAAACAACAGAAATTTATTTTCTCACAGCTCTGGAGGCTGGAAGTCCAAGATCAGGATGTCAGCATGGTTGAGTTCTGGCGAGGGCCTCCTCCTGGCTGGCAGACAGCAGAGAACATCAGTCCCCTGTAAGGCCTCCCTCATGATCTCATTGAACCTTGTCACTGCCCAAAGGTGACCTCCAAATACCACCACATTGAAGATTAGGTCTTCGACATAGAAATTTTGGGGATGAGAAGGACACAGTGCAGTCCACAGCAGAATAGTCAATAAAACATGAAATAAGTATAAAATCCACATGCAAACCCCAGGTATTTCAGGCTACTTACACCTCCCCTTGGACCTTTCTTTCCAGGCTCAGATACACCTGCTTTAGTCTTTACTATGGGACAGCTTCTAGAGCTTTACCATCCAGCTGAGCTTTCATTCTTAAAAAGGACTACATTTTTCATCCTTGTTTTGAAACCTTCATGAAATTCCGTAAGTTGTCCACCAAAATCTATCCCATTCTTGCTAGCACTAAATACTTTTATAGCTATGTATATACCTATGGACAAATAAACTGATTTCAGTTCTTTGAATACAGAGGGGTAACCAAAAACCACACCAAAAATGCTTTAAAGTCTTTGATTTTTACAGAGATAATAAAGATGATTTCTTTCAAAAGCTTCGTATTTCTAACACTATTGGAGAAAACCACCTTTCCTAGCTTAATATGTAAGATTTATTTTGATTCAAAAGTGTTAACTGGAACTTCTGCCTCTAAAGTCACGACAGCATTTTGTCTTCTCTCTAGAGAACGCTGCACATTTGTAAATGAAACTTTCAGCCATGTTCAACCATCGGACAGACTGGCCCCCCCCAAATACCACCCTGTCTAGCAAATTGAGACTGTCACACCACATTCTTATTTTTTATTTTTTATTTTTGACGGAGTCTCACTCTGTCGCCCAGGCTGGAGTGCAGTGGAGCCATCTCCGCTCACTGCAAGCTCCGCCTCCCGGGTTCATGCCATTCTCTTGCGTCAGCCTCCCGAGTAGCTGGGACTACAGGCGCCCGCCACCATGCCCGGCTAATTTTTTGTATTTTTTAAGTAGAGACGGGGTTTCACCGTGTTAGCCAGGATGGTCTCAATCTCCTGACCTCGTGATCCTCCCACCTCGTCCTCCCAAAGTGCTGGGATTACAGGCGTGAGCCACCGCGCCCGGACCACATTCTCTTCTAAGGCAGGAATCATGCCTATCTTTTTGTACATCTTTGAAATGAAACTATGTGGATGATGCAAAATATTACTTTGCATGCAATTAGAATTTTTAAATGCCGGTTACACCAATCACTTTACTGAATGAATATTTTAATGCTAAGTGATGAAAAAGATGGAAACACAGTAGACATACAAAAATATTCCCTAAGAGAAATGAAAATATAATGTTAGATAACGCATTTGTCATCTATACGAGAAATCTCATCTGCTTTTCCTGGGGGAGCCCACTGTCCTTATCAGTGTGTACCACGGGCCTGGTTTCCTTCTCCTAGGAGCAGCCAAAAGCCAGGGTCCAGGATTAGACATTGCAAAGAGATATTTTAGCACCATCAAGAAGGCCGATTTGCTCATGTGGTAGTAGAACATTGCATTTGATATTATAAATTTTCATTAGCCTGTAAATAAAAAAGAATATAAATTCACAATGAGATATACTGCTTAATATTAAGGATAAAGCTTTAATAGTTAAACAATAAATTCTTCCTTTGGTGTAAAACTAGAAATGTATAGTCCTTTCAACTATGCAAGATTTATTTTGATATTTCAATATTCAATAACATTTTTATATGCATATATATAAAGATATACATCTGGAAAACTCTTTAAATTTATCATCATGTAAAAAATTTTATTGATGTGTTATTCATTCTTAGAATTCTAGAGAAAATTAACTTTTTTATGTTGATAAAGACATAAAGACATGTTTTTATATACAATTTATACATTCCATAATTATAGTAAATAATATTTGTAGACACCTATTTAGATCAAAATCCAGTATTTTCTAGAAAATGGTACCATTGTCCTTTTGTGAATATTTATGGACAGGTTGCTCTCTCTCCATGCTAAGATTCCTTCCTAAGTCTAGTCCCATGACTATAGCAGACCTTTAATTACCAAATGCCCATTGAGATGTCCAGTTGCAATCAGGACGCCTTCTTCACACAAGTCTTCTTTTTTTTTTTTTGAGACGGAGTCTCGCTCTGTCGCCCAGGCTGGAGTGCAGTGGCACGATCTCGGCTCACTGCAAGCTCCGCCTCCCGGGGTCATGCCATTCTCCTGCCTCCCGAGTAGCTGGGACTACAGGCGCCCGCCATGACGCCTGGCTAATTTTTTGTATTTTTTTGTAGAGACAGGGTTTCACCGTGTTAGCCAGGATGGTCTCGATCTCCTGACCTCGTGATCCGCCCGCCTTGGCCTCCCAAAGTGCTGGGATTACAGGCGTGAGCCACCGTGCCCGGCCTTCACGCGGGTCTTCCATAAAACATAAAACAATTCCTAATGGCTGAGAGCAATATGTTAAAGACAAATACACTTCTAAACTCACAACAGAATTTTCTTTTTTACCTTCACTGATACAGGATTTCAGTAGTGAGAAAAGTTTTTTGTTCGCTGCCTTCTGTTTCTAATTTAAAACCTTTGTTCCGAGGTCCTAGCTTTCTGTGTCCATTCAAAAAGATTCACAGCCTGGGAGTGCTCACGGATCTGAGTCCTGTTCACACACATAAACAGGCAGCTCACAATGGAATGCATGAAGTCATTCTACTAACAATGTTTTTGGGGGTTTTTTTTGTTTTTTTGAGACGGAGTGTCGCTCTTGTTGCCCGGGCTGGAGTGCAATGGCGCAATCTCGACTCACTGCAACCTCTGCCTCCCGGGTTCAAGCCATTCTCCTGCCTCAGCCTCGGAGTAACTGAGATTACAGGCACCCGCCACCATGCCCGGCTAATTTTTTGTATTTTTAGTAGAGATGAGGTTTCACCATGTTGGCCAGGCTGGTCTCAAACTCCTGACCTCAGGTGATCCACCCTTCTCGGCCACCCAAAGTGCTGAGATTACAGGCTTGAGTCACCTCGCCCAGCCCCTACTAACAATGTTTAAATATTTACATCTTCTCAGGAAGTTAGCAGTTCATGTCATAAGTTATTTAAGAAATTTTCAAGTTTGAATAAAATTTCTTAAGGATTTTTTTTTTTTTTTTTTTTTTTGAGACAGTCTTGCTCTGTCGCCAAGGCTGGAGTACAGTGGTGCAATCTCGGCTCACTGCAACCTCCGCCTCCCGGGTTCAAGCTATTCTCTGCCTCAGCCTCCTGAGTAGCTGGGACTACAGGCGCCCGCCACCACGCCAGGCTAATTTTTGCATTTTTACTAGAGATGGGGTTTCACCATCTTGGCCAGGCTGGTCTTGAACTCCTGACCTCGTGATCCACCCGCCTTGGCCTCCCAAAGTGCTGGGATTACAGGCGTGAGCCACCACGCCCAGCCTCTTTAGGAATTTTATGACAGCAGCACTTTACCAATATGTGGAGTAGCATGAAAGATAATATGGCCTGGAAAGGCCAGAACTTAAGAGCAGTGAATCTTCAAGAAGTGAGCCCAGAATATTTGTTCAGGAAATTAACATGAATGCATAAGGAGTGAAGATTGTGCTACCTACAAGTACTCTGCCCCAGCATTTTGCAAAGAGAAAAAGGTGTGAAATCAGCTTACTGTGTTCACCTCTGCACCGACATGGCTTAGCTTTGTGCCTGGCCAGAGTCAACATTTAATAAACATTTATACAAGAATCTAAGACGATTTTATCATAGAATACTACAAACCTCAGAGAAGGGAGCGTGTATTTATCAAACTCCACAGAATTCCTATGTGAGTCACCTGAAATATCAATTTATCCAAAACTCCACAAGCCACTCAATGAGAGAACGATTCATTCATTCTATTAAATGGAGTTGGTCTGAGTTTCATTGACTGTCAAACTATAGGTATCTCACACTTAAAAAATAATTTAATAATTTACTAATAATTTTAAAACTATGCTACCGTAAAAGTAAATGATTCTGTTGAGACAAAACCACTGTGTGACTTTGTCAGTTGTTATGTGACTTGATAGAGTGAGTTTAAGTTCCAAAATTCCTTGCAGCCTTACTTTAAAATCTCATGTTCTCAAATACTAGAAGACTTTTGGAGAATGCTGGGGTTTTTTTTTTTTCTTTTGGCCATATAGCATATATATTTGTGCACAGTTCTTAGCAAAAGGTAAATATTCAACATTTATTGAAATGAATTTATTCACTTTGGTGAGAAAGACAGCCCGAGCTCGTAACTCCCTGAGGAAAAAAAATGTGTAGTTTTTTCTCACTCTGAACTGTAATTCTTAGTGATTATAGTTATCATTGATTTGGGGACACTAAAGGAAAATATCTAACATATAAGCACTATTTTTCAGTGCTTATTTTATTAAAAACCAAAATATTAAAAATCAACCCAGTTTTACAGTCTTTATAAAAGAGCTGTTCTATAATCTTAACCCAAATGTAAGACAGATGATATCACTTCCCAGAACTAATTGCTAAAAAGTTAAAACATTTATAAAAACCCACAATAAAAAAATGGGAAATATACAGACTTCTAAATTTTGTATTCTGGAGCTTTTCTCTGATTTCTGTTCCACAAGCTTCCTTTTGAATCAGCTTCCATAAATCTTCATAGTCAATCATATTTTTCGAGATTGCACATTTGGTCAATTCATTTTGCAACCCTATACTCTTATTTTCAAAGAGAATGGGTGTGTGTGTGTGTGTGTGTGTGTGTGTGATTTAAAATTTAAAATCTTTCAAACCAGCGGAGTGTAACAGCTGGGTAACTTGCAGCTAGCTAGTCAGGAAACAGTTATTTTCAACAGTAATTGACACCAAAAAAGTAAACCACAACTTTGAAAGTTTCTAAGGGTTCATATATATTTTAAAAATTAAAGGGAACAATTAAGTCAGACAGACCGTTTTTCTTCTTCTTTTTAAGCTAAGTAGTCATACCTGGGAGTTAATATAAGGGGAATTCTTGGTGGGAGGGAGGATGATAGAAGAGAGAATGGGGGCTTTATAGAGGGGGAAGAAAAGGTTTGAGGACATTGAGAGGAAGTAGACAAACATACCTTTCCCTTAAAATTCAATTTCTAATTTTACCTTCCTTTGGCATGGAGACTCTAGAACATTCTTACACTATACACACCAATTGTCATATGGGAATATGCTGCTTATGATAATAAACCATGTATTTGCCAGTTTCGTGGAAAACAGACATGAATGCTTTTCAATATAATTTCATCTCCTAGGCAATGGAGCGCACGTGACTGACAAGGCTGCCTGATAGCTGGAGAGCTTTCTCAGAACAGTGAGCCTAGAGGCGCCCTCTAATTTACCCGAGGGTTTATAAGGTGAGGGTCACGCTGGCCATTTTCCTTTGGGGAAGAATAGAATCAGGGATGCACAGGATTCTATAAAGATAGAGGGACATTTTTTAGATGATGAAAATGTAGCGTCATCAGCAGAAATCAGACTTTTTTTCAGTCTAATTTCTTTTCTTTCTTTCTTTTTTTTTTTTTTTTTTTTTTGAGACGGAGTCTCGCTCTGTGGCCCAGGCTGGAGTGCAGTGGTGCGATCTCGGCTCACTGCAAGCTCCGCCTCCCGGGTTCACGCTATTCTCCTGCCTCAGCCTCCCGAGTAGCTGGGACTACAGGCGCCCGCCACCACGCCAGGCTAATGTTTTGTATTTTTTTTTAGTAGAGACGTGGTTTCACCGTGTTAGCCAGGATGGTCTCGATCTCCTGATCTCGTGTTCCGCCCTCCTCGGCCTCCCAAAGTGCTGAGATTACAGGCTGGAGCCACCGCGCCCGGCCTCAGTCTAATTTCTACAGCAGGGCCTCATCGCTGTGACCCAGGGAGGCCGCGCCTCCGAGGTGGGTCCATGCCACCTCCCTCTGTAGGAAGAGCCTTCAGCACCCCAGGGCCGTTCGCAGGGCTCTTCCCCAAACAAAATAAAATGAAACGGAGGTTTTCCTGAGCTTCAGCGTCAATCCGATCGGACCCCCGGGAGGTGCAGCGAGCTCGGGGACACGGTGTTCGGGTGGTAGGATTTCCAAAGTCCTGAGAGGCTGAAGGGGCAGGTATTGTTCCCGCCGCCCCTTGGGCAAGGGGCCTCCCGGAGCAAAGGCTAGGGGGCCCGGGCTCCCAGTTCTGGGGTCGTCCTGGTGACAGGGTGACCCCTAGACCATGGGGGCGGCTACAGCGACTGTCCGGGGGTGTCTGGGCCACGACCACCCGTCCCACCAGGAGGACGCAAGCACGGCACACTGGCTGGGGGCTCCGCACTGGGAGGCTGGGCCAGACCTGGAACGGCCTAACAGCAAGGAGAGAGCCGGACGCCGTGGCTCAGGCCTGGAACCCCAGCGCTTTGGGAGGCCGAGGCGGGAGAGTCGCTTGAGGCCAGGAGTTCGAGACCAGCCTGAGCATGACGGCGAAACCCCGTCTCTACAAAAAAAAAAAAAAAAAAAAAAAAAAAAAAATTTTAATTAGGCTGGCGCAGTGGCTCACATCTGTAGTCCCAGCTACTGGGGAGGCTGAAGCAGGAGGATCGCTTGAGTTCGGAAGGTCGAGGCTGCAGTGAGCTAGGATTGCGCCACTGCGCTCCAGCCCCGGGCGACAGACTGAGAACCTGTCTCGAAAAAAAAAGAAGAGGAAAGAAAAAGAAAACCAGAACGAGAAAGTGCGGCCAGCCCGGGCTCAGGAGCTGGGTGGGAAACAAAGCCGCCAGAAAATGACAAGTAAACACGCAGCCGCGGGAAGCCACTGGGCGGAGCGGGCGCTAATGAGCGCGCAGCGGGGCCGCCACGCCCGCGCGGACACGGAGCAGCGGCGCCTTTCCCTGCGACTGGCTGTGTCGCCTGGAGCCCGGCGGCCGCCACCCCAGGGAGAAAGCTCCGGTGAGGGGAGCAGACGCTGGGACCCGTGGTCTCGCCCTCTGCTCTTTCCTGGCTGGGGACGGGGGTAGCTCCCAGGCAAAGGCCCTCCGGGGTCTCCGCCCGGGGGGCCCCACCTGCCTTGTGACGGCTGAGATGTGCGCGTCCCACCCACTTTCCAAGGCGCCTTTGAAGTCGTTTCTCATTAAAAAACAAGCTTTTTGAATAACCAAATGTTCCTTTGGCGCCCTCCAATTTTATTTTACTGTAATCTATTGAGTTGTATTTGTTTTTCTGAATCCGCTTCCTAGGAAAGCGCCCCCTCCCATTTTAAACCGTTCTCAGGTGGTTTTTTCTGGAAGCAGCAGTGGTTTGTCCAGCAAGGATTAACTCTTTGCCTTTTCCCGTCTAAACTTCTGAAGACACCTGACAGCTCGTTTTAACTCTGCAAACGACAGTTCATCCTCCGGGGTGTGGATTCGGGCTCCCACGGCTGCCGCCTGGGGCAAGTGCGTCTCCCCGGGCGCCTACGCGGCCCCGCGCGCTCCTGGCAGCGTCGCCCCCAAGCCAGCCCCGCCTACCCAGAGAGGGCCAGTCCTGTTCCGGGTCCCGAGGGCCTTGGGAACCCCACAGGTTCCTTCCTCCCGGGGTTTCCCAGCAGACCACACACAGAGATGCGCTCCGGAACTTAGGGAACCATGTAAAGGAACTTCCAACAGGACTGGGCCTTTTATGCGTGTTTATCTTAAACATTTTAGGAAGCAAGTGGCAAAGTGCTTTAAAAGTAAAACTTAGAACGTCTGCACTAGCTGTTTGTGCAAACGAGTATTTGCTAAGCATTATCCGAGACCTGAGAATTGTTTCTTTATGATTTACTTATATGTGATAAGTTCCCTTTGTAGAAAGAGACTATATTTAATCATAAATATATCGTCATAGGTACAAGGATAAAATTTAAGAAGAGAGGACTACAGATCACTTTAACGCTAAAGGGAATTGTAGTGAAGCATGGATGTTTTCCCATTAAGGTGACTTTCTTCTGGGGTGTGTGTGTGTGTGTGTGTTTAGTTTTTTGTGCCTTTATGTTTCTATCAGTTTGTCTTTCCCAGTGAAAATTAATTCAAATGTGTCTTCATTGATATATTTCAAGTGTTGTGCGCTGAACATTGAGTCAGAATAATTTGATTAAGGTTCAATGATAAAACCACTCTGTCTCACTGATTTTAATTAAACTGGAATCTGAAAAACACATGCATTCAATATAGTGGCCATTATTTTTAATTCTAAACAAACTTTTTTGGTTTTGAGCCAATATTTTTAGTTCTAAACCAACATTTTTGGTTGGTTTAGTTCTAAACCAACATGTTGAAACCTTGGGAGGTTTTCGCATTTTCCAGAGTGAGAACTGCTTGCATTGACTTCCCGGAATGTGTAGTACCAGACCCTCAACCTTAAAAGAAGTTCCATTCTTCTCCACTTCTCTCTTCTCCCCAGGACCCATGACTTTACACTTCAATATTTCTGCAGGGCTCACAGTTCACTGAGAGGTAAGTGAAAGTCAAGAACCACTGGAAGACAATGAAAATTTCATTCTTGTGGGCAATTTTAACTCTTAACTGTTACAAATGATAGTATCTGCGTACAAGATCTTCTATATACCAGATTCAGACACCACATTTTGACTCTTTTTTTTCACATGAATATACTTCCCATATGAACTCAAAAAGAAATCTATAAATATAAAATTATTTTAGAGATATTTCTTAGACCATGACAAATTATCCAAAACTTGAAAAAAGTTAAAAAGATAGATGGCAATTCTTGTTGATGTCAGATAGAGGCATTGTTTAGCAGGCACCTGTGGATTTTCTATATAGGTGAATATATTTGGTAGGACTCATCGCTTACTATTGATTAAAGATTAAGGACTTATGGGAAGTTACATGTCAGACATTAATCCATTAGAGATGCAGATTTCTGTCCAGGAGAAAAGATAATGCTAAAGGTTATGGCTTATCATCTTGTGGGACACTAACTTGTTTGGTATCTATGAACAAATTCACTTCAGTGTTTCTCTGACCATCCACTGTGTAAATGTTCATACCTCCCATTCTCATCTGAGCCAGTCTTCACATCTAATTTATCCCCTTATTAACTTATTAAAGTTGAACTTAACTTATTAAAGTTTTAACTTATTTAACTGAATTTACTTATTAAAGTTGAATTTGACTTTAATAAGTTGAATTAATGCAATTGCTCAGTAAACATTAATTTAATTGAAGCTCATTCTTATCCAGAATAAATATAAAATGCAAGGTTCTTTGTGACACAAATATTTATAGAAACAATAAGAAATAACGTAGCTGGCTGGCTCATACCTGTAATCCCAACACTTTTGGAGGCCCAGGCGGGAGGATCACTTGAGCCCAGGAGTTCCAGACCAGCCTTGGCAACATTGTGACACTCCATCTCTACAAGAAAAAATTTTTTTAATTCAGAAAATTATTCAGATGTGGTGGCATGTGCCTGTGGTCCCAGCTACTTGGGAGGCTGAGGGGGAAGATCTTTTGAGTTCAGGGGGTCGAGACTGCGTGAGCTATGATTATGCCACTGAGCTCTAACCTGGGCGACAGAGTGAGACCCTGTCTCAAAAAAAAAAAAAAAAAAAAAAAAGGAAGGAAGGAAGAGAGAGAAGCAAACAACTAGAAATACTAGCAATATAAAAGTGATTAGTTTTGTATTTATATGACATTTAACTAATAAACTCTAAAATATTAGCTGAAAGAACAAAAGAAAATGCTTGCCTTTATATTGTCTCGTGTTCAACATAATTATGATAATTTAAAAAGATGTAAAGATCTTCATTTTAAAAATGTGTTGCTGAAAGTGAATAAATGAGTAAAACTGAGGGGAAATAATCTTTTCCTCTAAAGCTTAAAAACTTAGTAAATAAATAGCATAATATATGGAAAGGACATAGGCTTTGGGTGAATCTAACTTGGGCTCAAATCAAGCTCTATCCTTTGGGCAAGTTACTACATTCTCCAAGCCTCAGTTGTTTCAACTGTAGATTAGACTTGGTAATAACACCTTCCTCCCAGGATTGCTCAGGGAATAAGGTAAAGTCTGCAAAGTGCAGGGAGCTGTCTGGCAAACGGTAAAAAATGAAAGCATAATAAGTAATACTTTTGCATCCTACAAGTCTTTCTTATTTTTTTAATTAAAACAAATTTTTTATAGACACGTCTCTCTCTGTCATCCAGGCTAGAGTGCAGTGTCACGATCAGAGCTCACTGCAGCCATGAACCCCTAGGCTCCTGGGCTCTTGGACTTAAGCTGTCCTCCCACCTCATCCTCCTGAGTAGCTGGAACTACAGTCATGAAGCTTTATGTTAAGTTTCATCTACTAAATTGTAACAACTAAAACTTGAGGACTAAAATATATGGAAAAATTACTACTACATGAAAAATTGTGTTAAAGTCGTATCATTTATCTCTTTATTAGTGAACTGGGCTATAAATGTTCTAAAGATATGCTCAGGCTGGGTGTGGTGGCCCACACTTGTAATCCTAACAGTTTGGGAGGCCAAGACAGGAGGATCACTTGAGCCCCACAATTTGAGATCTGCCTGGGCAACATAGCAAGACACCATCTCTACAACAACAAGGAAGATAGTGATATGGTTAGGCTTTATGTCCCCACCCAAATCTCATCTTAAATTGTAATCCCCATAATTCCCATAATCCTCACATATCAAGGGAGAGACCAGGTGGAGGTAAATGAATCATGGGGAGAGTTTCCCGCATGCTGTTCTCATGATAGTGAGTTCTCACGAGATCTGTTGGTTTTATAAGGGGCTCTCCCCCCTTCAATGGGTACTTCTCCTTCCTGCCACCTTGTGAAGAAGGTGCCTTGCTTCCCCTTCCACCATGATTGTAAGTTTCCTGAGGCCTCCCCAGCCATGCTATACTGTGAGCCAATTAAACCCCTTTCCTTTATAAATTATTCAGTCTCGGGTAGTTCCTTATAGCAGTACAGAAATTGACTAATACAGATATGCCCAAATTAATAAAAATGATGCAAACCAATAATTGTGTGGCCACTAAAATCTTTACTTAACTGGCATCACACTCTTTACTTATGTTAAAGGAATAAATTGCATGCATTAGTTATCTATTGCTGTGTAGAAATTCCCCCACTGCAGCAATGTAACACAACACACACCTATTATCTCAACGAATCCGTGAGTCGGGAGTCCAGCGACAGACTTGCCGGCTCTCCTGCTGGGGTCTCACAAGGCGGTCGCCAGGTTATGTCCAGGGTGGGTTCTCATGCGGAGTCTGACTGGGGGAGCGTGCATGCCCCTGCTCGCATGTGTTTGGTAACACTCAGCTCCTTTCAGTTGTAGGATCTGTGGCAGCTGCTGGCTTCTTCAGAGCCAGTGAGGGAGACAGCGAGTCTCCCCAAAAGACAGTCCTGTGTGATGTGAGTCATCCCCAGAGTGACATCCCATCACCTTTGCTGTAGCCGTTGGTTAGAAGTCAGTCACCAGTCCTTCTCTGTGACTCAGGGGAGATGACTACATAAAAGGCAGTTACACCTGGAGGCACCTGGGAGTCTGCCACACGCCCCCCTGCCTCCCTCGCATGTGCAAAAGTCATTCACCTGCTCTAGGTACCTAAGATTTTCGGAGCTTCATGGCATCAGCTCAAAGCCTGAAATGTCAACATCTAAATCAGGTCAAAGGTCAGTGGAGGGTCATGGTGCAATCATTCGGTTCAGGTTCTGGGACACAATTCCTCTCCATGGATGGGCCCGGGAAGCTAAAGAGATTAGTGACCTGTCCCGTGGTGGAGCAGGCACCAGATGCAGCTGTAGACATTTCAGTTTTCAAGGGGAGGAAATGGCAGATAAAAGGCATCTTGACTGTGTAGCAATTCCAAATCCAGAAAAGTAAAGGTTGGGAGTTCTCAGTCAGGTTTCCAGGGCTGGGGAGAATTCTCCTGGCTTCTGGATTCCCTGTCTGGGCTCTTGGTCCCCGCATCTACACTGCACTTGTTTGGAAGGAAAGGTTGCCCATGTTTGCAGCTGAGGAGCTTTTTAGCCTACTTCCAGCCAGCAAAATCTGGGGAGTCTGGCAGCCTCCTTTCATCCTGTGCTCTCTCTGTTCCTTCCCACCCAGGCTGGCAGTGTTTCTGTGAAAGTGATTTCCTCAAAATCTTTGTCTCTCATGGATTTCACCTGGGTCTACTCCATGAGCCGAAGGCCTCACCTGCCGATGTTTTTGAGGCAAGCCTTTTCTATCTTTGAGTCCTGCCGAGGTGACTCGGAGTCAACGCCCTTCGGCTCCTCAGGGGCTCCCTGGTTCGATCCATGAGGCTCAGCCCTGACCTCTCTAAGGCACCCTTGGTGGGGCAGAATGCTGAGGCTATGATCTTTCTGAGGCCTTATCCAAAGGCTGTGCAGACACAGCCCAGCCACCTGGGCTCCTGGGCTTACACTGTCTTGACAGCACCATCTCTTGCTATCTGGAGAGGCCGACGCCTCAATTCTGGACGTCTGGACCCAAACCGTGAGACATAAACTTCTGTGGCTGTCCTCTGCCCAGTTTGCGGTCACATGTCGCAGCCGCCCGAGGTGACTAAGACAGGAAACTAAAGTGGCTGTTTCTTCCTCCAAGCTTTCGAAACTTTTTTTTTTTTTTTAATTGAGACAGAGCCTCGCTCTGTCACCCAGGCTGGAATCTAGTGGCAAGATCTTGGCTCATGCAACCTCTGCCTCCCAGGTTCAAGCAATTCTTCTGCCTCAGCCTCCCTAGTAACTAAGACTACAGGCGCCCAGCACCACGCCCGGCTAATTTTTATATTTTCAGTACAGACAGGATTTCTCCATGTTGGCCAGGCTGGTCTCAAAACTCCTGACCTCAGGTGATCCACCCGCCTTGGCCTCCCAAAGTGCTGGGATTACAAGCGTGAGCTCCCGCGCCCAACCTGAAACTTGGTTCTTTATCAACTTAGGGTCCCGGAGAGCAAAGCACCCGGCCTCCCATCCGCCCAGTGTCTTGCAGCGTCATCTTCATTTCCACCAAAAGGTCACGGATACATTGCTGCTTTCGCACCCAGCACGTTTTAGACAGTAAGCTTGTTCATGTGTCTTTCGCACCCAGCACGTTTTAGACAGTATGCTTGTTGATGTGTCTCTGTCCTTAACTCGGTTGAACTTTCTGAGAAAGTCCCCTCAGCATTTTAGAACTTGTGATGTTTCAGAATGTGGCCTCTAACCAGACCATAGGGCTCAGCTGGCAGCCCTGCTGCCTCCCAGCAGAGGTCACATGAGCTTCTTGTGCTTCCTTTTTCTCATCTGCACACTGGAAACGACAACAATAGAACCCATCCCACAGCGGGGTGCTGGCCAGTTGAATTGATCCCCACAAAGTGCTTACAACAGTGCCTGCCCCATAGCAAGTGCTGTATGCACACTGGCTATTGTGACGTTTGTATCCTAATACAAATGAAGATTGACCATGCTAAGGATGCGAACATTTGCTGAATGAGCTATAATTTGATATTCTGTCCTAAACATTCAATTATATTTGCTTTTCTTAAAAAAAAAGAAAGGTGTGATTGTGTGTGTGTGTGTTTACTATAAGCCACATCAAATTCTTTCAAGCAATAGGTATAAATGAAATAAGCAGCAGCAATTTATAAGGTCCCTTTCTACTCTAGAAATCTAAAAGTAAAACTTCAGCAAACCTAAAGTTTAGGGCAATGAGACAGGCTGGATGGTCGGGTTGCCTGGTACCAAGGTCTGAATGTGCCCCTCAGAATTCATGAATTAGAAACTTAGTTGCCCGTGCAAAAGTGTTGGGAGGTAGGGCCTCGTGGGAGGTGTTTAGGTTATGAGAGCTGTGCCCTCATGATGGTTCAATGCCCCTATAAAAAGGGCCAGTGGGAGTGGGTGTTCTCTCTTGCTCTCTCTCTCTCTCTCCTGCTTTTCTGCCATGTGAGGACATGGCGTTCCTCCCCTCTGGAGGATGCGGCATCTAAGGTGTCATATTGGAAGCAGTGAGGCTAGGCCTGAGCTGCCAGGGCCTTGATCAGGCCCCAGAACTGTGAGAAATAAATACCTGGCCTTTGTAAGTTACTCAGTCTCAGGTGTTCTCTTATAGCAGCACAAACTGGACTAAGACATGTGGGTAGCAGGATTTAAAAATACATTTTAAAACATTTTTTTGTTTGACAGTTTCAAAAATGTATCCTACTTCCCTCCTTCTCTGACTTGTTTGTTTTTACCATGTATTATTATAGTTGATTTTACACAAATACACTTTTAGACTAACTCATTAACTCTGAACATCACTATGTCCCCCTCTATTTCTAAAAATAACAAAAGTGATTTCTATTTATTGAGCACCTACCGAGTGCCAGGCTCCATGCTGGGTTCTATTTTCTTTAGAACATCTATTTCATTATTACTTAACAATTATCTGCTTTACACATTATAAGCCAAACTCTGTTCTATACTCCATGTGGGTTTAACTGAATATATAGTCACCACAGCCTTGCAAAGTAGATATTTAATTACGCAGGTGAACAAACTGAGGCTTGTTAAAAAACTAGAACAAGGTCTCACTGTGATTCCAACCAGACTTGTCTTACCATTATTACAAATGATGCTTTCTCTCATGATAGACATCTATAATTTACCTAGTTGGAATTGCTGCACACATTTTGTTTGGTGTTTTGATTTTTTAATTATATTGTGTATATATTTCCATGTAGCACATAATAATTTACATAATTATGGTAACTTTGTTACACCCAATTACCTACTTCAATTCAGCTAATTTCCTCTTGGTAAACATTGATTGAGTGTTTATGTGCCAGATTCTATCAAATGCCAAGGAAATAAAAATAACTGAGATAAGGTTCCTAACCCCAAACTTTCATCTAGCCAGGAGACATACATTATGTGAAAAGATAAGCATAACGCAGTGTGATACATGCATTTCTCAATGGTTGCACATTTGAGTTATTGCTAACTTGGCTGTTATCAATAGCGTTAGTACTGCCAGGCACGGTGGTTCACGCCTGTAATCCCAGCACTTTGGGAGGACGAAGCGGGCTGATCACGAGATCAGGAGATCGAGACCATCCTGGCTAACATGGTGAAACCCCGTCTCTACTAAAAATACAAAAAAAATTAGCCAGGCGTGGTGGCGGGCGCCTGTAGTCCCAGCTGTTCGGGGGGCTGAGGCAGGAGAACGGTGTGAACCCGGGAGGCAGAGCTTGCAGTGAGCTGAGATCACACCATTGAACTCCAGCCTGGGTGACAGAGCGAGACTCCATCTCAAAAAAAAAAAAAAAATAGCTTTAGTACAAATATTTTCACCATACCCCTGAATTATAGTTTTCAAAAAACACTAAGAAGCCAAAGCATAGGGACAATGGCCCTGCTTCCATTATGACAGCCAGACTGCTTTCCAGGATGCCTGCACCAAGCTCGTTTCTCAGTATCCAGTGCGTGGAAAGAGGATGGTCACACCTGCCCTTTACGTCACGAAGAAGAGGTTATGAGGCTTCACATAATCTATAAATATACGTGGTTACTGCTGATGTGTAAAGCGTAAGTATCCTTTGACTACTTGTTTAGCAAAGTGTGGATTATATGTTCATGCCTATACATTCATATCAATCCGTGTGCATTTTGGATGTAAACCTGTATCATCTTTTTACATTTATTGTTTTCAGATTTCATTGTCTCTTACAAAACAAAGTTCCTTTTCATTGTGTATAAAAGTTTTTAATAATGTTATTTTGTTAAGCTTAACTATGATGTCTCTGATTATATTATTTTATCTCCAATAAGCAAAAATGAACATCTCCACCGTTGAGATGAACGAATTTTTTCATTCAAAAAGCCCTGCTTTTCGCGATTGGCCTTGCTTGTGATTAGTGCATAGTGTGTGCAGAGTGTAAATGTGAGAGCGGGCCCTGATTCTTCAGCACTTCCTCTCCCACATTTCATTATTCCAGGCTTATGATATCTTATACTTTTAGAACTTTGGATTTCTTTCTGGAGTTGATTCCCATGCCCTGAGTGTAACATTTCCGTATAGATAATTATTATTGTATAATACATTGTTTTTTTTTTTTTTTTTGAGACGGAGTCTTGCTCTGTCACCCAGGCTGGAGTGCAGTGGCATGATCTCAGTTCACTGCAACCTCTGCCTCCTGGGTTCAAGTGATTCTTCTGCCTCAGCCTCCTAAGAAGCTGGGACTACAGGCGTACGCCACCATTCCCATCTAATTTTTGTGTTTTTACTAGAGATGGGGTTTCACCATATCAGCCAGGCTGGTCTCAAACTCCTGACCTCATGATCCACCTGCCTCGGCCTCCTAAAGTGCTGGGATTACAGGCGTGAGCCACCGCTCACGGCCTATTGTGTAATACATTCTAAACCTGTCGCCAGTTCCCTTTCATTACCTCATTTGACAGAGTAAGTGGTCAAACCTCTGAGGAGAGCTGAGGAAGGCCAAGGCCTGAGGTCCTCGAGGACCTGGGAGAGCTTCAGGTCTGCAGAACCAACCCAGGAACTGCCGGGCCGCTCCAGGGGCCCACTTCTACTGCCACGAGCATCTTAGGTTCTCTTGCTGACAGCCCCTGATGCCTGCCTGCCTGCCTGCGTGTGTTGCTGCCACCTCTGCATTTCTCCAGCCCTCTGTCTGTCTGGTGGCCTGGTCTAGTGGCCCCAGCTGTCTAGGTCCCCACTGCTGTGGCTGTGATCCTGCGTTGTGCAGGAGGCGCAGCTGCCATCCCCGCAGCCACAGCAAGCCTGCCAACTCAGGCTCAAGCAGAAGGGGAGCAGCGCCCCCATTCTTCCTGCTGGATGACACCCCAGCTCTTGTCTCTTCCTGGAATGGAGGTGGGAGGGCTTGGGGAAGATTCCACCATGATAGGACCCCATCTCCAAACTAAGGGGCAGCTCTTTCAGTTACCGTCCTCTACAAGAATTTGCTTTAAGTTCCAAGAAACAAAGGTGGAATGTATTTTAACACCATCACACATCGAAAGTGTTCTTTCCACTGCTGATGGCTCCATTCTTCAAGTCAAGGGCATATCTTTAGGGTGTTCTTGGGGGTATCGGGGTCCTGCTACCAGAGACCTCTTCACAGGTGTCCTCAGAAGTCCTGGGTACCCTCATCCCTCCTTATCTCAGAGACCTCTGAGGGGATGCAGATGAGGCCCCTGGTAAGCCTGCCCAGGGCCTGGCTAGATTTCCACCCCAGGGAAACCTGCTCTTGAGGACTCTGCAACATCCCAGTGACCACCAGCAGCCCATCTCTGTTTCACAGTGGTGACAATCTCCAGGCCCACACTAGCAAGCCTGGGTCTTCTCCCTCTCCCGTTGCCCTGACCTGAGACCCTTGCGGCTGACTGTTTCACTGCCTCACTCCCAGGTTTCAGTCACTACTTCTGATCTGCCATGTGCAAGGAAAACAGATATCCACGCTTGTTAGAACTGGGGAGAAAACTAGAGATTTTTAAGAAAAATCTATGACTATAATGACCATCATTTATAAACAACAACACTTTTAAAAATCAGATATTTGGTTGGTCAACTGTAAAGAAAATTAAAAAATGCCCCATAAAGTTTAGATGAATATTTATCCCACCTACAAGGAAAATGCATGAACGTATAGAAGTACTGTGACACAAAGTCCATTTGAGAGGCTAAAAGGCCAAAGTGTCCGGGGGCTGAAAACCTGCAGCCACCTGCCGGGTTCAAATGCCAGCTCTACCGCTTGACAGGCTACATGACTGTAACAAGTTACTTAACTTCTTTATACCTCAATTTTCATCATCTGCAAAATGGAGTTGATACTAATAATGCCTAGCTTACATGGTTTTTGTGAAGACTAAATTATCTGATCTGTATAAAGCATTTGGAGGCAGGCTGCCCACAGTAAATCCTATATAAGCGCTTGCTATTCTATTATTATCAAGATTTCAACAATTATGACTATTTAGTTCATGGGCTCTGTGACATCTATCTTGATTCTTAAGATCATTTTCCTTATTTCTTGTTATCTGTGAAGTCTTGAATAGCTGAGGTTACTGAGTAGTTCACTTCTATATAGGAGAGATACTATAAATGCTTCAGTAATGCACTCATGATGGAATGAAGACAGTTGACCATGTTCTTTGTTTTTGGTATAATTTTAAAAGATATATAGACACATATGCACATGTATACATACATATGCATACATCACATGCACTCATTTGTGCAAATAACCAATGGAGATTTAATGTCACTGTGAATTGCAAAACACACTCTACTGAGAGTATTAAAAAATAATGATGCTCACAAACTGAGATAGGTTGTCTTGATCGGACTCTGGTCACCCTGTTTAGGAAACAGTGTAATTGTACATGCTATGGTCTCCTCCATTGAGTTCAAGGACTCAGGAAATTGTATACTAGGTTTCCTGAGACAAAGCACCACTTTAATCAAATAATTAGTTATTTTGGTGTTTTAAAGCACAGCCCACAACAAACCATTATTTATTGTCCACCTAATGTATGCAAAGTAGCAAAACAAATAGATTTGCTATTAGTTTTTTAAAAAGTTAAATTATTTCTGGCGCCAGAACTAATTATTTAGTTAAAATCACTTTAGCATTGCTGCTATGTATATACTTTTATTAATTATCTATTTGATATAAATGTCTTCAAGTACGGTCATTAATGGAAAATGTTTGCTAAAACCAATAAATGATAGGATTTTGAAATCCATCAAAGTCTGCCAAATGCTAGCACTTTCACTTGTGTCTTGGTTCCTACTAAACAATTAACATTTATTATATTAAAATCCTTTAAGTTAACCATTTTATCTTGGCAGTTATCAACTCTGAGAGAGCGAATTTGTAGAGCCCTAATTCTGCAGCGAAGGCAAGTCTGTGATTTTGAAAATGGGGAAGATTGGAATCTGCCCTCTTCAGACTTAAAACAGGGGATCTTAATCAGGCTCCTCTTTCCTGGTGGATGGAGGTGGGGAAAGGCACGATTCTATAGACCAAGCCTGGCTGGATCTGTCGTCTTTCGTTCAGGCTTCAAAGTACTGGTCATGCCAAGTTTCATGTGGAAGGACGGTAGAGCCTGATAAACCTGCCCTTGGCCGTCCTCGGAGAGATTGACTAGGCCTGTGGTCAACGCTTTAAGTATCTTGTTCTGCACTGATCTCATCCTTTGGTCTAACCTAGAGATCTACAACTCAACAAATGTCATCATCGGTGTTCCCCGGATGAGAAAAATCAGTGGCTTACATGTTCATAGCTACTTGAACAGGAAAAAAAAAAAAAAAAAGGGCTTTGAGTTTTTCCTCCAAAATATTGTTACCCCTGAAACACATCTGTAGGCCTGGTTTTGAAACCCGTGGTAGCAGAGCCTACATGTTAGGGGCTTGAGGAGGACAGGGAGGTTGGGTGTTTCCACTCTGCATGTGAATCCTCTGAATTATACTTTTTTTACTCTGCTGTTTCAACAGTCCACTTGACATTAATGCCTACTAATTTGGGTAAATGTGGCTCTAGATCCTTTAAATGAAGAAAAAATCAAAAGCATGAAAAAGTGAAAACAAATTTAAATTTAGCAATTCAAGGTGCAATAAAACACCACCATATCCTTTAAAAAGGTAATTACATTGTAAGTCTCTGGTTAAAATGGAAACTGAGAGAAAGATTAATAAAATACATTATTGAGAAAGTAATCCATTTTTAAAGTTCAACTAATTCAACACAGCATACATTTACTAAAAGCCTAAACTATATTCCTGTCATAAGTATAATTAAGTAACTAATAAAATAAACCCAAAGCTCAATATTGTTTATATGGCTTGGAAGTAATTCCCAAGTACTTCTGAGCCCCAGGGGTAGGAGCCTTGTCCTGAGTAAGTCACTTCATTTGTCTAGGTGTTAATTCTTCTAACTGTAAAATGAAAATTATTTCCTCATGGAAAAATTCTTCTCTCTTCCTGTTTCCTTATAAGGCCCTTCAAATCCATTACCTTCTAATACTCCTTACATTCCTCCAGCATTAAATAAGGTGTTTAAACACAAGGTGAGTCATTTTCTTTTTTTTTTGGAAACGGAATTTTTTTGCTCTTGTCACCCAGGCTGGAGTGCAGTGGCATGATCTCGGCTCACTGCAACCTCTGCCTCCTAGGTTCAAGCGATTCTTCTGCCTCAGCCTCCCAAGTAGCTGGGATTACAGGCACGTGTCACCATGCCTGGCTAATTTTGTATTTTTAGTAGAGACAGGGTTTCACTATGTTGGACAGGCTGGTCTCGAACTCCTAACTCAGGTGATCCACTCAACTCGGCTTCCCAAAGTGCTGGGATTACAGGCGTGAGCCACCGCGCCCAGCCAGGTGAGTCATTTTCTAACTTGAAAATTCATTCTAATTATATTTATTGTCAACATAACTATATAAAATCTGTCCAATTCCTCAAAAGTCAATTTCAACAATGCGTTTGAAGGCAGATGCTTTCTCTGCCCATCACTGACTAAATTCCTTAGCTTTTGGGCCTAGGAAAATGACATGAAAATCCGGCAAGATGACGTCATGCCACAAGAAGGTTAATGTAAGAGAACCTCTGGCAAGTGAGACCGCCAGGTGGGCCCCTCCAGGCCTCTCTGCTCTGAACTCAACACACACAGCTCCTAAAAAGAGGAAACCAAAGCCGGAGTGGGTGAAGAGCCAGAGGAAGCCTAACATTTAGGATATTAAAATTCAGATCTCCCTTCCACAGTCCAGTTAACATAGACTTTAAAGTGTGCATGATGGACTTAGAAGTGAATGCAGGTTGAGCCTTAGACTAGCATAAAGTAGGGAGCAACACCCCAAATTATGGTAAACACTGAAAATATAGTAAATGGGCCTTAGACTTTGACTCCATTAATTTATAATTAGCAAGAAAACAGATTCCTTTAATGATTCCAAGGTGTTAAAAAGTGTTACAAAAAATTATTTCTGAAGCATCTCATTCAGACAGACAGAAAACGGTGGAAAGGCATTAGGGGCCGGAATGGTGCCCACCCATCCTGGGCGCCAGGCACAGGGCGCATTCTCACAAACATCTCCCCTTTCCCTTGTTGGGAAGACACAGGGTTGGATGAAATGATTTCTAAAGTCTGTTTAATAATAAAATTGGTCACATTTTGCTATTTCCACATCTTTGGTCATGAGAAAAATGAAGTCACTATGTAAATGATAGCCTCTAAGATGTTCAATGAATCAGTCTCAGAGACAGAAAAGTTTTGTCAAAAAACCATAAAAACAATTTTGGTGCCCTGGAGGCATCAAAAATTAGTTACCACCAATAGTTGCGGGACATTATCAAACACTTCAAATCTTTTCATTAGAAATTGACATTTTTCCTATTTTTGCTCTTAGTAGGTACTAGTTAAAATTCTACGTTAATGATGAAATGCTATTTGGAGTAGAACATGTATTCTTTAATGCCTCTAAGTATTTTATTAGAGATCATTTTATAATTTCCTCATAGGAACATAAGTCAAAGTCTACTGCATTTAAATAATTACTTGCCTTACACACACCACAAAAGCATTAGTTGGACACTGGTATAAATTCCATACAAAATGCCAGTTCTTTGAAGCCATCTGAATCTCCTTGAGAATATTTCCTAAAAGCCTCACCTATGACTTTAAAACGGAAGATGGAGAAAATGCCAGTTGCAACCTCGCTGGCTCTCATTAAGGGGTCACTGTCAGAAATTGGTTGAGGAGAAGGAGAAGGAGGGGTAATTTCCCTTTAAAATGGAGAGGAGCTTCTTTTAGAAAGGAAATTCGCTGAGGAAGTTGTTTTAAAACAAATAAATGTTCAGGATGAAGCCAGCAAAAGGTGTGAAGGGGCCCGCTTTGATTTTCCAATTTGTGTATTTGGGCTCAGACAAGGACAACATTTTATGCACATATTAATCGAATGCAAATACACCTCCCGCGAGGACAGCGGTATTTGACACTGAGTATTGTCAACAGAAAGGTTTTTGGCGTATTTTTTAATCTCATCAAGGTGCCTATGGAAGGGGCAGTACCCGGGGAGGTGGGACGTCCCTGTGCCTGGGAATGGAGTCTGGGCTGGACTTCCAGATGGGTCCGGAGCAAGTGATTTACGGAATTATCTCCACATCAATGAGTTTTTGGAAAGCTGTAAACATCTCCTTCCAAGTCTTCAGGTGACTGTGTTTGTTTAGCCCCCTCCTCCTCTCCCCCAGGAGCTCTGGTTCTTCAACTTGAGTGGGCATCAATCACCTGGGGGGCTTGTGACAACAGTTTTCGAGGCCCCACCCCACCTGAGGCCACAGCTCTGTGGGGCCCAGGGATGTGCATTTCTCACAAGTCGCCGGGTGACGCTGGTCCAAGACCACACCTTGAGACCCGCTGCTCTAAACATCGGTTTTGATCCTCAGATGCTCTAAAACGTTGCTTGTTCCGAAAAAGGGGGACAGCAAACTAGAGCTTTTACCACACATTGGATAAAGAAGTTGTGCTCATTCAACACCAACAGGAAGCTTGTTTCCAAAGGCTTACCAAGCTGTGCAGGGCGAAACCTGTCATGAGGTGAGGGTGGGTGAAGGCTTGGAGGTGAAGGAAATCTATCTTTTCACGCCCCAGTGCTGGTTTCTTGTCTTTTTTGTAGGGAACGGCATTCAAACACAGACCCATGCAGTAAGCTGTGGACACACTTAGAGAAACCCGAGTTGATTTTTATTTATTCATCCATCGTTCTTTCACTCAAAATCATGTATTAAATGCCTCCTGTGTGCAGGTGCTGTTCTGGGCTTTTAGGAAATGTGGGTGAACAGTGGACTCCTTGGCCCTGGAGCTTCGGTAGGAGAAACAGTAAAGAGGTCTAAGATTTAGCTGCCATGGTCTGGAAGGAGGTGACCTGTGCGATGACAAAGCCAGGAAGGTGGGAGAGGGGTCCAGGAGTGGGCAGCATGGGGCAGCTGCGAAGGGGATGGGGGCTGGTGGCAGGTGAGCCCAGATGAGGTGGGCAGTGGGAGGGGCTCTTACCAGAAAGGGGTCCCGATCCGGACCCCAAGAGAGGGATTTTGGATCTTGCGCAAGAAAGAATCCAGGGCGAGTTCAGACAGTAAAGTGAAAGCAAGTTTATTAAAAAGGAAAGGAATAAAGAAGCGGCCACTCCATAGGAGAGCAACCCCGAGAGCAGCCTGTTGCTCATTTTTATGGTTATTTTTTGATGATATGCTAAACAAGGAGTGGATTATTCATGCTTCCCTTTTTCAGACCATAAACTGTCATGGCGCTGGTGGGAGTGTAGCATCGAGGACGACCAGAGCTCACTCTTATCGCCATCTTGGTTTTGGTGGGATTTGGGCTCTCCTCTACTGCAACCAGTTTTATCGGCAAGGTCTTTATGACCTGTGCCTTATACTGACCTCTTATCTCATCCCGTGACTTAGAATGTCTAACTTACTGGGAATGCAGTAGGTCTCACCCTTATTTTACCAAGCCCCTACTCAAGATGGAGTCGCTCTGGTTCAAATGCCTCTGACAGGGCCTCTGAGGGAAGAGTGCTCCCCAGGAAGGGCCCTCGAGGGCAGAGGCCCTGCCCTGGACCCTGACTCCATCCTCAGGAAGCAGCAAGGAGGTCGGAGGGGTGAGCAGGGAGGACAGGAGGATGGAGGAGGGACGGCCCAGACTGAGCCTGATGCTGTGCTGAGAGGAGACAGGTATGCACAGGTGGGCAGAGAGTGGCGATGGGGACCCGGACTTGTCCAGGTGGGAGGGGCTGTGGCCCGGACCAGGGGCTTCGGGGACAGGGATGAGAAGCAGGAGGATTCTGGACACAGTTCTGAGGAAGAGCTGTATTCCTCTTATTGGGATTCCATGGCCTTCATCCTTGTCTAGAGAGGTTGGTGCCGGCCGTGCCTCTGTGGGAGGGGTGTGGGCTGAACCCAGGCTCCTTAGTGAAGCATTGCCCTGGCCTGAGCTTCTGCCACAGTCTGACTGGAACAGCACTAGGCCATTTATCTGTTTTCACAGTAGATGTCCCTGACACTACCAGGTCGTGCTACATTTGTCAGTGGGTCGCCTTGACAGGCTCCTCGGCCATCTCCTTCCCTTCAGGTTACTTGTCTTTTGTGCCAGCAACCCACACCCCTCACCCACACAGTTTCTCCATTTCCCCTAAGTCAGTGGACACTTGGACCCCACCCCCCACCCCGAGACACTGGGTCAGGATGGGGCTCAGGACAGACACCAGTGCACCATCCATTGGTTGAGTACACACTTCAGCATGGCGTCTTTCATGCGGTCAGTGAGAAGCTCGTCATTGGGACCCCAACAAGGTTCAGCACATAGAGGGGGCTAAGTCCCCAATTCCCAGGGGCTGTCCTGAAATTCTCCATAGTCTGCCATTGAAAAGGAGACATGGGATGTCCCCCTTATGTGGCCAGGCTGCCTTTCAGCCACCAACCACCCAGCCGAGGTGGGGGATGGCCCGATCCTCATTACTGGTGCCACAGAGGTGCTGCCTCAGGGCAAGGTGGCCTGTGGTCGATGCCATTTCACTCATCTCAACCCAGCAGAGGACAATGCCCTCCATCTGTTCCCGTAGACAGAGAAGCCACCCCATGACCGACTCTCTGCCCTTCTGTCTGAACCCATTTCTCAGCTCCATCCATTCTACAGTAGTGTTGGCCCAAGCTGCCATCTTGCAGGCAGGGGCAAATCTTGGGGGCTGCTCCCTGCAGGTGCAGTTGGTCTGCCTTTATCTTGGTGGTGCCTGCTGGTGGCGCAGAGAGGAGAGGAACACCTATGGGCTCATCTCAGTCTTCACTCTCCTCCATGCTAGAGCCCTCCATAGAATCCCGGAACTTAGGGCTTCAGGACGATTTAGTAATAATAGCCCTGACCAGTTGACGTGGTGGCCAGTGACTATTCCAATGGGCATGCAACAAGCCAGGGTGTCTGTTTTGTCACCCTGTGCCAGCAGGCAGAGCAGTAAGGTCTCCAGGATCTCAGCCCCAGCAAGTCTCACCCGTCTTTCTAGTCATAGTGGCCCTGTAGCTGAGGAACCCACCTGCGCTGTGCTGACCTCAGTGGCCGCTGACCTCAGGGGCCATGGCTGGGGGCCCTGACTTTCACTTAGTCGGATCTACACCCTGCAGCCGCTCTTCCAGACCCTCTGGCGTTTTAGGGGCATCTCCCTACTCAGGCATGGGCCCCATCCATCAAGGATAGCAGCTACTGGCCCCACATTGGTGTGGAGGGCCCACCTGGGATTGCCCCACAGATCTCCACCCCGCTTCGGTGCATCCCATGGGCTCAGCAGGCACGGGGCTTCTTCCCACCTCCTGCCTAGCCCCCGCATCACTGTGCTGAGCTCCTGTGGGCTCCAACAGGGGTGGTGCCACGTCCAAGAGGCCCACAGGAGACCTGGAGCCAGCATGGGAGACACATGCAGTGGTGGCTGCCGGACGGGAAAACCGCTACTGTTTGTAAAGAACGTGCTGTTTACACAGCATTTTCCCTTTGCAGCCTCCAGCTAGCAGCCTCCATCTGACCCAAAACAAAGGGCCTTGATCCCCTGGTACAGCCTGCGCTCCAAGGGCTGGGCCAGGGGTTCAGATTCCTTCATGGATGAAGAGTGGATCTCCAGGTTGGCCACTCCTGGATTCCTTAGCTGGGGACTCTGAACACACGCTCTTTTTAGACCACCGGGTGGGTCTCAGGGCACACTTCCGTTACAGCTGCCAGGTGCATCTGCCACACGCAAGGATGCCCAGTGTGTCTGCCAAGACTCCACAGAGCCAAATACTGAGAAAACCACGTCACCTTCAGTGGGAGGGTCTGCACAGAAGATGGCAAGGGCGATGGGTGCAGGGATGGGGAAAGAACTTTGGCCAAAACTCAATCTGGGCCGGGCGCAGTGGCTCTCGCCTGTAATCCCAGCATTTTGGGAGGCCGAGGTGGACGGATCACCTCAGGTCAGGAGTTCAAGACCAGCCTGGCCAACATGGTGAAAACCCCGTCTCTACTAAAAATACAAAAAAATTAGCCAGGTGTGGTGGCGGGCACCTGTAATCCCAGCTACTCGGGAGGCTGCGGCAGGACAATCGCTTGGACCCGGGAGGCAGAGGTTGCAGTGAGCTGAGATCATGCCACTGCACTCCAGCCTGGGGGACAGAGGAAGACTCTGTTTCAAAAAAAAAAAAAAAGAAAAACAACACACAAAACAACAACAACAAAACTCAATCTGCTGTAGGGTTCTTGTTCCTTTTAGTGAGAATAACACTAGTGATCAAATCTGAGTGTGAGAATGGGTGCTCAGTGCTACTGGGTGTCAGAGCTTCTAGGTTCTTTCAGTAGATATATTTCAAGTTAGAAAATATATCTTACAAATAAAGCATGAGTTCATATTAATATTTTCAGCGCAAACATAACACTGTAAAATTTTGCATGGACTTTTATTTTGTACTTGTATTCTTTTCTCACACTAAAAACCTTGGTTTACAAGAGCATTCAAAATTACTTATTTTATCTTATACATAAAATAATTTCAAAACAATAATTCTAATATTATTACTGACAAATTGCTAAATTCAGTTTAAGATTTTTAAATTTCTTTTGTACTTACACTATATTTCACTAAGCATGTAAATAAAGTAAATAAAAATACTGTGTTTTAAAGACCAAGAAATGGTTGTTTTCTGTATGTGGTTACGTTACCAATTTGATATACAATTAGGTTCACACATTACAGTTTTCAATTGTATAAACCGTTTTCTGTATGATTTAATTGAACGGTACAAAAATCAAAGAGGATTAGAGGGTTAATGATTGAACTGTCACTTTCATGCCATCATTTTCCCCCTAGGGTTCGCTGTTTGTAACCATCTTTGTTAGTTTCTGGTTTATCTTTAAAAAAAAAAAAAAAATATATATATATATATATATATATAGAGAGAGAGAGAGAGAGAGAGAGAGAGAGAGAGAGAGGCAGGGTCTTGCTTTGTGGCCCAGGCTGGAGTGCAGTGGTATAATTATGGCTCACTGCAGGCTCAACTTCCCAGACTCAAGGGATCCTCCCGCCTTGGCCTTCCAAAGTGCTGGGAATACAGGTGTAAGCCACTGCGCCTGGCCTCGGCTTTATCCTTCTTTTTGCTAATATATACACACATATTCTTATTTCCCCACATATATGACACAAGACGCGGCCATCTATTTCTTCTGTTCTGCCCCTTGATTTTTCCCTCGCGGATGTGATATCCCGCAGATCTTGACCTATCAGTCCACAGAGATCTTCCTCTTCTTGTGGCTTCATAGTCAGCCCACTACTCGTGGACATTTTGGTTGTTTCGATCTTGTGTTATCACAAATAATGCTGTAATTAACAACACTGTGCCCAGATCGCTCTGTGCTTATGCCAGTATAAGGTTTAGATAGATTTCTAGCAGATAGGGTTGCTAGATTGAAGGGCAAATGTAGCTGTCATTTTGTTTCTATTGCTTTTAAAAATGAAATCATGTTTTTAATCCAAAGTCAATCTTCACCCATGTCAGCATGCTCTCCTGTGTTAGATGAAATAATCTCTCACACCTGTTTGGGACTGTGGATTAGGTCTTCTTTTTTCTGCTGTCTTAAAAAGTAAACTTGTTATATATGGTATATTTATTCTGAAATTTCAGATGGATTCCCCTATTCTATACTACTGAATCTTTTCTCGTGTCTGGTCATGTTTTTGCTGTCTTCTCATTCACGTGTGTGTGTCTGTGTGTGCACTCATGTGCCTGTGTCTTTGTGCATGCTCTTGTGTGTCTGTGTGTGCACGTGTGTAATGTGTGTCTCTGTGTGTGCTCATGTGTGCCTGTGTTTTTGTGTATGCTCATGTGTGTCTGTATACGTGCATGTCTTTGTGCATGCTCCCAAATATTTGTGTGTACTTGTCTGCTTGTGTGTGTATGTACATGTTTGTATATTGGGGGGGCAGAGGAACAAGTGTGTGGCATTGAGCTGTGTCAGGGGCCAATATGGTTTCCAATATTGACATATTGGTTTTTTATATTTCTTAGAAATTTCTGGATCTCCCATTAGCATCTTTTAATCTGTGAACACAATTCAGGGGAAATGGTTTACCCAAGCTGTATATTTGGGGCTTCAGGCAGCAGTGAGGTACGGAAAATAAGGGAAGCGTGAACAGTGCTGCCCAGGGTCTCAGAGGTTCAGCTGCTTCAGGTGAGGACCAGGTGATGTCATCACCAGCTCCCCCTGGATGTGCGATGTGCTCACCTGTAAGGGCGGCTGACGGGTCCGACATCATGGTCACGGTCTCTGTCACCTGTTGAGTGTGCTGAGGGCAGGCCCAGCCCTGAGCATTTCACACAAACAGACCCCTTAACCTCAAGGCCACCCCAAGGCATGGGTGCCTCAGCCTGACTCACAGATGAGCAAACCTCAGCCCCAAGAGAGGAAGCCCCCGGCCCAGGCCCCGGCCCTCCACATGTGGTCACAGCCCCCGGCCCCACTGGGCCCTTCACTTGTGACACCCACGCCTCCCTGGCCAGGCTGCTGCCACTTGCTTGGCAGGGGCTGCTCATGCCTCCAGTGTTCTCACAGAACTGGCTGGTTCTGGCCACCAGCCAGGCTGCTGACCCCGAAAATGGAAAAAGCTTTGGGGTGATCCCAAACTCCCTCCACCGAACCCATGAGCCTGCCTGCACCTCATCTGTCCTGTTGGCTGGGGCTGGGGAATTGGGGGTGGTCGTGAAGGGTGGGAAAGAGGGTCTTCCTTCCCCAGCGTCCTGTTGGCTGAGGGGGGTGTTGTGGGATGTGGAGGAGGGGCTCTTCCTCCTCCAGGGTCCTGTTGGCTGAGGAGGGGTTTGAGGGAGGAGAGGGTCTTCCTCCCCAAGGATCCTGTTGTCTGGGGTGGGAGGGGGGCTCGCGAGGGGGTGGGGGAGAGGGTCTTCCTTCCCCTGAGGGAATGGGGGATCTGGGGGGAGGTATGAGGGGTGGGGGAGAGGGTTTTCTTCCCCAAGGGTCCTGTTGGCTGGGGAGGGTGGGTATTAAGGGGCTGAGGAGAGGGTCTTCCTCCCATGGAATCCTGGCCTCAAAAGGGTCTTTCTTCTCTGGATATCAAGTTTCTCGGTTTTAAAACTCAAAGGATGAATCTAGGGGATCACCAAGGATTTACACAGCCTGGGGTATCTCTGTTCGTTCGTGCTGGTTACCCAGGGCAGGCACCTGGGGCCCAGCATATGTTTTGGGGGTAAGCGCTTCTTGGGTGCAGAGGCGCCGCCTGCCGCCCGCCGCCCGCGCCGCTTCCGCTCTCCGGCTCTAGAGGGCGCCCTAGCACAAGGAGCCGCCTCGCCCGGGCTGCTGGTGCAGGTTTCAACGCTCGTGCTCTCTCCCTGGGACCTTGGATGACAAAAAGCTGCGTGAATTTTTCACATGCATTCATGTGAAAGAAAACTGACTTTTAAAAAGTGTTATTAGAATTTGCAACTTTATGTTCTCAAAGTTTTAATTTTGCCAGAACTACAGACTTTCAGTATAAATGTACAGTGATATTTCCTGCCACCAACAATGGCTCTGTTGTCCAATGAACCGAGGACATCAAATACAGAAACACCAAAGACGCCACAAATTCAATTTGTTAGCAATCACACGAACAGTTGCTACCTGTCCCAGCAGGATCTGCTGCAGTGCCTTTTCTGTCTTCATCAGCAGGAAAACTCTTCTCGCTGGGCTTCTTTCCGTATGCCTTTTTGTATGACCTTTCAAGATTTCTGACAGCCTAAGTCACACACACACACACACACACACACACACACACACGTGTATCATATTTTAGATCAGGATAATTTTTACAGAGAAAGATTTTTTTTTTAACCGAGACAGAGTCTCGCTCTGTCGCCCAGGCTGGAGTGCAGTAGTGTGATCTCGGCTCACTTCAGCCTCCACCTCCCAGGTTCAAGCGATTCTCCTGTCTCAGCCTCTCAAGTAGCTGGACTACAGGCATGCACCACTGCGCCCTAATTTTTGTATTTTTAGTAGACATGGGGTTTCACCATGTTGGCCAACTGGTCTCGAACTCCTGACCTCAGGTGATCTACCTGCCTCAGCCTCCCAAAGTGCTGGGATTACAGGCGTGCATCACCACGCCCAGCGTGGTGATTTTTTTTTTTAATACTGTGTTTCCCCATGCATTTAACAAATTGTGGTTCCCTATGACAGTGGCTAGGGGTGAAGTCATGGAGCTCCGTGTGTTTGTGTGCCCATACCCACTCCCAGACAAGAGCATGGACGAGCTGATTGTAAAAACATGCCTTTGCCAAAGCGCAGTGCCATAGGACATCAAGGCCTCTGGGCTGCATCGCAGAAAAAATGTGCCACAAACTGGCCACTCTTCCCCATGCTCACTGAGGACACAGAATAGGAACAATTACTTACCGAGAAGAGAAAGGCTTTCATGAGAAAGAGAGAAATGAAGAAGCAGGCAAGATCATCCAAAGTCCATACCAGTGCTGCTGAAAAGGAAATTGTCTTTCCAAGCACAGCGACACCGCGAAACTCAACAAAGTGACGGGCTCAACGCAGTGGCAGCCTCTGCCAGGGCTCTGGGCCACCGGAATTCCCTGCCTCCTTCGGCTTGGCCACCACGAGCTCCTCCCCAGGGCTCTGTTCTGTCCTTGGCTTTCCTTTCTCAAGCAGTGCTCTGGATTTCCGTAGCCTGGCAACGAGGTTAGGGGGTGGTGGTTGAGGGAAAGAAGCCCTGAGCTGGTGGTTTGTCAAAGGCACTTGGAAACCCAGCCAAAGGAGTCCTGGCTGGGAGTTACGGAAAGGAGAGAGAGACATCACAGAAAAACCATTTTCTACATGCCTTTGTCTTTATTTTGCCTTGTCTTTCTTCCACTGGCACCTATATTAATCTCTCCTTGAGGTTAGCAAATACTCTTATTTTTAAATTAAGATACATAATTCACATACCATAAAAATCACCCTTGATACAATTCAGTGGTTTTTAGTATTTTTCCAAGGTTATGCAACTGTCTTCACAATCAATTTTAGAACATTTTCACTGCCCCATAAGCCACCCAGTACCCATTAGCAGTCACTCCCCATTTCCCTGTTGTTAGCTCCTGGCAACCACTAATCTCCTTTCTGGCTCCATAGATGTTATGGGCTGAAAGTGTGTCCCCCAAAATTCACATGTTGAAGCCCCAGCTCCCCATACCTCAGAGTGCGACTGTAGTTGGAGATGGGGCCTTTAAAGAAGTGACTAAGTTAAAATAAGGTTGGATGGGTGGGCCCTGATCCAAACTAACTGGTGTCTTTGTAAGAAGAGGGCACTAGGACTCTGGCTGTGCGGGCACAGAGGGGCGACCATGTGAGGACACAGTGAGAAGGCGGCCATCTGCAAGCCAAAGAGGGAGGCCTCACCAGGTGTCAGCTCTGCTGACACCTTGATCTCAGACTTCCAGCCTTCAGAACTGTGAGATGATAAGTTTCTTACTTAACCCACTCTGTCTGTGGCACTTGGTTATGGCAGCTCTGGCAGATGAACGCGATAGATTTTCCTCTTCCAGATGCTTCACATAAATAGTCATACAATATGTGGTCTTCTGCATCCGGTGTCTTTCACTTAGAATAACATTTTCAAGTTTCATCATGTCGTGCATATATATAAGTATTTCATTCCTTTTTATGGCTGAATAATGTTCCATTGTGTGGACAGACCACATTTTGATTATCCACTCATCAATTGGCAGACATTTGGACTGTTTTCACTGTTTGACTATTATGAATAATGCTGCTATGAAAATCATATATAAGGTTTTTTGTGAACATATATTTTCGGTTATCTTGCGTAACTGATTCCACCTAGAAGGGGAATTTCTGGGTCATGTGATAACTCTATGTTTAACTTCTTAGGAAACCACCAAATTGTTTCCCAAAGCATCTGCACTACTTCACGTTCCCACCAGCAACATATAAGGGCTCCAATTTCTCCACATCGTAGCCAACACTTGTAATTGAAATCTTTTTTATTAGAGGCATTCTAATGAGTGTGAAGTGATATCGTGTTGTGGTCAAGGTATTCTTTGATATCAACAATGGTTAACACAACAGTTTCTTTTTCTGAGCCTCATCTTCCAATACTTGTACTTTTCACAAACATCAGAAACATAATCACTAGTCATGTGGCCCATTACTGAATATGACGTAATGATTTTATACTTCAGCCATATTTGCGTCATTGAACTTGTCTAACTGTGCATGTGCGTTTTTGTGTGTATGTTTGGTGTACATGCACATGGGCATGGTCAGGCATTCACATGTATGTTTATGCATGTCTGTACATGCATGCACTCGTGTATGTGAGCATGCCTGTGTGTATGTGTGCTTGTGTGCATTTGTGCAGGTGCATATTTGTGCATGTGTGCATGTGTGTGCATTTTATGTGTGCATGTGTGTTTCTACATGTTTTTGTGTGTACACATTTGTGCGTATGAGTGTATGTACATTTTGTGTGTGCAGGTGTGTTTGTACTTTTTTGTGTGTGCACATTTGTGCATGCGTGAGTGTGTGTGCATTTTGTGTACATGTGTGTTTGTACTTTTGTGTGTGCACATTTGTGCATGTGTGAGTGTGTGCATTTTGTGTGTACATGTGTGTTTGTACTTTTGTGTGTGCACATTTGTGCATGTGTGAGTGTGTGCATTTTGTGTGTACATGTGTGTTTGTACTTTTTTGTGTGTGCACATTTGTGCATGTGTGTTTGTGTGCATTTTGTGTGTGTATGTGTGTTTGTACATTTTTTTGTGTGTTCACATTTGTGCATGTGTGCGTGTGTGTGCATTTTGTGTGTACATTTGTATTTGTACAATTTTTGTGTTTGCATATTTGTGCATGTGTGAGCGTGTGTGCTTTTTGTATGTGCATGTGTGCTTGTACATTTTTTGTGTGTTCACATTTGTGCATGTGTGAGTTTGTGCATTTTGTGTGTACAGGTGTGTGCACATTTTTGTGTGTGCACATTTGTGCATGTGTGTGTGGATTTGTGTGTGCATGTTTGTATATGTTTGTATGTACATGCATGTGTGCACAAGCTTATGTGTGTTTGTGTAGACATGTGTTTGTGCATGTGCATGTGTGCTCTCCTCCCACACAACTAGATCTCCTGGTCACGAGTAATTGTTCCTTTGACCATCCTTTTCCATTACTAAGCTGCCAAATCACGGGTGCCTAACTGGCACCAGGTGCTTCTGGGACAGTGCTCTTCCAGAAGAGCCTAGAGAGCTCACTCTGACCACGGCCCCCAAGCTGCTCCCCTTAACAACTTCCAGAACACTCTGGGGTAAAGATAAAATGAATTCATATTCTGTCTGAACCCCCAGTCCTCAACATAGCTCTCAGACTCCCTTTCTTTTTGAGACGGAATCTCGTCGTCACCCTGGAGTGCAGTGGCTCCTTTTTTTTTTTTTTTTTTGAGACGGAATCTCGCCCTGTCACCCAGGCTGGAGTGCAGTGGCGCAATCTCAGCTCACAGCAACCTCCACCTCCTGGGTTCAAGCAATTCCCCTGCCTCAGCCTCCAGAGTAGCTGGGATTACAGGTGCGTGCCATCATGCTCAGAAAATTTTTTTTTTTTTGTATTTTTAGTAGAGATGAGGGTTCACCCATCTGCCCACCTGGGCCTCCCAAAGTACCGGGATTACAGGCGTGGGCCACCGCACCCGGCCAGCTCTTGTACTTCCTATTCAGCCTCCTGAGACGTAGTTCTGTTAGAAATTCCCTCACATCTTCCCAAGGCCACCAGCCCTCTATGATCTGCTGCCACTGAACCTCACTCTCTCTAACCTTGTCTCCCATTCCCTGAAGCTCAGTTTCATGCCCAGAAGGCCCGACTCATGGTCCGTAAAGTTCTTTCATAGCTCCCTTCACCGTCAGCCCCTTCATACCTTCTAGCTGTGCTCGGACAGCCCCTCTCGGTGAGAGCTTTGCTGAGCACCTTATTAAAATTGCAGACTTCACCCCACCCTCATCCTCCTCTCCCTGCACTACTTTATTCTTCTCCATACTGCTGATTACATTCTAACAAACTGTTTATATACCTGATTTACTTCTGTACAATTCCAAATATAGCTTTAGAAATAATTAACTTATCCAGCTGGCTTCCTGGCTGTCTCCCTCCACCAGACCCAAGCTCCGCTGCCGGGGCTGCTTCACTGTCATGTTCTCTGCCTGCATCCCTGCTGCCCAGAACACTGCCTGGCACACAGGAGGCACTCAATCGGTGTTTGTTGAATTGAATGTGTGTGACACTGGTCAGAGGAGGAAGGAGTAACAGATAAGCTGATAAAAACCATGGTCACTCTAGTGATCATTTTAACCCCAACAAGGGTGAAAATGAGAGGCAATAGCTTCAAGTTCAAGGCATCTAGAAATGCACTTTGAACATCTTAAATAAAATTGTATTAAACGGATAAAAAATATATAGTTCAAATATTTTTATGTCAACTTGACTCTATGCTCTTGAAGCAATTATTCAGAGTATCTGAGTTCTCAATGAACATCTTTCTAACAAGTCTTGGACTTTTCCGTAGTAACAAAAATGGAAGAGCTTCAGAGCACCAGGGCGGGGGGCAGGGGAGCACTACCTGTCTGAGCTCCCGTGTCTTTGTGGGAATGTGGGAATAACAATGTCTCACAAGACTGTGCTGGGGATCAGATGTAATCATGTAAAAAGGAGCTGTGAAGCATACAATGCTAAGCAAACCTTGTTATTCTCACTATGACTACTTCCAGGCTCATCTCCACACTACTGGGGTGAGAAGGGATTTTGTGTAAGGACCGAGCACTTAGCCAGCAGAGAAGTCATTTCCACAGATGGTGTCCTCTGAGACTGCAGGTCTTTGCGGGATAACAGCGCCGTCTTCCTGAGCTGTCCGGAAAGGCGATGTCCATGGGACCCAAGAGCTCAAAGTCCCACCAACCCCCTGAGGCCCCAGTTGCAGCCCCTCAGCCCCAGCCTTTCTGGAGAGGTCTGCTATTTTCTGTTCAAATCCAGAATTCCTAGCTCCTGAATTATTTTGTTTGGACCATCTCCTTGGGTGCATTCGCCCAGCTGTGCTGAATGGCGTTGCGGGGTCTACGGGAGAGCAAGTGTGAAGACTGGAGGCAGTGGCAGCCCGAGGGTGGGGCTGGAGCGGATGGTGAAGGGTGAGGATGGAGCCAACAACCCACCAAGGAACATGGAGCTGAAGGGCCTCTGCACACTGGGACACCTGTTCTCAGTCTTTATCCTCTCAGCTGGGTTGTGCGAGGTCCCTCCTGCCTCTGCACCTGGGGGATCAGAGAGAAGTGGCATTGAGCCTGGGAGTCCTACGGGGAGGCCAATGGGGCAACGCAGACCATGGAAACGCCACGGCACCCTGGAGGAAGCTACACCCTAGAATGGGGCTGACAAAGAGGGAGCTGAGGAGTACACCAGAACCATGAGCTCTCAACCCACTGCAGACGAAAAGACAGCACTGTCTGCACGCAGCCTTCAGCAGCTAAGGCAAGGAAGAGATGCTTGAAGAATCATGTCTGCTGAAAACCCAAGGATCCATGGAGCTGAAGAAAGAGGAGGGTCCAAGGGGGGCCGGAAATAAAGAGACCTGCGCTCAATCAACCCTCAAAGGGAGTTCACCAATTTCTTAGAAAGAAGGGCACTTACGTTAAGTTCATTCTTTCAAAATGATTTCCTGAGAGCCTCTGTATTTCTTCATGAAACAAGCTTAAAGAGAAGCTCCCCCAGTGCACACCAATACGTTAGTATATTGTTCTATCTTTGAATATTTAGATTCGCATTAACTGAAAAGTAAAACTACTCACAGGTCGCAGTCCACAGTGTGGCTTAATCACTTCCAGGCTTTGTATTGTCACGTTAGTGTTCTGACTTGAGGCAAAACTGAATCCTTTGAGGCTATGAGACCATAACAGACAACTGCGTAGAGACCCTGGTGCCCAGAGAATGAGCGGAGCCCTAAGCAGCTGCCCTCCTGAGCTCTATCTTCACAGGCCTCGCTCCAGCCTGTGCACTGCACCTGCGTCTGACTCACAGGTTCCTGATTGCCAAGATGTGTTACAGGAAAACTGTGCACACAGGCATCTTATCACCTTGTTTAAAAAGTATGTTTCTCCTTTTCTCTGGACCGGATCCTAAATCAGAGCGAGTCATTGGTATCTTGATTATTGTCTTGTGTCAAACAAAATGTTTATTTCCCCCGTGGAATGTAAAATTCCCAGAGAGCATTCCTCTCTGGCTCGTACTCATACTGGTCATTCCATCTGCTATAATTTGAATGTGTGCCCCAAAGTTCACATGCTGGAAGCTTCATCCCCAGTGCAACAGTGTGGGGACTGTGGCCTTTAAGAGGTGACTGGGTCATGAGGGCTCTGCTTAGTGAATGGATGAAGGCTGTTATCACAGGAGGGGTTCTGTCGGGATTGGGCTGGGCTCTGCCCCCTTTCCCTCTTTCTCTCTCTTCCGTGCTGTCTTCTGCTTAGTGAATGGATGAAGGCTGTTATCGCAGGAGGGGTTCTCTTGAGATTGGGCTGGGCTCTGCCCCCTTTCCCTCTTTCTCTCTCTTCCGTGCTGTCTTCTGCTTAGTGAATGGATGAAGGCTGTTATCACAGGAAGGGTTCTCTTGAGATTGGGCTGGGCTCTGCCCCCTTTCCCTCTTTCTCTCTCTTCCGTGCTGTCTTCTGCTTAGTGAATGGATGAAGGCTGTTATCACAGGAGGGGTTCTCTCGGGATTGGGCTGGGCTCTGCCCCCTTTCCCTCTTTCTCTCTCTTCCATGCCGTCTTGCCCTTCCGCTTTCCACCATGGGATGATGCAGCACAAAGGTCCTTGCCAGATGCTGGCACCTGAGTATTGGACCTCCCAGTCTCAGAGCTGTGAGAAATAAATTTATTTTATTTATAAATCACCCAGCCTGTGGTATTTATTCTATAATAGCAGCACAAACAGTCGAAGACACCACCCAAGAGGAGTTAGCTGTATTTTACTTAATGCCTAAGTTTTTAGGAACAAGATTGCTCAGGAAGAAATAATGCGTTCAGCGGTGGTGCATTCCGGTAATAAGCTCCTAAAGCACCTGTCAGGAGAAAAATCACATCTTGGACAAACAACACCTGAAGGTATTTTATGGGCAGTCCAGCGTGAGATAACTGCAGAGGCTGTAATCTAAACGTGTGCTGCATCTTGGCTGTGGTCTCCGGGCTGAGTGAGGCTGGTGGTCAACACCTTGAGGGGTGCTTTTATGGCATTAGCGGGATCTCATGAAGACGCTGATTTTCCCACTGCTTCACGCTTCTGCTGCTGTAGGACCTGCCCCAGGGGATGACAGAGCCCCTTTTACAGGCTTGTTCACATGAGGCTGCCCACGGCAGTTGCCAGCACTGTCCTGTGGGAGGGTGGGAGCTCACTTACAGTGTTTGTCAATTTCTGTGGGGATTTGAAGCTTCCATGTGAAATCAACTGGCTCAGGAAGTTTCTGAAAAGCTCACACAGAGTTCTGCCCCAGTAGGATAACCAGCTCCCACCGAAAAGCTCACACAGAGCTCTGCCCCAGTAGGATGAGCAGCTCCCACTGAAAAGCTCACACAGAGTTCTGCCCCAGTAGGACGAGCAGCTCCCACACATGCGGCACCACCAGGGCAGAAGGTGTGCTCCTCACCCGGCCCAGCGTCTCTGTGAACCTGGACATGCTACAGCTTTGTGCTGGGGGAGACCCCTCTGGAGAGGTGAGTCTGCACCCCACAGCTTCATGTAAACTCCTTGAGCCTCACCTCCCTGAGGATGTATGAGGCGGGCCTGTGCCCTGGCCATTCCCTAAATGGCGACTAAGAGCACCGTGGGCATTGGCGGGATTTCTGGCAGGGCACTTGCTGATACAAAGGGAGGCAGGAGCACATTCAGCAGCCTGGTCCACAGGGCGGGGGGCCTGGCCATTGCTGTCTCACATCCCGTGAGGGCAGGCTCTGCTCCTTGCAGAACCCCAGAGAAAAAACCATTCCCTCTCACTTCCTGGCTTGCAGCCCCATTCCCCCATCTTCAATCCACGCCCTGACCCCACCACCACCCATCTCCAGCCCATCTCTGCCCTGCCAAGTTCAGACCCAGCGAGAGCTCATGGTCCCTCCTCTTTGTGGTCTTGGTTTTCTTCCCAGGAGTCCATAGTCCCTTCTCTCTGGATGAGGCTCTCACTCTGTGCCCCCAGAACTGTCTGCCCCCTGGGACTGTGTCTGCCCCCCTGAACTGTGTCTACCCCTTGGCTCTCAGTGCAGCAGTAGGTGACCGTGGCACGGGAGGCATCCAGGTACCAGGAACTACACGCAGCTGGGTAGGAGGGGTGCTGCCCCCGGCCTCAGCAAACCCCTCAGAGACAAGGCTACTTGGATTATAGCAATTTTATATAACTGCTGAGCAAGCTGAGACAATGACTTTTCAACTTTTCAGTACTTCTATTTTGTGCCCTATTAACTAATATTCAATTTTTAATGCCAGTTGTATTTGTTGGAAGAAAATAATAATAGTAAAGAGACAGCTATTAGGAACATTATGGGTATTATGCTGTTTTCCTGTGATTGAATACTACATATTCTCTGGTTTCTGTAGCTAACTTTTCCGAAGGAAACACATTTATCCATGTGAATGTGTATTTGTACATTTTAGGCTTAAGATCTAAGTTTCTGAAATCGTGTGGTTATCTTTTTAATTGCTGGAGACTCTTAAAAGCTGCACCTTGAGAGGACTTCAGCCTTCACGCACATCATGACTTTTTCTCCTTTTTAGCATTGGCTGCGGGTTCTGAGTTAATGGAATGCCACCGTCTTGTAAATTCCCTGGAGGTTTCCACGGCAGCGCAAGGCCAGAGCTCCAAGACCCAGTTCTATGCCTGGTGAGAGTGTGACTGAGAAACAACTACAGCACCAGTCCAGGCACATTCATCAGAGCAGTGTTTTCCAAAGCTCAAGTCTGAAACCATTAGTGGTTCATGTCATCAATTTAGTGAGTAGGGCTGGCAATTTTTTTAATGGAATGGAAGAGATAATAATGTAATAGATTCTATACAATATGGACTAGAATAGAAGAAATTGCATTTCACATAGAGTGAGTATAGTTTCCTTAAATTATTTGCTTCAGATGCACTCACATACATACACACTTGATCACAATTATGTGTATTTCTTACTGGAGGTCAGACAGTCAAGGTCTGGAAGCCACTGTATTTTAGGAAGGAAAAGGAAAAGCAAACCTTCCTCCCAGGGAAGCAGATGAGGATAGAGGAAGCGGCAGTCAGGCCCTGGGGGGCTCAGGAAATGCTGGGGTTCCCTCCACAGTTTGTGTCGTCTGAGCACCCACCTTTGGAAATACAGTGAGGAGTCAGGGAGGAGACTTGTCTGCTCCTTTTACCAACCATCGGAACTTAACCCAGCGCTTAACTTGAGCTTCCTTGTGGGCACACGGCTTCAAGAAGGGGCTGCTCTGTTATTCATCCAGAGCGGCTTCACCATAGTTTAACATGGATTCTCCTCATTAAGCAGCTATATTGCTGGGGGAAAAAAAGGAACTGATAGGGTCATGTTCTTTTTTTTTTTTTTTTTTTTTTTTTTTTGAGACAGAGTCTTGCTCTGTCGCCCAGGCTAGAGTGCAGTGGCACAATCTCGGCTCACTGCAACCTCCACCTCCCAGGTTCAAGCAATTCTCATGCCTCAGCCTCCTGAGTAGCTGGGATTACAGGCACGTTCCACAACACCCGGCTAATTTTTGTATTTTTAGTAGAGGCGAGGTTTCACCATATTGGCCAGACTGGTCTTGAACTCCTGACCTTGTGATCTGCCTGCCTCGGCCTCCCAAAGTGCTGGGATTACAGGTGTGAGCCACCGCGACCGGACTGGTCATGTTCTTTTTGAAAATTGGAAAGATGAGTGAGCTATGCATCTATTTCAGTTACATTAAAATCATGATACTTTATAAAATTATAATACTTTTTTGATCATTTTAAACTCAACATTATCTTGAACCACATTTAAGAATGTAATAAATTTTATTTTTTCTTGTATCTTTTTGATGAAAATTGGACAACTATAACAATTATCTCTCTGCTGCTCGAATTCTTCGATCATTCCTGCACACGAGTCTAGAGAGTTGGTCCTGCACATATGTGGGGACCCTTTTCCACCCAAGCGACAGAAACTGCTGCCAACAGGAGCAAGGCCCCTGGGAAGCAGGCATTCCTTCTTCCTCATTGTCAGGTGGAAGGGGCCGCTGGGGGGATGGCCTTTCTGTGCTTTTGCATTCAGTGGCTCCACAAAGACCTACTTGCCACCTGGCCATAATAGGGAAAAACAACTGAGGTTACTTCCTGTTTCTCTTCATTTGTTCACCCTACTGTGACAGAGCAGACCTCATCCGCTTGGCTATCAGAGGCTGCAGCCAGGACGGAGTGCTGACCTAACAGGAAGAAGATGAAACCGTTTTGAAGGGAATTTCTTTACTGATGACTAAACAGGTTCCCTTCTCCTATCCTGCCGGCCTGAGAGAGACTACGTGTTGGCAAGAGTTAGGCTAGAGGTTTGAGCCTTGGTTCCCTGACCTCCTGATCTCTGACGGTGGCCAAGTCCATGAACCTTTCCGGCCCTCCATGCTCTCATCTCCAAAATAGCACCTGCCTCATAAGTGGGTCAAACGAGTTAAAGGAGTCAATATCTGCCCAGTATTTGGAGCAAAGTCTAGCAGATACTAAATACTTTACAATGATTAGTAATTATTGTCACCTCTCACTTAGTCATTATTGTCACCTCTCATATGCTCAGCAGAAAATGTTTTAAAATAGCTATAAACAATTTATCAAAGAAGAAGTACAGGCCAGGCACGGAGGCTCAAGCCTGTAATCCCAGCACTTTGGGAGGCCGAAGCAGGTGGATCACCTGAGGTCAGGAGTTTGAGACCAGCCTGGGCAACATGGTGAAACCCCGTCTCTACTAAAAATACAAAAATTAGCAGGGCATGGTGGCACACACCTGTAATCCCAGCTACTCAGGAGGCTGAGGCAGAACTGCTTGAACCCGGGAAGTGGAGGTTTCAGTGAGCCGAGATTATGCCACTGCACTCCAGACTGGGCAACAGAGTTAGACTTTGTCTCAAAAAAAGTATATATATACACATATATCTTTAAACATATATATATATTTAAAGATAGATATATATAAATATAGATAGATATATACAAATATAGATAGATAGATATAAATATATAGATATATATAAATATATATAGATATATATAAATATATGTATATATAAATATAGATATATAGATATATATAAATATAGATATATAGATCTATAGATATATAGATATAGATCTATAGATATATAGATATATATAGATCTATATAGATATACAGATATATAGATCTATATAGATATATAGATCTATATAGATATATATATCTATATATCTATATAGATATATAGATCTATATAGATCTATATATCTATATATAAATATAAAGATATATAGATCTATATAGATCTATATATCTATATATAAATATAAAGATATATATATCTATATAAAGATATATATATCTATATATAGATATATATACATATATATAAATATATAGATATATATAAATATATAGATATATGGACATATAGATATATATAAATATATAGATATATATAGATATATATAAATACAGAGATATATACATAGATATATACATATATAGATATGTACAGATATATATAGATATATATACATGTATAGATATATAGAGATATATAGAGATATATATACATATATAGATATATAGAGATATATATAGATATATACATATATAGATATATAAATGTATAGATATATATAGATATATAGATATATATAAATATATAGATATATAAAGATATATAGATATATATAAATATATACATATATAGATATATAAAAATATATAGATATCTATGAACATATATAGATATATAAATATATAGATATATAGATATATAAATATAAAGATATATATAAACATATATAGATATATAAAAATATATATAGATATATATAAACATATATATATATATAAAAAATATATAGATATATATTAACATATATAGATATATATAAATATATATAGATATATATAAATATATAGATATATATAAATATATATAGATATATATAAATATATAGATATATATAAATATATATAGATATATATAAATATATAGATATATATAAATATATAGATGTATAAATATATAGATATATAAATATATAGATATATATAAATATATAGATATATATAAATGTATAGATATATAAATATATATAGATATATATAAATATATAGATATATGTAAATATATAGATATATATAAATATATGGATATATATAATATATAGATATATATAAATATATAGATATATATAATATATAGATATATATAAATATATAGATATATACAATATATAGATATATAAATATATAGATATATATAAATATATATAAATATATAGATATATATATAAATATATATAAATATATAGATATATATATAAATATATATAAATATAGAGATATATATAAATATAGAGATATATGTATGTATTCTGTATTTAATTGCCGTTTTTCAAATGTTTCAAATGTCCATTAAGCCACTACTGATAAAGTATAGCAAGCTCTCCGGCAAATGCGTGGCTGCATTGGCTATGTTCCTCCCCTTATTGGAGGGGCTTTCACAGAGGTAGGAGATGGCCCCATGGTGCAGTTCCGTTTACCAAACTTGAGTGTGCTGGGTTCTAGAGCATGGAACTCCTTAGGTGTAAATATTCGCTCTGCCACTTGACAGCCATGTAGACTTGGGCAAGTAATCCTTGGACTTCAGTTTTCTCCTTGAAAATTCCCACCCCATAAGCATGGGGTCCTACAAGACTCTGCATGATCTACCCCAACTCCCCGATGTCTCATCCAGGGCTCCCCTCTGGGCTCACTCATCATTAGTCAATCAAACTCCCCTGTGGCTCAGTCCTGCCATGCAGCTGATCCCGCTGCCTGGACCACTGTCCCTAGGATCTGATGAGCCAGCCCTTCACCTTCTTAAAGTCTTTGCTCAGATTCACTTATTCCATAACGCCTTCCGGAAGTGCCTAACACTGCAGGCTGCCTCCACCACCCCATCGCCCTTCACCTGCTAGCTTGCTCTACTCTTCTTTTTCCATGGTGCATATCACCTTCTCATTCACTACACAATTCCCCTTGTTATTTATTATTCACTGTCTCCACCCTAGTATGTAAGCCCCATGAGCACATTTTGTTTAGTGCTGCATCTGAACTCTCTGAATGGCACCTGGCATGTATCAGACACGTGGTCCACAGATGACTATGGTGGCCATATGGTGGAGTGCACATAGGGTACCCAGCGCACAGGGGGTACAGCAGGCATGTCGAGCTGTGCTGGCGGGCAGCATTCACTCCACCCTTCTCTGGCCAAGAATCCTCATCTCCCTTTGGAGTACCACCCCCAACACACCATAAGTTCCTGGGAAGACTCACACCACAGCTGCCCTCCCCTTGAAATCTGCAGCCTGAAGAAAGTGGCCTAAGTGCAGAGCAGAGCTGCAGATCCATCCACGGCCCTGAGAGAATCTGCATTAGCTCCTGTGGACTGGATCCCCGGCCTACCTTGGTTCTTCAGTTTTTCCTTCCACCCCTTTTTGAGCCCATAGCCTTCTAATCACTTTCTTCTTTAATCACATTGAAGCAGAGCTGGCTTCTTTTGTGAGAATAAGGAAGAAAAAAATTTTCTCTACCCTCTTAAGTTCAGTGATGGGGGTGTGTGAATTAAACTGACGACAGACAGATTAACAAGAGAAAAATCATACAAATGTTTGCTAAGTCATGTGTACTCATGGGAGCACTCAGGGGGTGGTTAGAATTAGGGGTCTATAAGGGAAAGGGAGTAGGGAGAAAGGGTAATTAAGGAAAGCACATTACTTTTTTTTTCTTTTTAAGTAGAGATAGGGTTTCTCCATGTTGGTCAGGCTAGTCTGGAACTCCCGATCTCAGGCGATCCGCCCACCTTGGCCTCCCAAAGTGCTGGGATTACAGGCATAAGCCACTGTGCCTGGCCCGAAAGCACACTACTTTTTGGAAAGATAAATGGGCCCTCAGGAGAACAGACAGAAGGTATGACAGTCTTGTGACAATGTCTTTCTGGGTGGGATGCCAACTTCTCTTCTCCGAAAAAAGATTAGAGTTGCTCCTGGGAGGGGATTTATAATAACTGAGTTCTTTTGGTAGGCTCCTGTTTTAGGCAGGTAAGGGATTTCAGGAACTCAAATGCCTTCAACTCAATAGTTACAATAATCCTTATACCAAAGTGGCGTATCCTGAGGTGGCATTTCCTGATCCCCTTCACTAGAAACCAAAGAATCCTAAAAATAGATTTTGCTTTCTTAATTTATCTATTTAAATGCTGTTACAGACAGTAAAACCGAGGTTAGAAAGACATTTTTTAAAAAAAATTAATAACTGGACTAAGCCCTAGACGTGTTCACCTACAGTTCCTGCCCAAATTACCCCCAAATTGTCATTTTCACAAACTGAAAAACTGCACAGTGTTATCACATTCTGCAAACTGGAAGTGGGAGCTGTCAAGTCACAAACAAAGCTGCCGATGAATCCTACTGGCAGTCATGAAATATGTGTTAATTACCAGCAGAATCTGATACTGATAAAATAATGTTTAAAAATCCCCTCATCCTTCCCAGCACCCATGGCCTCTAGCTTTCATGGAGACCCTATTAGCAAAAGGGCATCAATTTGTTTACCCATTTCTGGTTGCTACTGGTGCGCCTGTAGAATTGATGTTTGCGTTACCAGCTTTCTGGCTGCTATGTTGAGACATCATCAGATTATAAATGTACTTGGGTGTGTAATACTTTAGGTAAAGATGGATATAAAAGGTAATAGAAGAGTAAACAAGGCAAGATTTTCTAGTGCAAATTGGAGCACTAAAGTCTAGCAGGAATGGAGAATCCCATCCTGTTTAAAACTCTAACAAAGAAGAGGGACAGTTTGAATGAGTGTGGAGAAAACTGAGGTGGTCACCAGTACGCCAGTTCCATTTCTGATTCAACTGAAGCCTTTACTTAGTCATCCCACCTGCTTTTAGATTTCTCCATGTGCCAAGAAAGTAAGTTCCCTTTTACGGGAGCTGTATTGATCATTTCTGATAAATCAACTAAATGGGATGAGTTGCTCATTTAGTAAGATGCATTGTCACTTGCTCATTGCTGCAAGAGATATTTGTGCACATTTACACTGTGTGAGCAGGTGCACCTGGAGCGTGAAGGTAAATGACAGCTCCTTGGTTCCAGCTGCTGGGAGGATGCACTCTAAGAGGAGAGAAGAGGTGAGCACAAAACTAGCCACGCTCAGGGCAGAGCATGGTCAGCATCAGAGGAGAGTTAGAAAGTGAGGGCATTTAGATTGATTCCATGCCAACCTAGATGCCCATCAATGACAGATTGGATAAAGAAAATGCAGTACGTATACACCATGGAATACTATGCAGCCATAAAAAGAATGAGATCATGTCTTTTGTGGGAACATGGATGAAGCTGGAGGGTATTATCCTTAGCAAAATAACACAGGAACAGAAAACCAAATACTGCATGTTCTCACTTATAAGTGGGAGATAAATGATGAGAACTCATGACCACAAAGAAGGAACAACAGACCCTGGGGTCTACTTGAAGGGGGAGGAGGGAGAGGAGCCGAACAGATAACTATTGGGTACTGGACTTAATGCATGGGTGATGAAATAATCTGTATAACAAACGCTTGGAACGTGAGTTTACCAATATAACAAACGTGCACAGGTACCCCTGAACCTAAAATAAAAGTTAAAAAAGAAAGGGTGGTTCCTCTGGGCAAGAAACGGTTCCCACCAGGAGGTGATATTTGAGCTTTAACATCTAGCAATGGCTTCCACAGGCAGAAGCCAAGGGCCAGGCACAGAGACGGTTAATTCTCTGAAGCAAAAGCACAAACAGGGATAGCATCGGCTGCTGCAGAAGTAGCTAGAGAGGAACAACGGCTGAAAGAGGAGGGCATGGCCGCCTCGTGGGCCTCGGCCCTGGCCGTGTGCAGCGGAGCCCCTGTGCAGGGGCCGCGACAGTCCCCCTCCACTACCACCTTTTCTTTGCAATCTCCAAGACCGGCAGCATTTTAATGCATGAGTTAAATATAGGTAAACATGTGAGTTAACGAGTTCATAAGAGCAAAAAGGACCAAACAAGGATTTCAAATGGTAATTGAAGGAAAACAGTCAAAAATTGATTCCTCTACTCTCTCAAAGATATGGAACATTTAGCAAAGAGCTAAGCCAAGCTGTCTCATCCTGAGAATGACACACCAATTACATTCTGAACCACATCCGTGTTCAAATCTGAACTGATATCTAATTCCAAGCACATAATGCTTGAAGTACTTTTGTTTAAATCTTATTTCTTTGTTCGCTTAAGGAAACCCAGAAAAGGGAAGGCAATTGAAAATTAATCATGTCTGCTGAGATTACAGTGATCACAGATAATTTTCCCATTTCACTTTCTCCTAATTGGTCTTTTATTTTTTTCAATTTTACTATTGGATAGTCATGAGTTTTTTTGTTTTTTTGTTTGTTGTTTGTTTGTTTAGATGGAGTCTCCTTCTGTTGCCCAGGCTGGAGTGCAGTGGCATGATCTTGGCTCACTGCAACCTCTGCCTCCCGGGTTCAAGCAATTCTCCTGCCTCAGCCTCCGAAGTAGCTGGGACTACAGGCGTGGGCCACCACACCCGGATAATTTTTGTCTTTTTAGTAGAGATGCGGTTTCACCAGGTTGGCCAGGCTGATCTCAAACCCCTGACCTCAAGTAATCCACCCACCTCGGCCTCCCAAAGTGCCAGGATTACAGGCAGGGGCCACCATGCCCAGCCATGTAATCTTCCTTAAAGGACATCAGTGATCTAGTATTTTTATTTATTGCAAATTATACAATAAAATTTGTACTTGATCATAAGCTTTTGTAAGATATTAAATTTTTTGAGACTAGAAAAACCAAATGAATAATATCCTACAGTCAGTCAAATTATTTGATATACAAATACAATGGGTTTCCTGAGGCGTCTGAGGAGGCTTGCGGAAGCTGTGTGAGAGGCGTTTTTATTTATCTAACGGTTTCTTCTTGTGCATTCATCTTCATGGCAGATTGGGGCTGGAGAGCAGCAGAGGTTTGGACCTTGTCAGAGGTGCATTTTTTATTGTGGTTTTTGTTATTTTTAAGACATTATTTGACCAAGAAGCATCAGTTCTGAATCAGGGCAATGACTTTCTCACTTTGGATTTATTGTGCCCTTATTTATTTAAGATGAGCTGAAAGAGGCCACCAGCAGAGGACACCCAAGAAGTCCTTACAACTGGTAGAGGAAGCAAGGAGAAGACAAAAAGGGGAAAATGCCCATCCACCCCACACTGCTAAATCTGTGAGATGACTGGTTTTTACCAAAATGAAATTAAAATTGAAGTGGGAGAAGAATCTTAGTGAACCAGAATGTTTCTAAGAAATTCGGACTCAGTGGCTACTGTGAATGCGTAGCTCAGATATCCCTGACCCGATGGTGTTTCCTGGTGCAGCAGGGCTGGCAGGGGCAACGTAGGAGGTAGAGTCTTCCTCACTGCAAGAGGGAATGGAAGACGCACGCCCGCAATCGCTGGGAAAACCAAACCCCAACTGGTTGCTCTGACAGCCTGCTGTCCTGACAGTTTGTCCTCAGGAACAGCAGACAAGTCCCCCAGGGGTGGGAGCTTGACAGCCAACAGCCACAATTGCCTGAGACACTGTGCTGGTGACAGGCAGGCAGGCTCCTTTGAGGCACTACTAAAGTCTTTTTGTAACCAAATAGGCAAGTCTTTTTTCTAATATCAGACATATATATTTGAGACAGGGTCTTGTTGTGTCTCCCAGGCTGGAGTGCAGTGGTGTGATCAGGCTCACTACAGCCTCAACTTCCTGGGCTCAAGCAATCCTCCCACCTCAGCACCCCAAGTAGCTGGGACTACAGGTGTACACCACACCCAGCTAATTAAATTTTTTTTGTAGAGATAGGGCTTTGCTATGTTGCCTAGGCTGATCTCAAACTCCTGGACTCAAGCAATCCTCCCAGCTTGGCCTCCCAAAGTGCTGGGATTACAGGTATGAGCCTTTGTGTCCAGCCAAAACTGAAAGTTTTTTAGAAAAACATAACTGTATTAGTCCTCAGGTTTTTTAAATTGCAAATGCATAGAACAGAATCATAACAAGTGTGGAAAATAATAAATCTAAGGCTGAAAGAAAAATGTCAGAAGAATCCACTTCAGGTTGACTTGGCCATCTTAGTAAATGACAGAGTTGGAGCACTGTCATCTTGGACAAACACCACCACTTTAAGTTCCAGCTCCCTTTCTAGCCTCATGCATTTCAAGGAAATCACTTCTCTTCTAACAACAAGCAGTCAGAAAGAGCAGACAGTAAAACACAGATAAGACAGCTCAGGCACAGAGGCAGGTGTGGGGAAGTCTCTTGGGTAACTGCCAAACTTCACCCTCATAAAATGGGCCCCAGTAAAACAGTGGGCATTAATAAGCACATTCTTTTCTCTTCAGGTGCACTAAGATAGGGAAGCTAAAAGCAGAACTCGGGGGTGGATTAAGCGGGGGTATGCCTGCAGCTGCAGAAAGATGTATGGGAACAGACACAACCCTCCCTCCCAGATAAGCACAACAAGGAGACACAGAAGCAGTCCAAGCCTCTGATAAACGTTCCCTCCCTGAATCCTTAAAAACTCTTAGTCTATAAGAGAAAGTGCCTCTGACCTCACTCGGCCAGAAGCCCCTCTCAGGTTTATTCTCTAAAATAAACCTGTCTTTGACTGTCGAGCCACTTTTCGTGTTTTTTTCCTCTTTCTTTAATTCTTACAGTAAGGAGAACCTTGGAGCATCGGGACTTTTAACTCTGTCTTTATGTATTTCTATCCTTGGGCACAATGAGCACATATAATTTTATAATTTAAAAAATCAGATAGAGAAAGCTTTAAGTGAAAATTGTTCTATTCTGTGATGCCTGAAGGTCAGTTGCACAAGGCAGAATTTTCCATGCCCTTCTATCAGGTCTGCAGTAGCAGAAGTGTGTGTGTGTGTGTGTGTGTGTGTGTGTGTGTGTGTGTGTGTTTGTGTTGGGGCGGGGTGGGAGGAACAGCATAAAGTCAGCTAAATGTGAGACAGCTCTGGGTCCTTCCAACATTACTGGTAAACAAATACATGCCATGTCAACACACCCTGTTGGAAATGTGTAGTTCATAGTCTAATGATATTAAAGAACCAGTCTGCAGGGTGAATCCCCTTTAAGCTTCATGAAATCCACCTAGATGTGCACCAGTCTACTGGTGCATTACCCAGCTGCCAAGTGTCCTGAGAGGGGGATTAATAATTTGTCCACAATACCAAGTACTTGAAATTTTTTCTCTCTCAATTTCCTGAAGAAATCAACAACACTAACAAGCTGTACGTACCAGAGTCAGCTAGCAATGCTCTGGAAACAATAGCAGGCTCTTTAGTCCCAGCTGAAGGAACAAGTCTTTCATTCTCTGCAATCCCATCTGGGGATGTTATTGGTGCTATTACAGTTAAAGAAATCCATGCATTGCAGAACAGTTAAAAATCTGAAACACTGGTCTGTAGAATGAAAGAGTGACTCAGGATGTTTTGATCAACCCAATCAACATGAAGCAATCTAAGTACCTATGGACGTTCATGTCAGCAAGCCCAGCACAGCCCCAGCAAGCCACACAGGACGCTTCTGTTTATGCATCCCACAGATGTGGTCCAAAAAAGACAAATGGTACTGATTGGAGTCTGTTTCGTTAAAAACTGACTCTGAAGGAGTTTCTCATAGAGAAAGATCCGAACCATTTTGAGCTTCGGAGAATTTGGTTGGACCTGGAGGAGGGGCTGGCTTGAGAGAGAGGGAAGTGAGCAGGGAACCTTCCAGCACTTTGCAAAGCCCAGGGCAAGTGGGTTTCCTCCTCTTCCCTCCCGCTCACCAGCTCTCTCCTTCCTCTTCCTCCAGGGCTGGCAGGGCAGAGGTGACACCAGTGGGCGTCAGCTGACCCTGTTCCTTCCATGCCCAAGTCTTCCCTCATTCTGGGTGCCCTGCCCACCCCTCTCCCACCTCTTCAAACACTTCACGCCCTCCCTTCTCCTCGTTAAAAAAATCCCAGTAGCTTACTATGGAGCAAATGAGCCATCTCCAGTTGCCTTGCCGTGCTCACCCTAATGGTACTGACTGTGTTTTACAGCAAAAATAGAATCTTCAGCCATCATCACTAAGTACGTGCTCATGGGGTTCAGTGCTGGGGGAGGCTATGGAAAATTGAGACATCAGGCAATTCCAGCCAGCCTATTCCCAGGTCTCCAGTACCACTGGAAACACGCTCCCCTGGGTTCAGAAAGCACAAGACTATTTCTTAGAGATCTTCACGTAATTAGAACTCGCTCTATCCCTTCATTTCCCAGCTCCTCATTTATCATCCTAACCAGATCTATTTTAAAACAAAGGTAAGTGTAACCTAAAAACTACACACAGCAAAATATCACTGGTGTGATCACAATATTCTCCTGTGCTGTTGCACGAGGTGCTACCCTGAGAAGATTGAGAATGCATTCTTCTAAAATTCTGGTAAATATTTTATTGTCGACATGCGACTATAGTTTCTTCTGGAAGTTGCTGGGCTGCAAGCCCAGATAGGTATCCCTAGAAAAGGTGCTCATAACTTTCTATCTCCACAAAATATATGCCTGCTGTTGAGAGTAGGGAGATAAAGTCATCTCTTTAGTGCGGCTTTGACTATAGCCCCGGCTGCCCCCTGGATCCAGTTGGCCTGAGAGCATCATGATTTGTAACAAATATGAAACTATGTGAGCTCATCTGTTCTTCAGTTTTCTTTAATTGACACTTCCACTCCTCTCGATGTCCCTCCGCAGACCCTGGGATGACACAGAAGCGGGCGCTCGTTGTCCTTTAAGTGGATGAACGAGGCCCTTTGTCTGAAGTCCCTGTCTCCTGTGTGCTGCGTGTGCTCTTTTTCTGCGGCATGACGACACCGCAGATGAGGAGAGCCACAAAGGGCAGCGAGTGTCTCGGAACTCTGTGGTTCCATTGTCTCCGCGGCGCTGGGCTGCAGTCAAGCCAGGCTCACCCTTGCAGGGCTGCACCAAGGGACGAGATGTGACGGTGACAGACGATGGCCAAGGCCATCTTACCGAGTGCCAGGCACGGGCCTCGGCACCTGCTGTGCTCTGTCTGGGGAAGCGGGCACAGAGATGAAGCGGCCCCACGGCGGTCCCTCCCCAAGAAAGGGGTGGACCTGGGACCGGAGCCAGCACAGGGGACCCATGGCCCCCGTCGGAGCCGTCCAGTGCCCCTCAGCGCCTGTCCTCCTTCTCGTTTTCCCAGATAGCTGGTTTCGTATAAGTGTTTTTGTATGTTTTTTATTTGTTTGTTTGCTTGTTTTGAGACGGAGTTTTGCTCCTGTTGCCCAGGCTGGAGCGCAATGGCACGATCTCAGGTCACCGCAACCTCCGCCTCCCGGGTTCAAGCGATTCTCCTGCCTCAGCATCCTGAGTAGCTGGGATTACAGGCATGCAGCACCACACCCGGCTAATTTTGTATTTTTAGTAGTACAGGGTTTCACCATATTGGCCAGGCTGGTCTCAAACTCCCAACCTCAGGTGATCAGCCCGCCTCGGCCTCCCAAAGTGCTGGGATTACAGGCGTGAACCACCGTGCCTGGCTCGTATAAGTGTTTTTTAAACAACTCCCTGGAGTAAAGATTTCCTGCTTTCATGATGCTAACTCAGGAACCCCATGCCGACCCCTCCATCGTGAGCTATAGTAAGGAAACAGGCCGTTTTCTCTAATCCCCAAACAGTCTTAACTCGAATGTTGCTGGCCTCTCGACCATGAAGCAACAGTGGCAAGTGCATGTTGGGAGGTAGTCCAAAGTAGATTTGCAGGGATGTTTCCCTCCCTGCTCCAACAGGACATCCCTATGGGGTGAGGTACAGAGAGGGGCACACCCAGCCCAGCTCCCTCCACTGACCCCAGGCCCTGAGGCAGGCACCATCCAGAAGGGAGCCATGTCTGCCTTGAACTGGCTATGAGTTGGTTGTTGCCACTCCTACCTGAGTGATGGGGGACCCCTCCCAAAGAGTTTCCCCGCCTTTATCTACAAGACTGACAAAGCAGTTGTGTCCAGTCAGTGATGAATGTGAGACCTCGGAAATTAAGGTGAGTCTTCTTATTGATGTTACTAGAAGGCGGGAGGGGCTGTGGGAAGCTGATCTCTTGCACAGATCTACAGGGGCGGAGAGGTGAGCTAAAGTCCAGAGCTTGCTCAGAGAGGGCAGTGGGTGTTGGAGGGGGACTGGGGTTCTCACGCCCCAGGGACCAGGCATCCCCCTCTCCATGAATGCTGTGGCCATGCAAATTAGGCTCTCGTTTGCAAAAGGGAAAGATTTTTTCAAAACATTTGAGATGATGTGTGCTGGGGGAGTTCTGTATATCTATTCTTTCGATGAAGGAAATAAAAGCAAAATCCTCCTTGCGTCCACTCCTACAAAGAACATTGTAAATCACAGAATTTCAGCCTCAGTCATGTGTATATTGGCTGTTTTTAATTATGGCAAAGAAGGTATTGACCACAGAAAAAATATCTTTCTAAAATCACAGTGGGAAATGAGGGTGAGTTCTCACTCTGCATGACACTGTGGGCAGTGGGCTGGAAGGGCTGTGGCCCGGGCCTCTTTCTGTTCACGGCATGTCTGCGGATCCTTTTCACATCTGTAGGATCTGTAGTTATATCCCTTCTTTCATTCCTGGTCTTGATAATTTGTTATTTTTTTTTTCTTGATCAATCTTGCTAAGGGTTGCTTAATCTAATCTTATTTTTAAAGAATCAGCTTCGGACCTTGTTAATCCTCCCTATTGTCCTATTTTGCTGATTTCTGCTGTGGTCATTATCCATCAAAGGTTTTAAATCTATGGTCCATGGAACCCTCAAGGTCCTAAATCCACTTCCTGGGAGGCTCCTGAAGTCCTACCTGGTCTCCCACTGGCCCCACAGCACTGGGACAGGCCCTTTGCATACTGGTTAGGAACTTGTACTCAGGCCAACCTGGGCATGAGCCCAGCTGTAAAACTAAATAGGTGTGAGGTGAATCTGTCAGTTGCTTTACCCTCAGAGACTCATTTTCTTTTCTTTTTTTTTTTTTTTTTTGAGATGAAGTCTTGCTCTTGTCACCCAGGCTGGAGTGCAATGGCACTATCTCGGCTCACTGCAACCTCCGCCTCCGGGGTTCAAGCGATTCTCCTGACTCAGCCTCCCAAGTAGCTGGGATTACAGGTGCCTGCCACTATGCTCAGCTAATTTTTGTATTTTTAGTAGAGACAGGGTTTCACCATGTTGGCCAGTCTGGTCTGAAACTCCTGACCTCAGGCGTCCCCCGACCTTGGTCTCCCAAAGTGCTGGGATTACAGGCGTGAGCCAATGCGCCCAGCCAGAGACTCATTTTCTATACCTGTAAAGGCAAAGAAGGTTGCTGTGAGGCTCAAGCTTGCCCATGCATGCAAAGTAGTCAGCACCAGCATCTCGACGCTCTACCTGTTGGTGGATATGTGAGAAGCCACCTCCAGGACTTATGCAGATGTTATGAATTTTGAGTATGATGCATAATGATTAAATCAAGCTAATTAATCTATCCATCACTTCAAAAGTTTGACATTTTTGTGATGAGAACGTTTGAGATTTTCTCTCTTAGTGATATGGAAATGTACAGTCTGTGTCCTTTTAATTCGGTGGCCTCCCCCTAGAAGGGAAAGGAAGATAACTGCTGAGTCAGCTAGAGACAGCATATGGTCATGGCTTTAGCGAAAAAAGAAGAGAAAGTTAAAAGCAAATGAAAATTGCCAAGAAGTGATCAGAAGAAGAAAAAAGAGAGAAGGTGGGGAAAAGAAAAAGAAAACTTTTTAAGAAGAGAAAGCAAGACAGAGTGTTTCTCTGTACACATGCATCAGAATGCAGACAGACGGCTGGAGCCGCAGGGCTGTGGGCCAGCAGGCAGTGGAGAACAGCCTGGCCGGGCCTGCGCCCTGCACAGGTTCATTAAGGGACTATGCCTTAGATTATCTGCCTGGCCCACAGATTCTGTCAAAAATTTCAGAGCAGGCTGGACGAGGTGGCTCAGGCCTATAATCCCCTCACTTTAGGTAGCTGAGGCGGGTGGATCACCTGAGGTCAGGAGTTCAAGACCAGCCTGGCCAACATGGCGAAACCCTGTTTCTACTAAAAATACAAAAATTAGCCAGACATGATGGTGGGCACCTGTAATCCCAGCTACTTGGGGGGCTGAGGCAGGAGAATCACTTGAACTCAGGAGGCTGAGGTTGCAGTGAGCCAAGATCGCGCCATTGCACCCCAGCCCGGGTAACAGAGTGGGACTCTGTCTCAAAAACAAAAACAAACAAAATTTCAGAGCAGATACAAAGGCAAAAATAAGAGATTGTGGGGAGCAAATAAAATCTTTGCAATCTTAGGTTACAGACTTCAGTCCTGGCTTGAACATTTCTGACTAGTTCGGCAAATTCTTTCATCTCCACATTCTTGTAGGTAGAAATAAAAAGGTTGAACTAATTAATTTTTCAAATTTCAATAAAAACTCTTCTATTTTTATGCTTCCAAAAGTTATGTGTTTCTGTGCATGCTTGCGTATGTGTGCACGAGTGTGTTTGTGCGCATGTGTACATTTGTGTACGTGTGTGTTTGTGTATGTGTGCTGTGTGTGCACCTAAGTGGTGGGAAGAAGCTGAGGATCTTATCTTGCTATCATATTCCATAAGTGGCCTTAAAAAGCAACTGAAACCACAGACCACGTTCTGGGTTGGATCTTGTCCCCAACACCCCCAAATTAATATTAATATATCAAAGCTCTAAATGCACTGTGACTATATTTGCAGAGAGTGCCTTTAAGGAGGTAATTTTAAGGTTAAACGGGCACATACGTGAGGGCTGTGATCCAACAGAACTGGCATCCCTGTAGGAGAAGGAAGAGATACCAAGGCTCTATGAGGACGCAGTGTGGGAGGCGGCCGTCTGCAAGCTAGGAAAGAGGCCTCACCAGGGACTAGCCTTGCCGGCATCTTGATTCTGAACATCCAGCCTCCAGAACTATAAGAAAATAAGTATCTGTTTTTTAAGCCGCCCAGTGTGTGGTATTCTGTTAAATTGGCCCAAGTAAACAAATACAGATCAATGGCTGTCCTAAAGAACCGCTCAATATTGACTGTCCTCAAACCAAAGTCATTGCTCTCGGCAGACCTGGATACACCTTTGGACATGCTGACCCATTAGATTACGTAAGGAACAGTTCCAGTTAGTTTTGTGTCTCAGATACCCTTCATCCTGTAGAGGCAGGGTAAATATTTTTTGAATGAATAATAACTGAACAATTCTGGGCCTGCTGGCATACTATCCTGCTCAAAGTGAAATACTCAACAGATACTTGTTATAATTTCCTCGTAAAATCAGGTGTTGAGCTCCATGCACTGTCTGGGGTTGGCTTTTCAGGACACGCCCATGCATCTGCAGTTCTCAGAGCCTGCCTCCCGCTCTGGTGACAGGATGGCATCAGGAGTGGCATCAGGAGTGGCATCGGGAGTGGCATGTGCTGTGTTGTAGAAGCTTGTATCTGGGAGGCTCTCATAATTATGCTGACAGAGGTAGACGAGGGAAGACCTAGGACACAGTCATCAAGGGCGGGGACTCCGGATGAATGAGATGTGGGGCAAGGCCCCCCAGAAGTGGAGTGGCCAGCACTCCCAATTCTATGAGCTGGACGGTGCCTAGGCTGATGACATGGGGTCACTTTAGTTATTTTTGGTCATTGCATCCTACCCTCCCTGCCGTGAAAACACATGGCCAGGAAGGGAGACATGACTACCTAGAAAAGGAGACTCTATATTGACAGAGTCGCATTGCAGGGTCTCTTGTGAGAGGACACAGTTGGTTAAATCCACCTTCAATAAAATCTGCCTGAAGTATTTCCTGAGCCTGGTCGTGTATTTCTTGCCATATAGCAATGGCTCCCAACCTGGTGGCACATCAGCCCTTTCCCAGATCTACTGAATTAGTATCCCTAGGTCTGAGGTCTGGAATATCTGTTTCTTAAAACACTTCCCATCCATTTCAGATGCAGCTAACCCAGCCTTTACAGCAGGCACTAGGAGCCAACATGGTATGGATGAAACCAGCAGTTTGATTGTTCTAGGGTCTCTTAGTTCTGATACAGGAAGTACTGATAGATAAACCTACACTGAAGAAGGTTCTTTGGCTTCCCTCAATACTTTTTTTCCCTTCAATAATTTTTGAGACTAGAAAGAGGTCACGAGACCAAACATTTAAGGACTGATGTCGAATTGTCTGAGGTACTAGGGCAGTACTTGCTAAATATTTGAGCAGATCTAAAACTGCTTCCTGAAGATTCCCTACTGTATTTTGTAGGTTTCCATCCACACCACCTCCATAAGGTGGGATGGTCCAGTTCCAGCAAGGATGTCGCTGATAATGACCCCACTGGCTTTCATCAAGAGCTAATAGTAATGTAAAGAACATTTAGGCATCTTTGGCCGGGCGCAGTGGCTCATGCCTGTAATCCCAGCACTTTGGGAGGCCGAGGAGGGTGGATCACGAGGTCAGGAGATCGAGACCATCCTGGCTAACACAGTGAAACTCTGTCTCTACTGAAAATACAAAAAAATTAGCCGGGCATGGTGGCTGACACCTGTAGTCCCAGCTACTGGGGAGGCTGAAGCAGGAGAATGGTGTGAACCCAGGAGGCAGAGCTTGCAGTGAGCCGAGATCACGCCACTGCACTCCAGCCTGGGTGACAGAGTGAGACTCCGTTTCAAAAAATAAAAAAACAACAAGAACACTTAGGCATCTTCGAGAAGCTGCATTTAAGGATACTACTATCCATTGTGTTGTATATAATCCAAATACACACATAACAATTTTCTCCAAGAAGTGTTTCTTGTTATTAGATATTGAGATTATATGACTCTTACTTTAAACTTTGTCTCTGCTACCAGGAAGCTCAGAGCTAAATTTTGTGCTCATAACATAATAATTAAGTGTGAGATAAGAAGGCAAAACACAATAGACATTTTAATTTTTTAATTCCTCAGGAATATAAAAGTGTAGGTGTGCATTAAATGGTTAAAGATAAAAATCTCAGAATGCTGTAACTAGGGAGGTTTTGAATGTGCACAAGAGTGCCAGAGTTTTTTGAGTAGTAAAGACTTTTTTGAAATAGTAAAAATTACAGTTAACTTTGAGCTGGGGGAACGCTTCGCATATTGCCTCATAATCCTCACCAGGGTCACCTATGTTCAACTATCCCCACAGACAGAAGAGGAAACAGACATGGAAGTTTAATGAAAGATGTGGATAAATGACAGCATCAGTGTGGCAACTCCAGCCTCTAGGGCACCAAAACCCACCTTGAACCATGGTGCGGTACCTTCTCCCACACAATGCTGAGGGGCGCTCTGACTCCAAGCCAGACCAAGGGGCCTCCACTACAGGCCATGGGAGCAGCTGTGCCCTTACCCAGGCAGCATCTGGACAGAGGCCATGCTGGGGAACCACATCAATCCAGGTTTCCCAGAGGTCACAAAGGCCTGTGTGTGCATTTCTGTTGATGCAAAAGTGTCCTTGCTTACTAGAGAGACTGTTATTTTCAGACTTTCTTTGAATGATATACCACGGTTGGCTGAAAAGCAGAGATCCCACAGATCACCCACCCTAAACTGAACCGCGTGATTTCCAGGGAAACCCCACAACTAATGGTTCTGACAACTTGGCATCCACTTTTCTAGAAATAAGGCAGATCAACATAAAAACCTATCTTAAAGTGCCAGCTATTCTCTAAATAGAGGGAATTAAGTCACATATATGCTCAATCTTTGGAACTGGCAACACTTTTACTTACATAGTGGCACCCAATTTTCTCTCCTGGGATGGAAGTCCTCCTCAGTCCCTGCTATGAGATATTACAGTTATGGGAGAATTTGATAATAATATAATAGTAATCTAATAGTCTAGCAATTATTCAAATTGACCCTTTAATTTCTGATTGGTATGACCTACCAGTATGAAATTACTTTAGGCAAAATAAAAAAAATATTCTAGTGAGTGTATATAGGAGGAGTCCTTAACCTGGGACCCATGAGCTTCTTAAAATATATGCAAATTATATGCAATGTTTTGTTGCTATGTGGTACACGGTTTTAGGAGTCCTTTTGGAATATAGCTTTCACGGGGATTTGTGGCCCCATAAAAGGTCAAATGTCATTGCCAAATAACCTTACAGTATTTGACTATCTTAAAAATCCTGGTAGTGATTTTTAAAAATTCTAGTAGTGATTAAAACCAGCAAACCTTTTTCAACTCCTGGAAATCCCAGAACCTTAGGTTGAGTGCCACTATGAAGAAATCATGTCATGTGAATTGTAAATCCCTCAGTAGTCTCTTCCTGACCAGTTTTCAGTGTCCCCCTCAAAAAGAATCACAAGTCACTGAATTTCTCTTTTATTTAAGCATTAAGAAATTGGAGCATAGCGACTTAGAAAACTTTCTCAAAATGTCCTTAACAGCAATGAAAAGATATCATGTGTCACGTGTAAAACCTTTTTTCTGTTTGTTTTTTATTGAAGCTCATTGACCAGGGAAACATAAATGTTCCACTCATCTGCTTTTAAAGTAGAGAACAAGGCCCACAAACTCTATTTAATAAATACAAATTACTAAAAATGCGCTTAGTGTTGTATTGTGGCCAGTTAAGAACAGGAGATGCTGGGACAGAGCCTACAGAAAGGGCGGGAGAAGAAAGGAAATCAAAATGAAGCAGCTGACAGGGACGTCAGGGAGACACACAGGTGCAGTGACAGCCACACTGCAGCAGAAGCTCAGCTTGGAAGACAGAGGCTGCAGAAAGTCGGTCCCTCTAGGATGCCACCAGGGAAAAGTCTTCAAAATGTTGTTGTTACTGTGACCAAGGGCAGAAGTCTAGGCATCTTAATTATTGGTATTTGCACTAAGTGCAAGACGAGACCAAGTTGAGCCACTCCTGCCCTCGGCTCGGAGTCAGTGCACTCTTGCTCCACCCTCTCAGCTCCAGACCGTGTGCCCTGCCCAGGACGGCGCACTCAGAGACCATCTGGGTGGGGGTGGAACAAGAGCAGCACCGTCACTTGCATAAGCATTGCTAGTTTTGCCCCTCTAGAATTAATATATTCATTTTAAGTAAAAGAAAACTTATCTCCAAATTCAAAGAAGTTATTCAATGGGTAGGTTTTTTTCTGTTTTTGCAACTCATCTGGCAGCTGACCTAGCTCCCAATGAATTAAATGCTTCACATCTAACTAAATGTGTGCCTAGAATTAGAGAGAGAGAGAGAGAGAGACAGTGTGTGTGTGTTATTAGAGCAAAGACCTCCACAAGAAAAATACAAAATCTGTTTTAAAAATGTAAGGCTTCAATTTAAAATACAATTAAGACTTGATACATTTAAAGTCTATCAAGATAAACATTAAACCAGTTATTGGCTTTTACAAAGTCAGTCAAAAATTGAGGTAATACATTACTCTTTTATAACCAGCCTTATCTGATTATAACATTTTATTTCCTTCTCATCCTTCTAGTTAGATATTCTCAGATACATGGAAGAAATATGTAGAAATCAGCCTCCAGTTAGCGGGGGAAAGGATATGGTTACGAAACAGCGGAGGAGCTTTACTCTCTATTCAAATAATACACAGAAAAAATGTAATCAGCCGAGCGGTTTCCATGGAAGCGCTCATTGACCAGGGCTCACCAGCGCCTGGCGATGCCTACCCTTCCGCTTTGGAGACTGGAAATTCGGTTAACTGAGTTTCAGGGATGTCTAATACCCTCAACATTTTTCTGACTTGGGAGAAAACAAAATCACGAATGTAGGACCGGGTCCCAGCTCTGCAGGAGGCCACCGTCGCGGCCACCCACCTGGGCCATCGCCCACCGCACTGTCCAGGGTGCCCGGCGCCGGCTGAGGGTGACACCACGGGGCGTGCAGATGTAGCCCTGGGGAAGGCCCGCCTCCAGGCAGAGGGTCTCTGGGACCTAGACGAACCCTGGGGGTCGGGGCACCAAGAGGCATTTTCTCAGTTGCTTAATTCCCCACGAACTGCATGGATGCTCGGCGATGCCAAGAGGAGGCCAGAGTGGGGGCAGAGGCAGGCATCTGGGGTAGATACCACCGGTGTGAACGAGAAAGGCCCGGGCTGCCGGCTGGCGAGGGCAGGAGGGGGGCCGTGGCCGTCGGGCGAGTCTGGCTGCGCCCCACGTGGGCCAGCTTGCGCACTGGTGTCCCGAAAGTGGGCGCTGGCGGCCAGAGGAGCCTGCGGTCTCCCCCGAGGGCCCCTAGGCGGAGTGGCGCGTGCAGGAAGTGAGGTGGGATCAGGCCTGGCCTGTCCCCGCAGGCCCGCTGGGCTCACAGCGTGCTCAGGTGCCGCCGTGAGTCCAGGGCCCCCGCCCGGCCCCGCGCGGCAGCCGCGGACTCCACGCCGCGCAGCCACTCCGTGCACTTGCGTACCAGGCCCTCGTCCACCGCCTCTGGCTCCTCCTCGTACTCCACGTCGTCGTACCTGTGCCGCTCGTTGAGCAGCGACACCTTGAGCATCGGCCGCAGGGCCCCGGGCCGCGGGCTGAGCTGGGGAACCTGCAGGCCGCCGTGCAGCAGCTGGGCGCCGGGCGGAGGCGCGCGGCGGCCCTGGCCGGCGGTGGGGGGTGCGTCGGGGTCGCTGGCGGGGCCGCCCCTCCGCGGGCCCGCGGCCCTAGCCGGGAGACACGGGGCGAGTAGGCGCCTGGGTTCGGCCGAGGGTGAGGGGAAGGGCCTGCGGGGCCGCGCCAGCAGCTGCTTCTCCAGATGACGCTTCTGGATGACCAGGACGGCCTCGGGGGTGAGATTCAGGCAGAAGCGCGCAGCGGAGTCTGGACAAGGCCCCGCCCCCGAGGAGGTGCCCGCGGCGGTGGTCCCCGTCCCCGCCGAGGTCGCCGCATAGGTGGTCCTCGCTGGGCTGTGGCCGGAGCCTGCCGGCCGGGGCGGGGCGCACGTGGCTGGGGCCCGCGCGCGGCTGGGCAAGGCCTGGGGGGAGACGCCCGGAGGGGCCGGCGGCTGCGTCCTGTCCAGGCCGGGGCCGCGCCGGGCCGGCGGCCTCTTGAGCGTGGCGGAGGGCCAGGAGCTGGAGAGGAGCCCCTCGGGCCGCTGTGGGGGCCTCTTCTTCTTGTCCCCCGCGGCGCAGGGCCTCCGGGGTAACTGGCGCGCGGCTTGGGCCCCCGGGGCGGGGGCGGGCGGCGGCGGCATGGGCGGGAAGGGCATAGTGCAGCCGAGCCGCCGGATCCTCAGCCCCTGGAAAGAGAGGCGGGCGCTCAGCCACTGTGCGCGGAGCGGGTCCCCGCAGTCCGGGCGGCCCCTCCACACCCACCTGCGTCCAGCCGCGGCCTCTCCGGCTTCCTCACATCCCAGCGACCAAACCCGGGGACTCAAAGAGAGGCGCTCCCACCCTCCCCTCCTCCTGGGGGTGCTCCCGGGACTGGACCCTGCAGGAACCGCCTCCCGCCGTCCGACTGTGGGCGAGTCGCGGCGCCCCCGGGTCCCCACAGCTGAGACGCGGGCCGGGCCGGCAGGAGGAGGAGCCCAGCGCGCTCGCTAAGGACGCGGCCCTGCCAGGCCCCGGGCTGTGCCCGGCTGGTGTCACGACCGACTGTTGAATGGGAGCAAAGTGCCAGGACAGCGGAGGGCGGAGCGCGCGCCAGGCATCCCGGGGCTCCCCCAGCTGGCGCTCCGGTGGTCCGAGGTTAATGTAGTCCGTCGAAAGCCAGGAGCATTCCCCTGGGGGAGCCGGCAGCCTTCCGGAGTCACAGGTGGAGGCCCTGCACGTTTCAGAGAAAATCCCCTGTAGCCTCTCCGTGCCTTCGAGACGGCGGGAAAGGCACCGCCAGTAGATGCAGCTCTGCGGCCCCGGACACATCCTGCTTCACAGAGAAAAGCGGGCTGGAGCTGAGAGGGGAGAAATGACCCTCAGTGAATCTTACATAGTGTTCATGCCACCCCTTGAGGAGTCACTTTCAAATTCAAAACCTAAGTATCTATGAACAGGCAAAATAGTTCAGTTTCAGCTATATAATGCTGATTACATGGCAAATATTAGACATCAAGTCCCTTTAATAATTCTTATGAGCAAAGCAATATATTTATCACTGTAGCAGAGATTCAGAATTAATGAGATAAATCTTCACTGTCAATTTACATTCTAGTCGTAGACACATGAAGACATCCTACAATATTCAAATGTTTGTTTAATAAATAATTGAACAATTGCAAAGTGACGGATCAAAAAGTCAACATTTCATGTGTGCAGTCCCTGCATTACTTAAGGATAATCATCAGCTGCTTAGATCTCCACAAAGTACTTTCCATCAGATACACTTTTCTGATGGAAACCAGGTGTGTGATGGTTACGGCCCCAGGTTAGCTCCAGAGCACATTCAACTGTGGGTAAACACAAATGTGCCCTGTGCCAACAGTCACAGCAGGACAGCATGGCCCTCCCCCAGCCGCCTCAGTCTCCGAGGCAGCAGCAACGCCTCCCCTTGTTGACTGTTGGTGGCCTCAGAGAACTGCGCTGTGGATACATGGGAGCGTCAAGGAAACCTGGCAGGTGGTGGGAAACACTTCTCACCAGAGCTTGGGTTGGGGTGACAGGTTTGGGCCCTGTCATCTCTACCAGCACCTCCCAAGCCACCCCAATACAGCTCTGAAACAAGCCTCCCAGCTCACAGGCACTTTCCCTCCATCCCTGCCAGCCTGTCTCTGCCGGTGGGCTCAGGCTGTTAATCGGCTTGACAGGTGAGGTCCTAAGATACTGAAACCTCCTCCTCAATATGTTTTATTCCAGGTTTTAGAATCTCTGGATGGGTGTGGGAAGAGGCACGTCAGTGGCGGCAGGAGGCCCACAGTTCTGTGCCTGGAAAGTGGAGAACTGGAAGAGAAGGTGAGGCAGGAGAGGATGGGGGTGGGGCGGGGGGCGGTATCAAATATCATTTATGGGGGCACAGCTGGAGAGGCAGGCTATGGAGAAAAATCAGCAAACACTTGGACACTCAGACATCTGAGTTTGGAGCCCCGCAGTTCAAAAGCTGTGACGGTGCTGGTGGGGTCTTCTCTCCTTCCTGTCTCCTTACTCTTAGGATGCTTCAGAAGGAATGACAGTTTTGGGGTGAGAATGGGTTGGTGGCCTCATAGTAATGCTCCCGACTTCCACTGCTGTCTCCATTCTGCTGGGACACTGGTCGTACAGAGGCGAGGTAGCTACGCAACTGCCATCACACAGCTCTAACGGGACGGAGGAGATAAGACTCCACCCCAGGAGTGCGAGTCCAAGGCCAGATTGCAACTTTTACACTAAAGCTGAGAGGGAAAAAGTCTTGGTAGATCAGGGTGATTGGATTAAGTGACCTCTCACCCACAAACTAGTAGCGATTTGGGCCTTTTTAAGCCAAGAAAAGTGATAGTTTATCAGATTAATGCACGTGTCTGACCAGACAAGAACTGGGATTCTCCAAGCCCTCCCAGACGTCTCATACCAGCCCAGAAGCTTGGAGACATGGAAAGCTGTAAGTTTGTGTGACCCTTGAGAGGCAGAAAAGTACATTCTGAGTGTCCGCCACCTCATCACCAGGCCAGGTAGGAGGGGCAGTGCCTCTTCCCTGTCTCCCCAGAACCCTCAGAGCAAAGCATGCTCCTACGAGGGGTTCTGAGCTCTGGGTTCTCATGGCGGGTTGCTGCCCCAGGAGTACGGAGGAGTTAGCATTGCCGACGGACTATCCCCTCTTCAGACTCTGATAAAAGCACCCAAATGACAGCATCGCTTGTCCCCTGCCCAGCTACTTCTGCTACTTGAAACCTTCAGCTCCTTGTAAATTAGAAGTTAGAAAGATTGGCTTGGGCCTGAAACAGAATGCGTGAAAGCAGCCTCTGTCGCTGGCCCTCACTGGTGCTGTGGCTGTTAAAGAATCCGTTACAAATACCCTTCGGCTGATGCAAGCAGCCAGCAGCAGTTCCCAGCAAGGAAAGCCACGCCAGAGAGATGGCTGCGTTTAACTTCAGGACAGCAGGTGTAACTGAAAAGCGGTTAAAGAAATATAGTAGCTGGGTACAGTAGTTCACGCCTGTAATCCCAGCACTTTGGGAGGCCAAGGCGGGTGGATCACCTGAGGTCATGAGTTCGAGAACAAGCCTGACCAACATGGTGAAACCCTGTCTCTACTAAAGACACAAAAATTAGCTGGGAGTGGTGGCACGCGCTTGTAATCTCAGTTACTCAGGAGGCTGAGGCAGGAGAATCACTTGAATCCGGGAGGTGGAGGTTACAGTAAGCTGAGATCGTGCCATTGTACTCCAGCCTTGGCGACAGAGAAATACTCCATCTCAAAAAAATAAATAAATAAAAATAATGTAAAATTTAGCTTATAATTTACAAGGGATTTCTCATAGCTTGCCCAGAACACAATAATTATAACTATTCATATGTAATATTAAATAGTAAAGCTTGGGTACTAGAATACTGAGATCAGCTAATCTGTCTCAGAACTAGATTTTGGGGTTCACCTGAACAAGAGCTGATCTCTAAAATGCATGATTACATCTTATCTTGCATGATTACATCTTATCTAAATTTACTGTCTCAAATAAGTTGATTTAAAAGGTCAACTAACCAAAACCAAATACAGTTTACCCTTGAACACCATGGGTTTGAACTGCGAGGGTCCACTTACAGGAGGATTTTCCTCTGCCTCTGCCACTCCTGAGACAGCAAGACCAACCCCTCCGCTTCCTCCTCAGCCTACTCAAGGTAATGGTGATGAGGATGAAGACCTTCATGATGATCCACTTCAATACTTAAGAATAGTAAATGTATTTTCTCTTCTTCATGATTGTCTTAACATTTTCTTCAGCTCACTTTAAGAATACTGTATAATATATATAATACATATAACATAAAAAATATGGTGTTTTTTTTTTTGCTTTTGTTTTTGTTTTTTGAGACAGGGTCTCTGTTGCCCAGGCTGGAGGGCAGTGGTGCGATCTCGGCTCACTGCAAGCTCCGCCTCCCGGGTTCACACCATTCTCCTGCCTCAGCCTCCTGAGTAGCTGGGACTATAGGCGCCCACCACCACGCCCAGCTAATTTTTTGTACTTTTAGTAGAGACGGGGTTTCACCGTGTTAGCCAGGATGGTCTCGATTTCCTGACCTTGTGATCCACCCACCTCAGCCTCCCAAAGTGCTGGGATTGCAGGCGTGAGCCACTGCGCCCGGCTAACATACAAAATATGTTAATCAACTAAGTTATCGATAAGACTTCTGGTCAACAGTAGGCTATTAGTAGTTATGTTTTGCAGAGTCAAAAGTTACACAAGGATTTCTGACCCTATGGGAGGCTGGTACCCCTAACCCCCACATTGCTTAGGGGTCCTATGTATTTGGAACTGTCCATATTTTTGACTTATGTTTTACGTCATTTATGTTTTAAATTAAATTTGATTTTCAGATTTCAAATATAACAATAACACAATATTGTCCACATGTGGGAATGGTGATTATCCACCCGCCCCACTATTCTGTCAGAGTAAAGTGTGTATCAGAGTAAAGAATTTCCATTACAACAACCCTTTAAGACATTTCCAGTGAATAATATGTGCACAGAGAATATTTCAATCACTAAAATAAAACACCAGGAAGTTTACATTCAGGCCCAACTACAATTACAGAGGGCAGCTGTTCCACCGATTTGAACTGTGTGGACTGAAGAATTATCAAGGCTGCAGCTCGGTGACCCTGCTGTGTAAAGGGCCTCAGATCTGATCATCCCAACTGCCCAGACCCTACAGAAATGATCCCAAGGATTCCGGGCTCCCACACGATGCGCGCTGGCTGCTCAACTGCTCACTCCTGCCTCGTAACCAGTGAATAAAATTAGAGCCAGTAATCACATCACAACACCAGGAAATTAGCCATTATTTGAAAAACATTTCATTTTTCTCATTAACTTAATTTCTTCTTTTTTACTAAGTTATATAATATTTAAATGTACATTCAGAAAAACTTCAAAATGGGAACTATTTCAATACATTGTTTCTCATTATCCCCTATGGTCTACTTCTTTCTATACTTTCATTCAAATCATTTTACATGATGTAACAGTAAGCAATCAAACATCTAGAACTAAAACCAAACCTGAATTTTAACACAGAAGCTTATTCCAGTTTAAAACCAATTTTATTACTTGGAAAACTTGCCAATAACTTAAAAATGTCTACATTTCTTCTAACGCTGGTCTGTTACTGTGAAAGGCTTTGGGAATTAAAAAAACACTTAGGAAATGTGTTGGATGCTAACAATTTTAAAGTACTTCTTTTTCCCCATTATTAAGATGATAACAGGCAATGTCTATTCTGCACTAAATAATCCACTTTATCTGGATTAGTTACATCGTTGAAAGCTCATGAAAGCCCTGTGAGAGCAGTACTAGCAATACTTGCATTTTACAGATGACAAACCAAGGCTTACCCAAGCAGTCACACAACTAGCACGCGGCCAGGGGCAGCCTGTCTAGGCAGGGGGCGCCAGAGCACACGCTTCCCTCCATGCCGGGGGGGGGGGGTCCCAATTTCTTTGGTCTCAAGACCAGATGGCTGAGAACCCCAAAGAGCTTCTGTTTTGTGGATTTTACCTATTATGTTAACCTTATTAGAAATTTAAATAGCTTTAAATACATTACATGTTAGCAATAAACCCATTATGTTAACATATTTTTAATATATTTTTAAAAACTATTTTCTAAAATAAACAAATGAGAGATGAGTGGTGGGCTCAGTAGAAGCCATAGGATCTCGCATGCACTGTGTTCTGTCCTGTGCCATCACGCACCACGGGACCACAGTAACGCCACTGTGTGCTGGGGATCGCAGGAGAGAGGAAAAGAGTGATGCTGGCTCAGTATCACTATGAAAACAGACCCTAACAGGCCTCCGAGACCCCAGGCGTCCTGGGAACACGTTGTGAGAAGTGCTGCATTGAGACCGCTGACAACCAGTAGCCTTTCTATCAAAAATCCTTAACCCAGTAACCCGCGGATGGCCCAAATGCATTCCATCGGTAGCAGCAGCAGCTTTGCTAGCAGAAGAAAGTAGAAAAATAACCTTTAGAGGAAACCTCATTGTGAGCACACCTCACCAGTTCAGAGCTATCCTAAGTAAAAGAAAAAAAAAAAAGGTAGCTTACTAACTCAAAAATCTAAAAGTATAGGGCTATTCTGTTAGACAAAGGTGATTTAACGTTAACCACTAAAAATTCCCTTAACCCAGAAGGTTTCCTAATGAGGAATTTAAATCTTAATTACCATACAAAGGTCTAACCAGACCCAGGAGGAAATCCCTTCAGGACAGGACCATAGATGGTTCCTCCCCGGTGATTGAGGGGAGAAAAAAAAAGCCCACAATTGGTATTCAGTAATTGATAGGGAAACTCTTGTAGAAGCAGAGTTAGGAAAATTGCCTAACAATTGGTCTGCTCAAACGTGCGAGCTGTTTGCACTCAGTCAAGCCTTAAAGTACTCACAGAATCAAAAAACTCTATCTCAATCCTGACTCAAAAGGTTACCTACACCCTCTCTGAAACGAATTTGTGCAAGAACTGTTGTTTATGGGACTGCATCTTGATGGGGCAGCTGGGTTGTCATGAAATACTCAGGAACCCAGCCCAACTCTGGGACTCACCCCTGAGCGCAAAAGCGACGTTGGGCATGCTGGTAAAGGACCACTAGAATCCAGCAGCCCGGACTGCTTTCTTGGTGGTCAAGAAAGGTGGGAAAAGGGGTGCAAGACTGCTACATCAGTAAGCATAACTAATCCGATAAGCAGAGGTCCATGAGTGGTTACGCACCCTGGAAAGGAATAAGCATTAAGACCACAGCGGACACTCTAGGACTAATGCTCATCGGAAAATGACTAGGGGTGCTGGCATCCATATATATATATATATATTTTTTTTTTTTTTTTTTCAGATGAGAAACATTCCCCTCAAGGCAAAAATGTCCCCAAGATGTATTCTGGAGAATTCAGCCCAGTCAGAGTGTATGTACCTTTTTCCCTCTCAGACTTGAAACAAATTAAAATAGACCTAGGTACATTCTCAGATAACCCTGATGACTATATTGATGTTTTACAAGAATTAGGACAATCCTTTGATCTGACATGGAGAGATGCAATGTTACTGCTAAATCAGACACTAACCCCAAATGAGAGAAGTGCCACCATAACTGCAGCCCGAGAGCTTGGCGATCTCTGGTATCTCAGTCAGGTCAATGATAGGATGACAACAGAGGAAAGAGAACGATTCCCTACAGGCCAGCAGGCAGTTCCCAGTGCAGACCCTCATTGAGACACAGAATCAGAACATGGAGATTGGTGCTGCAGACATTTACTAACTTGCGTGCTGGAAGGACTAAGGAAAACCAGGAAGAAGCCTGTGAATTTTTCAGTGATGTCCACTGTAACACAGGGAAAGGAAGAAAATCCTACTGCCTTTCTGGAGAGACTAAGGGAGGCACTGAGGAAGCATACCTCCCTGTCACCTGACTCTATTGAAGGCCAACTAATCTTAAAGATTAAGTTTATCACTCGGTCAGCTGCAGACATTAGAAAACAAACTTCAAAAGTCCACCTTAGGCCTGGAGCAAAACTTAAGACACCCTATTGAACTTGGCAACCTCGGTTTTTTATAATAGAGATCAGGAGGAGCAGTCGGAATGGGACAAACGAGATTAAAAAAAAAAAAGGCCACCGTTTCAGTCATGGCCCTCAGGCAAGCGGACTTTGGAGGCTCTGGAAAAGGAAAACCTGAACAAATCGAATGCCTAATAGGGCTTTCTTCCGGTGCGGTCTACAAGGACACGTTAAAAAAGATTGTCCCAATAGAAACAAGCCGCCCCCTCATCCATGCCCCTTATGTCAAGGGAATCACTGGAAGGCCCACTGCCCTGGGGGACGAAGGTCCTCTGAGTCAGAAGCCATTCACCAGATGATCCAGCAGCAGGACTGAGGGTACTGGGGCAAGCACCAGCCCATGCCATTACCCTCACAGAGCCCCGGGTATGCTTGACCATTGAGGGCCAGGAGGTTAACTGTTTCCTGGACACTCGTGCGGCCTTCTGTCTTACTCTCCTGTCCCAGACAACTGTCCTCCAGATCTGTCGCTATCCGAGGGGTCCTAGGACAGGCAGTCACTTGATACTTCTCCCAGCCACTAAGTTGTGACTGGGGAACTTTACGCTTTTCACATGCCTTTCTAATTATGCCCAAAAGCCCCACTCCTTTGTTAGGGAGAGACATCCTAGCAAAAGCAGGGGCCATTATACACTAGAATTAGAAGGAAAAAGGTTAAATATACAGACTCTAAGCATGCTTACCTAGTCCTCCAAGCCCACGCAGCAATATGGGGAGAAAGGGAATTCCTAACTTCCGAGGGAACACCTATCAAACATCAGGAAGCCATTAGGCCCCCCAAATTCTCTTCACCTCTGAATCTACATCCTCCGATCCCTGCCTAAAGATAATTTTATGGGGAAGAGGATTTGCTTGTGTCTCCCCAGGTGACAATCAGGTGTCTGTGTGGGTGCCCACCAACCATCTGAAGATCTATCACGAGCCATGGCATCTAGTGGACCCACCTGCAGAGTACAGTGCGAATTGAAGGTTTGAAAAGCCTCGATTTGCTTTCTCTATGCCTTCTGTTAATCAGAAAAGGCCTGTTTCTCACTATCAGTGGCCCGGCTACAGCCACAAAAGTTTTTGCTTCTGTTTCAGTAGATTTACTAACATGGGGGTGAGGGTATGCTTGTGTTTTTGCAGGAGATGAACGAACCGTGTGGATGCCCTCAAGATGTGCACGACCATGGAATGGGAGACTGGAGGGACCCATGGATCCCAACCTTGGACCGGGTTCCCCCAGTATGAGCCATGAGCCAGTTGAATCTGAATGCGAAGAAGGAATGAGGACCGACCGGAGTCACGATGCCTAACAGACCAATGCTTTCTGACTCAGCTCCTCTCTACCCTGAATATGAGAGACCCTAATAGTTAGGCAGGAATATCATCGCCCCTATTCAGCATGAAGAAGTTACAGAAAATGGACCTTCATCCTTCTGCAGCCCCTAGGATTAAGGGTCCTCTTGTAGAAGGGAAAGGGGAGATATGTGGGAAGCATTCAAACCAGAGTGACTCCAGTTTGAATAAGGGCTAAGAAAAGAGAAGCTGGGTCACCTACCGGCAATTAAGGGCTGCACAGCCTGCAATCGCCTAGCTAATGATAGCTAAGTAATAATGATAGTAATAATGATACCTTCTCTTTTATAAAAAAGAGGGGACATGTTGGGAAAAAAGCTGAGTGTTGGGGGGGAAACCGAGGCAGGGCTTGCATAATGTCCTCTGGAATGTGTCTAGACTTGCTGGCTCCTTGCTTCTAGCCTTCCTAGGCTCCTAGGTCCCTATTCCCAGTATCTCAAGTAGCAGAACATGTTCCATGTAAATGCTAAACCATCACAGTTGTAGATCATGCGCCTGCCCTTTTGACCTCCACGTTATCACCACCTGTTTCTTTGTTGGATTACCAATAAACACTGTGGGCTCCCAGAGCTCGGGGCCTTCACAGCCTCCACGATGGCCCCCTGGTGTCCCACCTTTCTCTCTCAAACTGTCTTTTTCTCAATCCTTTTACTCCACCGGACTTTGTCACCCCCACGACCTGGTGTTGGGTCTGATCACCCCAACACAGAGCCTGTGCTCACCAATTCTAGTCGTTTCCAGCACTGACCCAGGCCTTCTGGAACCCAAGGTATGCCTGCCCTGCTGCCGGTATCTGGGCTGGGACCGAGGGCATCCATCCTATCCATCCAGGACGCCTGAGAGCTCTGAGCTAAGACAACACCCTTGTCTGAACTCAGGTGTCTCTCTCCACCACCTGGGCAGACTGAATGACGCCCTTCTCTATCCCGAGGCCACGCCTCACACCCCATGGTGGACCCAAAGCTACTCCATATCCTGTCCTGGGACTACACCCCACCCCGCACCGCTGCATCAATATAGCAGCAGGCTTCAGAGGTAGTTTCTGAACCCGCATTGCTCCATAATGGTTACTCTAAGTGTGGCCTCCAGTTTATCCCTCAGTCCTGGAAGACTGAGATTCCTCTGGAGACAGGCACGAGCTCACCGCCTGTGCCACCAGTCCCTGCTCTGGCTCTCAGGCTGCCCTGACTTGTCTCACACAGACTCCTAGAAGGCTCCTTACTTTGATCAGGTCAAACCCTGCTGCCAGCACAGGGCAAATGGGAAGCACAGAGCCGTTTCTGTGTTTAAGTCCACCTGGGCAGAAATGAAGCTGAACGGACATTTCTCAGGAAGATTCCCAATGCTGGGGGAATGTTTCCTAGAGGAACATTTCTGTGGCCGACAAACACGGATGCAGAACAAATGACTCTGGGGAGGCAGCAGAGCGCAACGGGGGGCACGGCCTCCGCAGCCCACAAGCTGGCCACACCTGCCCCTGCCACGCAGGCTGAGTCACCACGGCAGCTGCACCTCTGTATGGCATGGAGACTCGGCTACACCGCAGGGCTGAGGGCCGGCCCTCAGACGAACCAGGCCCCAGACAGAACTCAGCACATGAGTTTCTTCCTAGTCTTCTGCAAACTGACATGTTTTCTTTACTCCCATTGTCGCCTGCTGTCTAAAATAAGATTCTTCTTCAGGCTGCCGCTACTCTCAGACTCAAACTCCAGCTCCGTCACGTTTTCTGGAGCCCTGCTTCTTCTGTGGCATTCCACACATGCCACGCTCTGCCCCTCCATGCCACCCTCTTCCTCTGCCCCTCTGCTCCTTGTCACCCTCCCTGCAGCTGGGTGGGCTGTCCTCTATACGCCCCCTGCGGCTGGGTGAGCTGTCCTCCACACGCCCGCAGAGTCCTGTGGATGTCTCTGAAGCCCCAGTCCCCACACCTAACAACTGGGAACATGTCTGTCTCCCCCATAATCGTAAAGTCTTTGAAGACAAGGACGTCTGTTGCATCTTCCTTGAGCACCAAGCACAGTGTCCGCCCACTCACCAGAACTCACTCTTTTCCTGCACCTTCTTTTCCAAGCGCGTGCCTGACTTCCAGGGTCCTAAGGCCTGACCCTGGCTCCCTGCCAGCTTAGTCTCCCTCCCCACCCCAGCCCACTCCTGGATTTCAGCCACACCTGATGACCTGAACAAGGTCCGGCCACCACCACCCAGTGCTACACAAGATCCCTTCTGCCCATCTGCCTGCTGCCCCTCAAGGACATCCCCCTCAGCTCTCCTCTAAGCTGACTGTGCATAAAATGCTGCTCCCATTACCCTGTTGTATGCTCTTTATTAACTCTCCCTACCCTGGACAGACATAGAGCCGCCTTCCCTCCTGCTGGCACCACATCATGCTGGCACCCGCCTATCTGCCTCTCCCTGGCAACTGAGGAGACCAGGACAGCCAGTGGGAGACTTGCAGGGAGGAGGAGGGCGCTGGCTAGTTCTCCGCCCTCTCTGCTTCTCCTCCAGCCTGGGGTGAAGGTAGCTTCCTGCTGCCACTACTGTCCAGTGGCCTGACTTCTCCTGACACCCTCACAGTCAATGCCGCCTCACCTCCTCCCCCTGCACTTCCTGGAATGGGCTCTGCTGTCAGTCCCATTATCTCTCACAATTTGTATTTAACAGTATTATTTAGGGGAGAGACTGTATCTTCCTCATTTTTCTACAGAGAGACTGTATAGTGCCTAAACTAAATATTATTGAATTGAGTCACTTAAAATATTATAAATTTGATTCAGAAAATGTTATTTTTCCAAGGATGGGTTTATTTCAAAATTGTAAAGATTTATATATTATTTTTATTACATATAATAAGCAATTTTTAGCTTAAAATAAGTTTCACATTTAAAGTAAAAAAAATCTTAAAAATGCAGACATTTTTTAAAAGCAAAAAAGTTTAATTATCTTGCAGCACAGGTCTACCTTTAAATATTCACATTTCAAAGCTGCTTTGAAAAGATTTAAAAATTGGCTAAAAATAATTTACAACTGGCAGTGATTAAAAATCTTATCTTTGGAAAAGTATATTAATGACACATAATGAATTTAAAGTTACAAGCATTTAATGGTTTAATCAAGCATGTAGTTTTTACCAGTATACAAAATGAGACTTAGTACAAAACGGTCTTCAACTGTCACGTCAGTTGTTCCTGGAGTGTTTTATGGGGAAAAGCAAACTTCACCAAACATAGAGTACCAACATTCAAGTGCTCTTTTCCACAAGTTTCTGATTTTCAACTTAGGAGAGAAGAACAGCATTTAATAACTGCATCCCTGGTGGAAAAGAGAGGGAAAAAAACAGAATATAATATTCCTCAAAAGCAAAGTTGCGCAAAATGTTCCTGCTAAATCACCTTTTTTAACAGAACTCAATGGATGCTCCAACACACTTTTTGATTAATAAAAACTTTGTTCAGTATCATTTAAGATTAAGAGCTAAGATTTGAAAACATTTTGCTGATTTTTGACATGGTATTTATCTTAAGAAATTTTTACTGGCATATACACTGATCTCAATCAAAGAAATAAGTTTAAATACCAAAAATAACCTAACAAAAGATCTAACTTTTTTCTTTTTTTTTCCTTTTGAGACAGGTTCTCACTCTGTCTTCCAGGATAAGTGCAGTGGCGTGAGCAGATCCTCCCACCTCAGCCTCCCAAGGAGCTGGGACTATAGGGCACACCACTACACTAATTTTTTTTTTTTTTTTTTTAATAGAGATAGGGTCTTGCTATGATGCCCAAGCTGGTCTCAAACTCCTGCGCTCAAGCCATCCACCCGTCTCAGCCTCCCAAAATGCTGGGATTACAGGGATGAGCCACCAAGCCCAGCCCAAAGATTTAATTTTTAAAAAGAACTAGGCCAGGCAAGGTGGCTCACGCCTGTAAGGCAGGTGGATCACTTGAGGTCAGGAGTTCAAGACCAGCCTGGCCAACATGGTGAAACCCCATCTCTACTAAAAAACACAAAAATTAGCTGGGCGTGGCAGCGGCAGCACGTGCCTGTAATCCCAGCTACTCAGGAGGCTGAGCCAGGAGAAACTCTTGAACTTGGGAGGTGGAGGTTGCAGTGAGCAGAGATCACGCCATTGTACTCCAGCCTGGGTGACAAAATGAGACTCCATCTCAAAAAAAAAAAAGAACTAATGAACTGAGTTTCAAAACTGTAATGTTTATAACTGAATCCTCAGAATTAAAAGAAGATTGAAGTGTGACCTTTCATATTTTCTTCCAAAACTGTTATTACTTGATACTTCATTCATTAAAAAAGCTTTTACCTAGGCCATAAAAAATATCCACTAATAAAATTCTTATAGGCAAAATCTGTACATTGCTTATTGCTCTCGAGTGTGGGATCCTGTGTCTGGAGAGGCTGGTCATGTTCTTGAAGTCCTGCCATCTCTTCAGAGCCTCTTGTATGGGACATCACGTCTAGAGGTCCTTTCCTCCGCACCAAGAAGTATTGGAGGTCTCCTTGCTCTAAAGTTCCTATGCATGGTAAATTACCCTTGCACACTCCTGTTAAGCAGCTTTCTCACCTGTAGCTAACTTTGTTTTGCTTTTTCTCCTTGTAAGTATCTATCAGAAAGAATCATACATTTGAAATGGAATAAAAATAAAATTTCTACCAATTTCCTTCACTGTTCGTATTAAAGACAATTTTGCTGTTTTTAAATATATAACATATCTTTGAATTTCACAAACAGGCAAAGCTGTGCCTCACCAGAATCTTTTTCTAAATCTATCAGATTTAAAATTGGAACTAGTTTTGTTTTCTCCTCCACGGCTAAATACATTTCTCTGGAAAAATATTTTAAAATGCCGGTTACCTCTTGACATACAATTAAAATGTTTTTGCTGACCAAAAATAAGCATTTATGTGTAAGCCCTCATTTTCCCAGTAACTTCCTTTTTTATTGAGATGGAGTCTGGCTCTGTCACCAAGGCTGGAGTGCAGTGGCACGATCTTGGCTCACTGCAACCTCTGCCTCCTGGGTTCAAGTGATTCTCCCACCTCAGCCTCCCAAGTAGCTGGGATTACAGGCGCCCACACCACACCCAGCTAATTTTGTATTTTTTAGTAGAAACGAGGTTTTGCCATGTTGGCCAGGCTGGTCTTGAACTCCTGACCTCAAGTGATCTGCCCACCTTGGCCTCCCAAAGTGCTAGGATTACAGGTGTGAGCCACCGCACCCAGCCGTAACTTCCTTTTCTTAAGTAGAATTTGTTTTCCTGGAGTCTCTGTGTCCTATTTTCTGAACTCCTAAAGCCATGGAAGGGTCCAGAATCTCATCCACATTCCCTAGTGCACGCCAGGCAGCAGGGCGGGAGGATACTCCCCACAGAGCTGCTCCATGTCGCCAAAATGTTTCCATACAGACATTATCATGGCAAGCTGCTATTCATCTCATTGAAAACATGTTTACTGCCGGGCGCGGTGGCTCACGGTTGTAATCCCAGCACTTTGGGAGGCTGAGGCGGTAGGATCACAAAGTCAGGAGATTGAGACCATCCTGGCCAACATGGTGAAATCCCGTCTCTACTAAAATACACAAAAAAATTAGCCGGGCATGGCAGTACGCGCCTGTAGTCCCAGCTACTTAGGAGGCTGAGGCAGGGGAATCTTGAACCCAGGAGGCAGAGATTACAGTGAGCCGAGATGGTGCCACTGCACTCCAGCCTGGCGACACAGTGAGACTCTGTCTCAAAAAAAAAAAAAAAAAAAAAAGTATGTTTATTTCCTTTTAGGAAATTAAAATCAACCAAAAAAAAAGGGTTTAAATAGTATTTTTATGTAAAAATTACTTAAATTCATATATTTGTGTGAAGATAAGTAAAGAACCAGAAAGAAGACAAGATTCAAACAAGCTTACCTTGCATATGGGATGTACGACAGGCTATACCTGCAAGAAATATTCAAGCATGTTGAATCTTCATCTGAATGATGGTTTTCCTTTATGCCAAAAGGCCATGTCTAACCTTATAATAAATACAGCAGCATGAGACTGTACAGTGGTTCTCAAAGTGTGACCCCGACCAGCAGTGAGAGCATCATCTGGGAACTTGTTAAAAATGTAAATTATTAGGTCCTACCTTAAACCTCCTAAATCACAAGCTTGCTTTAACAAGCAACCTGCACTTTAAACAAACTCTCTAGGTGATTCTGGTGCATGCTAAAGTTTGAGCTTCTTATAATAAAATAGAAACTGTACCACAACTGATAATTATAGTCTCCTTTAGGGATAAATCAATTATTAGTTACAAATTAGGCAATAAAAGGCAAAATACTAGAGAAAATAACCAAGAGATTAAGTTTCTTCACATATCAGTGAAAAAAAGTAAAGAACATTTTATGGTGAATTTGAGATATACAGAGAATTACATTTAACATTCACTGATGTTTCATCTGTCAGTAGAAAGAAGGCCGAAAGAAAGGTGATCCCAAACTGGGTAATGTCGAGTAAGAGGAATGTAAAATGGCAAAACCAGGAAGCAAAAATTAGGAAGCAAGAGCTGCTCTAAAGGAAAAGGAAAAGTACTCTTCACTAACACAGAAGAGCGCAGGAGCTGCAGGGCACGTTTAATCAACCACCCAGATATTTATGGCCTTTATGCAGATGAACTCTTACTGTGCGAGACACAAAAAGGCTACAAGGAGGACAGTCTGAGCAGAAACCAGGACATGACTGAATCTTCACAAAAGTGGACTGGGAAAGGCAGTGCAGGTGAAGCACCTCTGATCTGAAATGATAGGAACTAGAAATGTGTTGGATACTGGATTTTTCTGGATTTTTGGAATATCTGCATTACATTTACTGGTTGAGTATCAACCAAATCTGAGCATCATGTCAGCGTTCAAGAAGTTTTGGATTTGGGGCTGGGCATGGTGCCTCACATTTGTAATCCCAGCTACTTGGAAGGCTGAGGCACGAGAATCACTTGAACCCGGGAGGCAGAGGTTGCAGTGAGCCAAGATAATGCCACTGCACTCCAGCCTGGGTGACAGAGTGAGACTCTGCCTCAAAAAAAAAAAAAAAAAGTTTTGGATCCTGAAGCATTTTGGATTTGGGATGCTCAACCAGTAACTTAAGAAGTATTTAATCACTGCCAATTCAGAAGACATCTCCAGATATCACAGGGCCACAGAGTCAACATCAGGATAAATTCCACGTTGTATTTATCCAGCAATAGAGTGGAGAATGCAGGTAAACTCATCTTCCCTTGGACTCACCCTGTGATTTGGTCTCACTTTTATGTACTCACATGGCATCACCTACTTTTCTTATTATTTCTCTTTCTCACATTAGAAAAAAGCAGAACATATCACTATGTAACTCTACGAGCACAGCACCCCATACTTCTCCCGAACAGTACCACTGAGCCACGCTGTCAAGTGCAACAGGACTCATCGCAGACCTCCCCTCCTCTGACCCTGCAGGGCCTGTCTGGCTCCAAAACACCAGACGAAATGCTAGGGCTTCACAGGTCCCAAACAAAATGCTCGTCACGTCTCAGGCAATTTTAACACTTCACTAGGGTAAGGAAAGACTTACCAGGTCATTGACAAGAACTGCAATATGCAGAATAACACAGCCAGTCCCTTCTTATGCCACTAACAACAGCAAAAACAGAGCAATTATGAGTTTCAAAGTTTTAAAAACATCTTTCTCAATCAAACTTAATTCTTGTCTTTCAAAAATGTAGATGATGGCTTCATTTATCTTTATTAAATTTTAGTGTGATAAATTTAAGATACAGTTGATCTGAAACTTTAAAACCCAAAAAATACATTTCCTTTCTAAAACTATATCCATTAATTTAAATACTGCAAAATATATGACTTTAAATAAACGTTACTGAAACAATTGTGCATAGACTGAAAACATTAGACTTTTAAAGGTGGTTAGGTCTTTAAAGTCAATGTTAACTTATCTAGAATCGACATGTAAAATCCCACTGAGATCTGTATGCCCCATGTGAAATTTACTTATTTTACTCATTCCCATTTGCTCCTTGAGTGATATTTTGAAGGAAAATTGTATTTTATTGTGATCTTCTGGAATAATATAAACAGTTTCCATGGTTGTTTTAAAATATTTTCAGAATTCCTTGTCCATCAGTGCTTTTTTACTTATTTATCTTCAATCTACTGTTTATAAGTAAACAGGCAATTCCAAAACCAAAAATCAAGGTTCTATAGAGAGGTGCAAGTTAAGAATATTCTTTTATCATTAAGAAATGACACGTAAATCAATCTCATATAACTAAAGTCCTGTCCTTACATCATCAAAATAAAAAAAAAACTGGAATATTTCTGATAGCATTCTAAAATATCTACCCTTTCTTCTTTAAAATGGGACTTTTCTTGTTGATAGTTCAAGAACTGCTTCAAACCCATTTGGGAAATAGGTTGAGTACAATAGAAAAATATGATGTAGAATCAGGAGATCAAGAAGTAAACGGAATTGTAACAATGTGACTTCTTTAAAGGCTAATGAACAGCTGTTAACCTTCTCCACAGGGTAGGAGAATGATTTCAGTTCCTCTCTTTGTTGTTACTATCTGTGTTTTCTGGCCCTCTCTATTGGTTTTACACCTTGCTACTCGGCAGCACACTTGCCTCACCACTGCAGACTCACAGCGCACCCCTGCAGCAGCATGGTGGAGAGCACAGCCCCTGAGCCAGGGCCCTTCACCACACCGGGCACTGTCAGATTTGCCAACCAGGCCCACAAGCAGGTGAGCTCGGGCACACATGTGTGTTTATTAATGACCTCTACGCTGTAGACAGCAGAATCTATGGCACATTTAGCCACCAGCTGGGTAGGTGAGCATGTGTGCACATGTGTGTTTACTGACTACCTCTATGCTGCAGACAGTAGAATCTATGGCACATTTAGCCACCAGCTGGGTGGGTGAGCATGTGTGCACATGTGTGTTCACTGACTACCTCTATGCTGTAGACAGTAGAATCTATGGCATTTTTAGCAACTAGCTGGATGGTAACATGTCAAATTTTAGGAACACCTAATCTTTAGAGAGTTTTAAAAAAACAGATGAGCTATTTTAAGATAATGGTGTGATGACACGTCAGCTGGGGTGGGGGGCACACAGTTAACTGAAAGCCAGTAGGGCTGACATAACTTACCCAAAGAGCAGCACACAGGGTAAATATGAAACACAACTACAGGGGAAGAAAGAGTAGATTATAAGTTTGAGATCCTTTCAAAAGCCTAATAAAAATGCATAAACTATTCTGCATTCATTTACATAGGGAATATACTATAGAACAAAAATAAGAATACAGCTGAATAGTTTTACTTGTATTTTCTGTAAGTATTATTTTACTTTAAAGTCTATGACTGCAATATTCCTTGGCAAATTGGAAGCATCTAATAATTTAATCTGTTAAGTAAACTGAAAGATGATCATTCCACATCCCCATGAAAGCAAGCAGGCACAGGAGTGAATGCAAGAGGTGGGCAGTGTGGTGTTGGAAAGACCTAAAGAGATCCCAGCTCTGACGCCTGCTATCTGAGGGTCCTTGGTGAAGTCAGTGGACTCGTCTAAACCTGTTGTCTTCTCTTTAAAATGAGGAGAGTTCCTACCTACCTGCTTTAAAGGGCTGTTGTAATGAATAAGGTAGAGTGCATCCGTGATGGGCTTGAGCTAGAAGCTGGCATGTGGAAGGCTCTATGTGGCACAGCCTCTTCACCACCATTACTAGGCGTGATCTTACGTGGGCAGCAAATCAAACCACGCAAAGTGCTCCACCTTGGGAGACGTCTTATATGTTCAAACGTTCCCACGTTCTCTCAACATGTGTGTTTTTGTAAGGTACAGTATGTTACTAAAAAGTTTGAGGGGTAAGTGCCAGGATTTCTTAAATAAAACTAACTAAAATCTTAGTGGAATATAAACTACTTATATTCTAACAGTGAAATATACTTTGTTAGTAATCTGAAGTTAAATGTTTATATATATGTTGATACATATGCTATTATAGGAAATTCAAAATAATTGGAGATTATAAAAGTGGTAAGAAACTATGAAGTTGAATAAAGACATAATAAATAAAGCTAAAAATGAGTTTTTACTCTAGTGAGGAGATGGGAGAAGACTGCCAGGCAGATTAGAGTTAACAAACATTTCCTTATAAATTAACATAGGTTAGCTGTGTTTGGAAAGCTAATGTTAATAGTTATAATGGTAACATTTAAATTCTTTAAATATCATAAATGCTTGAAGGCAAAAGAAATCCACAAGAGACACAGACCAGGTGAGTTAGGAGGCAGAGGCAGGATGCAGAAGAGATTTGGGTCCCCCTCCTGCCCACAATACACAAAACGATGATCAGCTGAACACCCAGCACGTATGAGAATGGAAACAACCTTACTAGCCAAAGTGTAAGCTCTCATCTACCCGCCACCCAGGCTCAAGATAATAAGAGTGATGACCTGAGAGTTGTGGACAGAACCCACAATGTAATGGAAGGCACCTTTAAAGATACTGTTACGGGAGCCATATTGTTAGAATTTGTCAAGTTGGCACACAGAGAAGGGACAAAAGTCAGATGACAAATGATGCTAAATCTCACCCTCAGCATAGAGGGTGTCTATGCCCACCCTCTAAAGGGTACAAACTAACAATCCCTCATGAAACCATCAGCAGGGCTTAAAAATGAAAGCACACTCAGCTCTAGGCTCCATTTAAATACGCAGCTACACCATGCCATATACGCAGCAGAAGCAGGCTTTACCCAGCCAGTAGTCTTAGACAATACTGTACCATCTGAACTCTATAACCACATAGGATATATTTTTTTTTTGGTTTTTAGATGGAGCTTCACTCTTGTTGGCCAGTCTGGAGTGCAATGGTGTGATCTTGGCTCACTGCAACCTCCACCTCCCAGGTTCAAGTGATTCTGTCTCAGCCTCCCAAGTAGCTGGGATTACAGGTGCATGCCACCTCACCGGGCTAATTTTTGTATTTTTAGTAGAGACGGGGTTTCATTATATTGGTCAGGCTGGTCTTGAACTCCTGCCATCAGGTGATCCGCCCACCTTGGCCCCCCAAAGTGCTGGGATTACAGACGTGAGCCACCGTGCCCGGCCGGATATAATTATTATATTCAACACAAGAAGTATACATACAACCCTGAAACTTAAAGTATAATAATAAAAAAAAATAAAAATAAAAAAAGAAGTATACATACATAACAGGCAATTATTCGTAAAATAACAGTGCAAAGAATACTTCAATAAAAGTTTTAAAAATGTATTATTTACTTACAAGCATAACAATTGTTGCAAGCAATCTTGTTGCTTCAAACATTTTCTTCAGTTGCTTCACAGGTCCCATTAAAAAGCATGTACTATTTGAAACAAATAAAGTGACTGAGGTACAGGTCTACTAATTTATCTGGTTATGCAAAAATAAACTACTTTTTTAAAAAAGAAGCCCTGTTGCTTTATTTAATTAAAATCTCTCACTAAAATTTTTTTTTTCCTTAACTTTATAAAGAAACTTTACAACTATACCAATAGACATGCTATGGTGTGAAGGTGTCTTCTCCAAAATGTAAGTGTCTTCAGTGTGTTAGTATGAAGACCGGACTAGGCTGTGAGAACTCCTCCCTTTGAAAGGGATCAAAGGCCCTTGGAGGAGAGGCTGCCTGGGGGTTGCTCTTTCCTCTTCTGCCCTGGGAGGACACAGGGATCTTCCCCTTGGGGGATGCATCTATCAGCAGGATGGATGTGCCTTAACCTTGGACTTCAGGCCTCCAACTGTGAGAAAAATTTCTATTCTTCCTAAGTCGCCCAGTCTACAGTATTCTGTTACTGCAGCATAAAAAGGGCTAAGACAAACAACAACCCAAAGATGCGACAAAGATTCTCAAAGAGGGATTCTCATACTCCCAATATAAAGTAGCCCTCTGTCACTACTGCCACACCCTGTTTTAATTCTCTGCACAGCACCAATGCCATCCCATCTTTTTCTGGCTTATCATGTGAACATCTTCTTCATTAAAATGTAAGCTCCACAAGAACAAAGCCTAGAGTGCAGCAGCTCCAAGCCTGGGCTCCGGATTCCCACCTCAGCCATGGTGGGATCCCACCTCCGGATTCCCACTGCCTGCAGGATTCCCACCTCAGCCATGATTTAGGTTCATCGCCATGGGCAGCACTGACTCCCCTGCTCTGTGCTATTATCTCCAGTTATAAACGGGGATGATAATACTGCCTACCTCACAAGCTCGTCATAATACATACAAAACACTTAGAACAGTCCCAGACACACATTAAGTGCCCCACAAAGGCTGGCTATTCCTAGCACTAATACCGTCTGTTATGGGAGACGGCATACAGCAGCAGTCAATACATATTTATTTAATGAATGTAAATCCTGTGGCTGAATTCACAGTATGTACAGAACTACATAAACATCCTACTGGGAAAGTGCTTATTAGAAAGGTAAATTTGGTAGCAAGAGCAAACAAGATATTTTGAGAAGCCAAACGTACCTGGCTAACGCAGCAAGATTGCCGAGGGTATAAAACACTGCAAAAAGCTTTATGCCGCCCGGAAGCCACAGCAATCCAGTTCCCTAAGTTAAGATATTATAGTTATTTTAAAATAATTTTATGATTTTAATGGTTAAAATATAAACGTGCTACTGCAGTAATACAATACCAATATTATGTAATATGTTTAAATACAAATCTGCTTGTAGACAGTCTAGTCTGATTACACAGAAAAAATAGTTAATTTTCAATGTTATACACTAACTTGAATCTTCTTCCTATTTGCACTAGCATATATAAATGAGCCATAACAAAACTTTGTGCTTACCAGTAAATCTCAGTCTATTTAAGTTAAATTTTCATGCTAAATACCAAGTATGAAAAGGTAATAAACATCTAAATTACTGACTCTCCAGATCTTTTAACACATTGATACATTTTTCTTAAATTATTTCAACTATCCACAAAACTCCCCAAAATACTAATTTCTACGTATTTTCATTGATCTCTACCCCTTTATTTTAGTTTAATAAATACCTTCCACCAAAATGGTCTAACAGGGATTTAGTAAAGGACATTAGTTTTTGGTACTAAATGGAATTATTAGTCTAATACAAAATAAAAATTATTAAACAATATAAAGCCTTAACTCACAAGAATAGAAAAGAAAACGCCACATACGAAGCAGATGGCAAACCATTTCAATCTGGTGTTGAAACTAAGGGATGAGGCATCCAGGACCTTAATAAAAAATGGGAAAATTTAGAATATAGTCTTAATTCACTACCAATCTGATTCTTTATACTAAATTAAAGCAAAGTTTTAACACATAGTCTGAATCATTTATTTTGCATATCACAGTGTCATTCAAGAATACTAAGATTCCACGGTTGTTAAGGGTAATATGACCATGGTCTGGGTAGCAGATGATGCTGAGGAATAACCATTAATTTTGCAAAGTCTGATAATATGTTTCACAAAAGTCCTTATCTGTTAGGGACAGCCGATATACACTGATATGGATAAAATGACATATAAGATATATTATAAAATATACAAAGATTAAAAAAACACAGGGGGCAGATGCAACAGGCCAGGCAAAACACTGAAACTGCAGAGGCTGGGAAAGAGTACACAGGTTCATTATCTGTTCTCTCTGCCTCTGCAGGACGAATTCCTCAGGCTCCTAGATGCCAGAGTCTGAGTGCATCCGAGTGCATCCGCACTCAGTGCAAGTCCTGCTGGAGGCAGAGGCTGGCCTTCCACACGCCACCTCCCTTCGGCCGGTCATTGGCTGCAGGCCAGGGGTGGGGTGGGGTGACTGCACCCCATGGAGGGTAGAGGACGCTGGCCACCTACAGGAGGCAGCCTGAGCAGCCCCAGCAGAGACGATCACAGCACGCACCAGACGGTACCCGTTCTAAGCTCTTTCAGTCCAACCCATGAAAGTTTTGGGCCCCTCCTCCACCACTGTAAAAACATACTGTGAAATGATCATTTATTCTAGAGCAACAGCATTCCTATATACCATGCAAATTCTAGCCAAATTATGTGGGGAAAAAAGTAGAAATTACTAAGTCTACTT